>NC_000005.10:163337081-163640111 GCF_000001405.40 Homo sapiens | reverse complement strand
TCATCTGAAGACAGAAATGATCTTTCACGTGACAATCTTTGTCATGTAGTTCATAGCCATTACTCCTTCTGCATCTCAAATATGGTTCATATTTAAAAACTGATAACAGAAAGGCTGCATGGAGACAGCCTCCAGGAGCTACAAGGAATACTACCCAGGCCCATGCTATGAACTATTATTGTTATAATTATTCTGAATCAATTTTAATCAGGAAACAACACACTCATTTAAGTAAAATAGAAATAAAGGCACCAGGAAGAAAACCAAAGTTTGATTTCAAGAAAAACTGAAGACTTCAACCTTTACAAAGAAAAATCTAATTCTGCCAAAATTTAGCACATTTCATATTTAATTTTGCTCTGATTTATGACTAAATCTCCTGGGTACCAATAGTATATAAAAAACCATTAGCTCTGAGGAGGCAATTGTTAGTTTTTATAATAAAAAATGCATACTGCTTATACCATTATTGCTTAGGAAATTAGGGAACACAGCTTCTAATACCCAGTGCATGGAACACTGTAGCAAACCACTTAAGTTGCAATAATAGAGTATTGACTGGGTACAGTGATATGTGAGACACAGCCACAGTCAGAATAAGCGACCATCACACTGTGCTCAATAGAGCCTCTCATATAATACATTTATTCCACCCTAGTCAAAGAATTCCAAACAGATTAGCTATGAAAAGGCCTAAGATGCTCTACCTGTAAAACATACAATTTTCCTCTTTTCACTTTCTTTTTAAATACTTAGTTAAAAACACTGATTTAGTTTTCTCCTCCTACCTACAAAAACTTCACGACTCTGTAATACTGAAACTTTGAGTTAAGCAGCATCTGAATTAAGAAGTGATGTTTCTGAAGGTTAATTTCATGTTTACCAAATATCATCATCATCAAAAATCTTGGGTTATCATTTGCAGGTCTTGAAAGTATGAGAGAGCACATCTAAGAGCTTTAAAATGCCTTTCAAGTGAGCTACACTAGACCAACTGTGTGTTTTATATATATATATATATTTTTTTTTAATTATGCTTTAAGTTCTAGGGTACATGTGCACAATGTGCAGGTTTGTTACGTATGTATACATGTGCCATGTTGGTGTGTTGCACCCATTAACTCGTCATTTACATTAGGTATATCTCCTAATGCTATCCCACCCGACTCCCCCTACCCCATGACAGGCCCCAGTGTGTGATGTTCCCCTTCCTGGGTCCAAGCGTTCTCGTTGTTCAATTCCCACCTATGAGTGAGAACATGCGGTGCTTGGTTTTCTGTCCTTGTGATAGTTTGCTGAGAATGATGGTTTCCAGCTTCATCCATGTCCCTACAAAGGACATGAACTCATCCTTTTTAATGGCTGCATAGTATTCCATGGTGTATATATGCCACATTTTCTTAATCCAGTCTATCATTGTTGGACATTTGGGTTGGTTCCAAGTCTTTGCTATTGTGAATAGTGCTGCTATAAACATACGTGTGCATGTGTCTTTATAGCAGCATGATTTATAATCCTTTGGGTATATAGCCAGTAATGGGATGGCTGGGTCAAATGGTATTTCTAGTTCTAGATCCCTGAGGAATTGCCACACTGACTTCCACAATGGTTGAACTAGTTTATAGTCCCACCAACAGTGTAAAAGTGTTCCTATTTCTCCACATCCTCTCCAGCACCTGTTGTTTCCTGACTTTTTAATGATCACCATTCTAACTGGTGTGAGATCATATCTCACTGTGGTTTTTATTTGCATTTCTCTGATGGCCAGTGATGATGAGCATTTTTTCATGTGTCTGTTGGCTGCATAAATGTCTTCTTTTGAGAAGTGTCTATTCATATCCTTCACCCACTTGTTGAACTCAAACAGATTTACAAGGAAAAAACAAATGACCAACAGTGTTAAAAGTACAAAAGAATACAGGCTCTTTCTGAATACAGAAGGCCATTCGTCTCTCTCTCTCTCTCTCTCTCTCTCTCACACACACACACATCCCTACACACACACACACACTCCACGTATACTCACTCACTTTCATGTAGATTTTTCCTTATTCTCTAGTTAATCTGCTGAAGCAATCCAGCATATTACACAATGACAGGATATAAGATTTCTGGTTTCTGTCGCTACTCTTTAATGGACACTGAAACATTTAGTCTGAAGCCTTTCCTTTGCATACCAAAGGCAAAACCTATTAGAACTGTAGACCTAGCCTAACCATTTGTGCCAGATAAGTCTAAATAACAAGAAAGACAAGACAACACCTTGGAAAAATTTATCCAATTTATAGACCAGAGAAGGAAAACCCTCAGTGGGTATAACTCCATAAACATAAACAGACCTTCACACCCTCAAAATACTCCTCCTACTTTACCTCTACTGGTATCACTCCAATGATTCCAGGTTTAACCATCTACAATAATTATAAAAATATGAGTCTTTGGGATATACTGTTGGGAGACAACCCTTCATGAGTCTCTCACATTTTTGCAAATCTTTTGAGCAGATGCATTGACAGTTTTTTTCTAGACTATCTCATCAAAGATGTTTGAATGTCCAACAGCCTTGGAAGATAGAGGTAGTGTCTCCTTCTGGAGCAAAGGGCAGATTTGTTTCCCGACCAGTTTAAGAAAGATAGCATCTCCCTTGAAGGCAAACGTTGGTCAGGTTTGCTAACAACACTTTTAAAAATTTAGGGTTTCCTAGGTGTGGGTTCTTCCATGGGGACACAAATCCACTGTATGTGCAGCATTCAGCAAGGTCCTCCTCTGCATAATTGTATGGAACATGGCGAACAGAAAGAACAAATTCAAACATCAAGCTCGTGCTGCCTCAAAGCTATGCATAATAAAGTTATATGTCTCCTACCAGGAGTCTCATGCCTTCTGCCAGCAACCATGAAACTGTAGTAGGCTGACTTGTTAGCTTGCAACTAGGATCACATTTCAGACCTTCACAGTTTTGTGCACCCACCAGACTTAACAAATTAACTTGAATATAATAAGCTCTTCCTTCATATGAATGAAAAATTGCTTGATTCCTGAATTTCACTGGATCTAAGAGGTACTTAAAATATTCCCCAGTCACTGTCATTCCCAGGGGGTGCCCCACACATGTCCATAAACTAATGTGTCAGCTATAGTCCTCATATAAAACTGACATGTTCTCCCTCTCCTGCTCCAAGCGCCTCCACAAATGTTGGCAGCCTCCCTCCAGCAACTGCTGGTCACCTCCATCCTGTTAATGCCAGTGTCTAGGCAAGAGCATGGTCTCCAGATAATTCTTCAAGATGCCATTTCCAAAGGCGCCAAACTGTGCCTAAATAATTCCCCTTCTTCAATTCTGTGTATACTCTGACACCTGGACACTGAAGCACCACTGCTAAGGCAGTCAGTTCCTGAACCCTCTTATTCAAAAATTTGTAAACCCCACAACTTCTGGCCATCACCCCATTAACCAATAAACTCAAACTCATTTCATTGTACAAGGAAGAAAGACAAAACAATACCTTCATCATGTTTGTCTCTCATCCTCCTTGAATACTGTTTTGTATTCAATTCAAACTAAGCTCCACTTCAAAATAAAATCAAACAATACTGAAAAAAAACTTGAAGCTAAAAATTCAAGCTAAACTCCAATTTAAACTAAAATTCAAACTAAACTCCAAAAAACTTCAAACTGAAAATTCAAACCAAACTCCCATTCAAACTAAAAATCCAAAACTCTTGTATCAAAGGGTACAGGCAGATTTTGGGTGAGTGTCTGAACCCTCTGTTCATCCTCCTAATGATGCAATTACAAACCCTTTCAATTTATGATAATATCTGAAAATTAGATAAATACTGAAGAAACAGAGAGAAATAAAGAAAAACAAATGGCCTGGGAAGACATGGGAAGTAGGCAGATAGGCATTGAATCACTTCCTGGCAGAAAAGACAAGGTGGTCAAGGTCATCTTCAGCCTTGAACACCTCTACGTAGGGCAATAATTCTTTGTGCATGTCCCCCAAGCTTTGAAACTGGTCATGTTTTTATCTCGGTGACAGTGCTCATTTGTATATTCAAATATGCTAACTGGTAATTATGGAAAGCAGTACATGCAAAACATGGGTTGACTAGATTAATTGCTCAACATGAAGCTAACTAAAAACTGAGTTTTGCTATCTTTCATTTTTTCTGTCTTTATCCTCCAAAAAAAGGAAAATGTAGACTTACAAGGGAACAAGAAAACCATCTGGATCACAATGCCTCCCAAATTTCACATTCAGTCCTGCCATCCAAGCAAGGATTTAGAAGCGTTTTTCCTAAACCAATAACTGAGTGGTGCCTGCCAATTTCTCCCAGAACTTGGCTTTTCTTAACAAGCCATTCTACCGCCTTTACTACTTTTGTCCTTTATAATGAGAATAACAGAAACTGGATGAATTGTACATGATCACAAGGGATATGAAGGAGGTACAAGATGTGTAACAAACTGTTAATAAAATTAAAAAAAAAAACAGTGGCTTTCCAAGTCACGGGGTTTTCTGAGAAAAATCCACAAATTAAAAAAGTACCATCTAGAAAGCTGACAGCTTTATAACTGTCTATGAAACAGCAATGCTCAAATTTTTTTACTAGTCTAGAAATTATTGAGTTTTGACATAAATGGCCTAAGTAGCAAGGCCTATATTTCTATAAGGAACATGATAAATACATAAAAATATAGGACCATTGTATTCCCAAAAAAGAATAAACTAAGTTACTTTCAGAGAAGAATGAACTGACATCTAATACACTTAGCAGCGGCTTCCTTGGCAGGGGTTTCTCAGAAAGGCAGGACCATCACCCCAACCACTGCATAGGCCCATTTCCTTAACCCCAAGTTTGATACAAGTTTGATCATTGAAACAATTTTCTGACTAGGCATAATCTGAGAAGAGGAAAATTACCATCCAAATTTTGATCTTGAAAGAGGAGTTTTGAGAAATGCCTCAACCTTGTGAAACAAATTATCCCAAGGCTGCATTCACTCTTGGGAGTAAGCTAAATGACTATGGAAGGGCTCAGTGTTCTGAGGAACTGTGTGCCATGAGGTCAACAACATAGGTTTCAGGGAAACCAGTCTCAAGTTCAACTCCCAGGTCCAGCCTTACTGTTCAGGTGACCTTAGGAAAGTTATTAAACATTCCCGAAGCCCGGCTTCTGCACATCTAAAATAGGGATATGTCTAACACACATCTTCTATGTAATCAAACTTTGATGACCAACCATACTGTATGAAATAGAGCCTAGCTATATAACAGAATTGTCACAGATTTCCAACAACTTTAACACTCAGAAGGAGAAGCACCACCATAGAATAACTACTACTTTGATTGTAGTGAGATACAAAAAATCATGCAGAAGAGAGAAGTTAAAGAAGAAAACAATTGTCTGTAGCTTTTCTTTATAGAGGTATATATTTTGCTTATCCAATCTCTAGAAGCTGTTAAGGCTTCAGTACCTTCCACAGACAGAAACTGTCAGGTGTCAGGAAAGGACACTCAGACGGCAGCTGTGGGTCCAGTAATCAGCACTGTCCAAAGACTTACAAGGGAACCTCGCCCTGACTCTACCACTGACTAGCTGAGCCGTGGGCACTCGCTTAACCTCTCTGAAACTCCAAATCCTCAATCATAAAATGAGAGATATGAATGTTGTAGTCTCTAGAGGCTCCACTAGAACTCAGGAAAAAGCATTCTAAATATCCATAATTCTACTAAATCAAATACTCAGATGATCCATAAAGGATTGCAAGTCAGGCTAGCTTTTCCCTGGAGAAATCCAGCTTGCATCACAGGGAACTAATGCCTCATTTGGCAGTGAGTCCAGATCCACTGGTCTGGGTATGCAGGTGCCCCACATTTCTGTATTAATGTTTCTGCTGGTGCCAAGGGCTGCATGTAGCCTGGAACTAGAAAGGAAGAGATTAAACTGAAGGCACAAACACCTGCCTCAAAGCCTGTAGGGAGCTCTAACCATTCTGACAGGCCATTTGCGGTAATTGTCCTGTCTGATCCAATAAACTGGCTATTCAAGCACCGAGAGGTTGATGCCTCCTGTCAGTTGACCGTAATTCCAATCACCTCCATTGCACATATAGGTTTTATTTGCATCACACCTGTACCATCACAGAACAGGAGAGACCAATTAAACCATGATTAGCACATATGCCACCTAAATGTGACAAACGGCTGTTCTCAATGAAATCAAAGAACTGTATTAGGGAAGGCCAGATGACCACTTAGGTGTGGGAGGGTAGTACAAAATGACATTGAGAATATGAGACATACAAAAATAGATCTAAAAGAAATAGGTTTGTTCGTTGCATTTTCTGTTGCTATTGATAGATGAAGAACTTTGATAGTGCATGTTCAGACAAAGGAGGACATTTCATTTTAAATCCTAGCAAATAAAATGGCAAAGGAATAAATAGGATCGTGTGGCTTGACTTAAATAAGTACATCAATTGGTAGGGCGTCTGGATGTTAGCATCTGGATGAAACATCATCTGGGCTATTGAAACTCAAAACACAAATACTAACAAGGTCACTGAGTGACTAATCCACGTCTTCCCGCATCCTCATAGTAATTTCATATGGTTGTCATCCTGAGTTTGTTTTGGGGAGTAAGAGGGATATTGGAGGAGATCTGATCACACAGTAAAGATGCCTCCAAGGGTACTATTAGGATCAGAAATAGGATACAATTGCTTTACTATTGAAGAATAAGAAATTATTGATTTGTCTTCACTTTTTGGTGGCTCTGCTTCCAAACTTTATATCCAATGCAATGATAGGCTGGTTATAGTGTCTGACTCTGTCTCAGAAATGTGGATCATGATGTGAGTCCAAAAGCAGCTTTGTCAACAGCATCAAGAATTGATTCTTGCTCAGGTCAAACTCAGGGCCATAACTCATGACTGTGTTAACTGTGGAAGAGGAGTATGGATGACAGTCAAAGATAATCATCAGATGATATATGAGAAAAAGAGATGTATTAAGAATGCCTCATACAGGCTGGGTGCAGTGGCTCACATCTGTAATCCCAGCACTTTGGGAGGTCGAGATGGGAGGATTACTTGAGGTCAGGAGTTCGAGACCAGCCTGGCTAACATGGTGAAATGCTGTCTCTACTAAAAGCACAAAAATTAGCCCAGCATGGTGGCAGGTGCCTGTGATCCTAGGTACTCGGGAGGCTGAGGCAGGAGAATTGCTTTAACCTGAGAGGTGGAGGTTGCAGTGAACCGAGATTGCACCACTGCACTCCAGTCTGGGCAACAGAATGAGACTCAGTCTCAAAAAAAAAATGTCTTATCCAGCATTTCTAATAAAATCACAAACTCTTGTTTGCCTTACATTTCTTATTCAAATTCTGTTATACCACACTTAGGAGTGATGAGGCATGCAGGAACAGCTGGACTTTGTTGTGAGAAAGACCACAGACTCATAAATGTAAAAATAAACTAAAACGAAACCCCCCAAACACATCATTTATAACAACTACAGTAAAGGAAGCAGGAGAGTGTTCACCAGCCCAGTGATAGGAACTATCACTCCTCAGTTCCATAACACATCAAAATGATAGCATCTCTTTTGTAGCTGAGTATAACTAAGTTCCCCACCAAGATTTATCTCAAGGACAGCAGGTTAAGAAAGCTTATGTCAGTCAAGTAGGGAAGATGATACCAACTGACATTCATCGGGGAGGGAAAACGCACGTCTTATAACCATAAGTTAGCAAACTTCAAAAAGACTATTTAAAAGGAGTTCTGATAATGTTCATTTCAGTGAGATCATAACATTAATGCCAGAAAACACAGAATCTATGAGCTGCAGCTTTTGTCCTGGGGAGTAAACCATTAAGGATCTCTTATCTAGGATTTTTAGCTTCTAAAATGCACGATGTAAAGTTCTGTTGATTATGGAGTGTCTGATTTCCTAGTCAGCATCCACCAAAAGCAGCAACAGAAAATGCCTTTGTAGCACAGTTCTGCTGACTTATGATCCCTACTTCGTCGGCTCTCATCTGCTTCTAGGCACAGCTGTTTTCAAATGGAACAGTGCTTTATGCAAACAGTGCCAGCCTGGCCTCAGAGCAAGAAAGCCCTGGGTAGAGGAGTTGGGAAATCAGTATTTTATACTTGGAGCCAAGAATTTGGACCATCACCTGCAAATTCAGATCCCTGTGATCCTCCATGGTCTGCTCCTTGCTGAAATGCACTGCCTGAAGCAGGTCTTAGAGAGATGTTATGGCAACTCAGTTCTCTGGGTCCTTGCTAACTTCTATGAGCCTGCCAAAAAGAGGAGTAAATTCAAGGATAATAAAGAAGGTTGTGGCATGCACCATGCCTCCTCTACCTTTGCCCAATCTCAAGGAGAAAACTGCACCCAAATTGATAATTACAAGATTAGAATCCATGTGAGTTTTTTTGTTTTGCTATGGAGTTCAACAGTGCAGAGTTTCTATTAAAAAAATAAAACAACTAAACATAATGAATCTGCTCTGTAGGATACCTGGAAGAGAGTAGAATTTGAGAGCCAATAAGATATGAGTCATCAACAAGAGCAGGCCTTTGGGGAAACTAAGAGAAACAAACCCCCCGAAAAGCAACTCTCCCCTTGGGACCTAACAGAATGCTTCACAGTCATCAACCTCCTCACTCCGCTTCTTGCTGATGGCTACCAACTGCTATAATCCTACATCTTCCAGGACTTCCTAGGGCCAGGAATTGATCCATAAGGCCAAGTATACACTGCAGTGTTTAAAAGCAAAGGTTCTGGAGTAAGTGTGCCTTGTTTTATAGCATGGCTTCACCATTTACCATGTGACAGTAAGTTACCCAATTTCTATTAAGCCTAATTCACACGTGGGAGAAAAAGGGCTAAAAATATATATTTTTTAACGTTATCAGTAGTTATCTCTGGATAGGTGGATTAAATTATTTTTATTTATCTGCATTTTCCAAAAATTTTTACCATGGGCACATATTATTTTTGTAATAAGAAAAACAAACCTATTTTTAACAATAAACCTAATTTTAAAAACTTCAAATGAAATAATAGCTTTAATAGAGTAATTCTTAATGAATCCAAACAATAGTTAGATTCCCAGCTTTGTTCCTCTACATATTTTTAAAATGCCAAAAGTCAATTTAAAAATCAGTCGATGAGTTTAATTTTAAATAAAAGCAAACAAAACACAATACAATGTAATAAATTCAAATACAAAACCTCCTCCATCTCCCACTTGGTTATTTGATTCTGTTTCTCCAGGCATTAGCTGGCATGGAACTGGCTCCCTTGGCAGTCCCATGATGCCTCCTATACCAGACTCTAGATATATACCTCCCAAGTTTACCAGAAAACTATCCTTCTGAAAGGTTCCAGCAAAATGAAACATTTTGCTGGAAGGTTTTTAAACAAGTTATTGAAACATAAAAAGGACCTTGCTTTCAAAGTTTTGGTATGTTCCAAGAACCCTGTTGAGATTCTTGGCTCATTCACCAACAGCTCTGACACAAAATTCAGCTGATAGAGGCGATCCTACTTCAGGATAGCTAACACTGAGGATGCATTAACCAACCCAATCATTAAGAAACTTCGGGAAGCTGAAAAACATGTGACATAAGATTGACAGTGGGCTGGGCGTGGTGGCTCACACCTGTAATCCCAGCACTTTGGGAGGCTGAGGCAGGTGGATCACTTGAGGCCAGGAGTGCAAGACAAGCCTGGCCAACATGATGAAACTCTGTCTCTACTGACACTACAAAAGTTAGCCAGATGTGGTGGTGCACGCCTATAGTCCTAGCTACTTGGGAAACTGAGGCATGAGAATCCCTTGAGCCTGGGAGGAGGAGGTTGCAGTGAGCCAAGATCACACCACTGCACTTCAGCCTGGGCAACAGCACAAGACTCTATGTCAAAAAAAAAAGAAAAAAGAAAAACGAAAAAAATGATCGACAGTGAACTCCTAAAGAACTGAGGAACATACAACTTCATGCCGTCAAAAAAGAAGACCAACAAAACTACAGAATAATCTCCAAATAAGAAAATCAGGAAGAGTGGACGAGCCCTGGAAGAGACCCCAAATTGCGTGATCATCAGTGAGAAAATTCATTAAAGGGCTGGAGAATAACTGTATTGGTCCCTGCTTTCAAATTGACTTCAATACGTTTTGAAGGACAAGCTTCAAATACACCACCAAATAAACTGGAAGATATGCCCCCAAAAGACAACTCAAGTGAGCACTGGAACACTGGATATGTTGCATGAAACTCCTAGCATCCCACAGTCAAGCCACTCATGCACCTAAAGAAAAATGTTTCTCTATTCCTCTGCCCTGCATAGCTATAGAGCCAGAGGTCTTGTAATCATAACTGAATTATCTATCTAAAGAACATCGGCCGGGCACAGTGGCTCACGCCTGAAATCCCAGCACTTTGGGAGGCCGAGG
The DNA here is from genome assembly GCF_000001405.40 of Homo sapiens. Lineage (NCBI taxonomy): Eukaryota > Metazoa > Chordata > Mammalia > Primates > Hominidae > Homo > Homo sapiens. Next base: position 163,629,638 of record NC_000005.10, on the reverse strand, counting down.
AGGGCGGATCAAAAGGTCAGGAAATCGAGACCATCCTGGCTAACACGGTGAAACACCGTCTCTACTAAAAATACAAAAAATTAGCCAGGCGTGGTGGCGGGCGCCTGTAGTCCCAGCTACTCGGGAGGCTGAGGCAGGAGAATGGTGTGAACCCGGAAGGCGGAGCTTGCAGTGAGCCGAGATCGCGCCACTGCACTCCAGCCTGGGTGACAGAGCGAGACTCCGTCTCAAAAAAAAAAAAAAAAAAAAAAGAACATCAACATTCACTTGTGCTAAAGAAATCACGTCCAAGTACTAGTACTTATTCCAGATGGAAATTTACAAATATAAGCAAAAGCCCCAAAATAACAAAACTTATGAGAAAGAACTAACAATATTAAAGAGACCTTAGGCCAAAAAGAAAATATTCAATGCCTGTAGACAGGGCTGATGAACAATATTGAATGGAAATTTAAATACTTGATAGACATTACAGCTACAAAACAGTAGACACTGTGAAAAGCAGTAACCAGAATCGGAAAATTAAAAATACAATTGCTAGGATTTTTTAAAAGAACAACAAATAAGTCCGGGCGTGGTGGCTCATGCCTGTAATCCCAGCACTTTGGAAAGTCAAGGCGGGTGGATCACAAGGTCAGGAGTTCAAGACTAGCCTGGCCAAGATGGTGAAACCCCGTCTCTACTAAAAATACAAAAAATTAGCCAAGTGCTGTGGCAGGCGCCTGTAATCCCAGCTACTAGGGAGGCTGAGGCAGGAGAATCGCTTGAACTCAGGCGGCAGAGGTTGCAGTGAGCCGAGATCACGCCACTGCTCTCCAGCCTGGGCGACAGAGTGAGACTCCACGTCAAAAAAAAAAAAAAAAAAAAAAAAAGAGCAACAAATAAATCAACTGAATACCAAAATAGACATCAACTAAAACCGAATTAACAAGTCAGAAATCTATCAAATGGACTAAGAGGTAGAAATTGTAAGAGAAGTGACAATAGTCATGGAAGATAGATCTTTGAGAGCCAGTATCTGTCTACCATGAGTTCGAGAAGAAATGGATGAAAAGCATACAGAAGGCATATAACAAAAGAAATAAAAATAAGTTTTCCTTTACTTGAAGAAATTTGCCATAAGACAAGGCTTGCTGTAGAAAGGACAGCTAGTTGCCCACAAATATCCATTCTCTTTCTTTCTTTCTTTCTTTTTTTTTTTTTTTTTGAGACAGAGTCTCACTGTGTCGCCCAGGCTGGAGTGCAGTGGCACAATCTCAGCTCATTGCAAGCTCCGCCTCCCGGGTTCACGCCATTCTCCTGCCTCAGCCTCCCAAGTAGCTGGGACTACAGGTGCCTGCCACCACGCCTGGCTAATTTTTTTTTGTATTTTTAGTAGAGACGGTGTTTCACCGTGTTAGCTAAGGTGGTCTTGATCTCCTGACCTTGTGATAGAACCTCTGAGAGTTTTAGCTGATCCCAGAGGACACAGCAAAAGAATAATTTCCCATCCTCTCTTGCAAATTGGCCATGTGACAAAATTTTCACCAATGGGGTGTGGATTGAAGTAGTATTTGTAACTTGTAGGCCATGATTTTTAAGAAAAGAATATGGTCCAAGTTCCCTCTTCTTTCTTTATCCGTGGGCTAGAATACAGAAGTGATGGAATAGACATTTTAGACCAGTGGTTGGCAAACACAACTGTGCACACTTGTTTGTATATTGTCAGAGGCTGCTTTTTGTACTACAATGGCAGAGTTGAGTAGTTGCATCAGGCTTATGGTCCATAAAGCCTAAAATATTTACTATCTGTCCAGTTACAAAAAAGTTAGTCACCCCTGATTAAAATTTTTTAAAGACTGACAATACTATGTGTTGGTGATTATATGAATGAAGCAACTGGAATTCTTAGGCATTGCCGCTTGGAGTGTGAATTGTTACAAGCACTCTTCAAAACTATCTGACAGTTCTGATAAAGTTCAATATACAGCTGCCCTGTTAGCCAGGCATTCCATGTATTTGCATATTTCCAAGATAAATAAGTATATATAGCCATAAAGAGACATGTTCAAGACTGTTCATAGCAGTTTTATTCATTATAATACACAATGAGTAAACCAGTTGTGATATATGCATACAATGAAAAATTGCACAGCGATAAAAAAAACTCCTGTTACATCCAAAATATATTGATGAGTAAAAGACAAACACAAAAAGAATGTACTGTGTGATTTCATTTATGTATAGCTCATGAACAGGGAAAGTTAATTTATAATAATAGAAATCAGAATAGTAAATATCTGTGGAAGGTGGATATTGACTGGGAAGGGCATGAGAAAGCCTTTTGGAGTGCAAGGAAGTTCTATAACCTGATTCTGATGGTGGTTACGCAGAAACATACATTTGTAAGAATTCGCTGAGCTATGCACTTAAAATTTGTGTATTTTATTGTATGCAAGTTCACCAAAAACCTGTTAGACTTTCCGCAGGGAAAGTCTCAGGGAAGTCGCTGGCCAGCCAGGGACTACATTTCCCAGTTACCCTTACCATTCGTGGCAGCCATGTGACAAATGTGAACAAAATTGATGACAGCAACTTCCAGGTCTGCCACATAAAACCTCCCAGATAGTACTATATCTATATTCTTTTCACCTTGACAGTGGTTGGAGTGGAGATGGTCCCTCAAGATCATCTAAAGTTATAACTCTAAAACTGAAAAAAGCAGAGGTAAGTGAAAAAAAATCAAAATGTCTTATAGTTAATACAGAATAATCATTGTCGATTAATTTTTGGCAAAGTGGCAGACCATAGGATTAAATATATTTCCTGAAAATGCAAGGCTTAAAAATGTAACCAGCTAGAATAAGAGATAAGCACTTCCAAATCATAAATGAAAATAAGTAAACTACAGCACTATTCAACAAATACTACAGTGTTTAATGAGAAAAGACACCAAAAATGCACATGGTATGAGTCCATTTGTATAAAATTCAAAAACAGACAGATTAAAAGTATGTATATTAATGCGGCCGGGTGCGGTGGCTCACGTCTGTAATCCCAGCACTTTGGGAGGCTGAGGCAGGCAGACCACAAGGTCAAGAAATTGAGACCAACTGGGCAACATGGTGAAACCCTGTCTCTACTAAAAATACAAAAATTAGCTGGACGTGGTGACACACGCCTGTAGTCCTAACTACTCGGGAGGCTGAGGCAGGAGAGTCGCTTGAACCCAGGAGGTGGAGGTTGCACTGAGCCGAGATCACGCCACTGCACTGCAGCCTGATGACAGAGAGTGGGACTCTGTCTCAAAAAAAAAAAAAAAAAAGAATGCATGCTTAGGTGGTAAAACTACATAGAAAAATCAAGATTTGAATTCCATGAAGTCAAGACAATAGTTACTATAAGCAGTAATAGAACAAGTTGTCATAAGGATGCAATGGGGCTGGGGGATTTCAGCCTTGCTGAAAGGTTATTTCTAGATCTACATGATGACTGTATTGACGGTTACTTTATTACTATGTTAAGTTGTATATATGTTTTAAAGACTTTTCTCTATCGTTTATTTCAGGTAAGAAAAAGGTTTAAAATGTATTAAAAAGTGAGTGTCATGACTCACATCTGTGTCCCAACACTTTGGGAGGCCAAGGCAGGAGAATTATATGAGCCCAGGAGTTTGAGACCAGCCTGGCCAACAGAGTGAGACCCCATCACTACAAAAAAATTTTTAAAATTTTTTGACTTTTAAAAAATTAAAGATATAATTTGAATAATAAGATTCATCCACTATTATACATTCATTATTATGTATTCTCTCTTCATATATGTATAAGTGTGAATATTACATTTATAGAGATACAACTATATATACACATGAATTCAATATACAAAATATATATTTTATACATATATGTATGTGTGTATATATATGAATCAAACAGAGAAGATGCATTCTATTCAGATGTCCATAAGGCTTTTTTTGAAAAGTTCACCATATACTAAGCTAGAAATGATTCATCATTGTTATAGATCAGTGATAGCTGTGAGTTTCCCATGCTTTCATTCTCCAGGATGGAGCTTCTATGTGTGTTGTCCTAATGTCGTTATTTATTGGGTGTATGGTGAGAGGAAGGAAAATAACTCAGCTTTCAGGTCATCTGTTGCAAGACACAAGGAATCACATCTATCCACACTTGATGTAGGGCAGTGCATTACCCAGAGAGCCTTGACCTGGATATGATAACTAATGGAAATCTAGATTGCCTTTCTTAGAAAATAATATGAGAAGAAAAGTACTCTTAGCAATTTGGCAGCCAGAAGGACAGACTAGGGCAAAGATGGCTAGCAGATCACCAAAAACCTGTTAGACTTTCCCCATAGTGTAGAGTTGTCTCAGGGGAGTCATTGGCCAGCCAGGGACTACATTTCCCAGTTACCCTTACCATTCATGGCAGCTTTGTGATACATGTGAACAAAATTAATGACTGCAACTTCCAGATCTGCCACATAAAAACCTCCTGGATAGTACTCTATCTATATTCTTTTCACCTTAATAGTTGGTTGGAATGGAGATGATCCCTCAAGATCATCTAAAAAACTATGTGTTGAAGATGCAAAGCCCCCATCAGTCCAGGTTCCTGAATAGTTGTGGGGATGCGGCTCACTCTCTAAGTTTTTCACCTACACAGTGCTGTTATGTGAGCAAGGAAGAAAATTCTGCGGTATCTGAGCCATTCTTTATTTTGAGTCTATTTGTTAGAACACTAAGTCTGCATTAACTAATACAGGAAACAATAATAGAACCTACCCCACTGTGTAGTTGTGGGGATTAAATGAATCCATGAAAGAGAGAAGCTTAGCACAGTGCCTCACACATCGTTAAGTGCTGAGTGTGTATTAGCTTAGTAAGTACCCAGGAAATCATTACAAGGAACTTAGAGTCTTCGAAATGATTAAGTTTCAAGAAATGAGCTCTTGAAAATAAAGGAAAGAGATTGATGACAGTCTACTCAGTCCATTTCTTGCAGTTAATCACTGTTTCCTCCAAAGAATCCTCTGGGCTTGGTTATATGAGTAGCACAGTAGGCAACCGCAGCACATTTGAGCAATAAAGCTGCAAAATAAGCTCAATATGCTAACCATCAGGGACAATGATGGACCAGCTGGAGATTCTGAGATGCGTCCCTACCATCAGTGAATGGAGAATGGGAAATCGTGTGTAAATATACATATATATGTAAAGGTAAATCTGTTTCCTGCTTTCTCCCTTTTTCCTTGAAATAAGCACGTGTATGTACATGTACACACACACACACACACACACACACACACACACTGACAGATTGCAGCACTGAAAAGAGTATTGGTGATTTTATTGATGAGTCTCTCAAATCATCATCAAAACAAAATAAGCTGTTCACTTCACAGCTGGAGTCAAATGGAGTGATGACAGTTGTCTTGCCCTTCTCTGATGATAAATGAGCCTTCCCCTCCTTACTCAGGTCCTTGACTCAAATTCACAGTTATTCCAGTGACCCAGGCAGACCTTTGAGAAGAAAAAAGCCACACTCACAAATGCCTAATGACGCTTGTCTCAACTATTACCATTGTACCCTGTCATTCTAACTATAATTGATTTGCTAAAGTAGCTTTTTTTATATAATCAGCCTAGCAGACAAAAACACCTAATACAAATTAAACACATCTCTCTCTTCCAAATTCACCAGACCTCTTATCCCATGCTTATTTAAAACTTTTTATGAAACTTCATATTTGCTTTTCTTATCTTGGAAGTAAGCAAATGAGTGTCTGGCCTTTAAGAGAAGTCTTTGCTAAAATGATCTTAGAATCACCTGAAGGGAATTTTTGCCCCTAGACAATCTTTTCATTGAAGCACAAATCTCAATCAATTGAATGACTCCCTAGAACCTTCTTTGACAATGTTTTGGCAGCCACATCAAGGCTTAGCAGGAAAGAACGTCATGACTGAAGAACAATGCCTACATACACAGGTGATAGTGGCATATTAGAACATATTCCGTATATTTATTCTCCATGAGAATCAAGGTAGAATGATATCATAGAAAATTCCAGAAAGTAAGATATCTAACCTATTGTGTAGATAAAGATATTTATCATTCCTTCAAAGAAGATAATATAACCATATTACAAAGCAAATTCCCTGAAATCGCTTGTACTTGGCGATTTGTTACAACCAGCTACCTTAAACTCTTTGTGCTGCCAAACATAAAGATAAAATTAAACAACTTACTCAGGAAAAAAAAAAAAGAGAAAAACAGCTCTTAGAAGTAATGGCCTGGGGTTTCTATGTTCCTTTCACAGAACCAAACTCCCCAAGAGATCCTCGAGCCTAGGATTCTACTGGAAGCCATGTGCTTTGTGGCTGCCTGGATGTTGTTCTCAACAATGGAAGGGTGTGTGTTAACAGCCTGTAGTAACAAGACTCCATTATTCCCAGAACATAACATCTCACAAGGACTCCCAGCTACCCAGAGGTTGCAGAGAGTTCCATTTAGCACCATCTTTGTGAGGCATGAACAGCTGACACAGATGAAAGTGGAAGAGCCAGCCCTGGGGAGGAAAGGCTTTTTTCCCTTTCAAGTTTCTGAACTTTTCTAGGTCTGTGGAGGTCCAAACCACAGAACCAAGAAAACTCAAAAGGAATGCAACAAAAGGAGCTACAAATCAAAAGAGTCCTCTCCACTGTACAGCTCCTGCTGTTCTGCTTTCATTGCACACCAGCGTCTTCTGAATGGATAGCAGCACCTCAGCCTCCTTGTACAAAGTCAACACATTGTATTGAGGAGTGTGTACAACTTGCAAAGGAGCCGTCTGGCTACTGGCTAAATTCTCCCGTCCTTTTCAATCTCCCTCCGTGCTTTTTTTTCTTTATGGGGCTGGGGGGCCTGTGGTGTTTTCTTTGTCCTATGACTACTAGGTTTCTCTAAGATCTTTAGGAACACCATGTGGACCCCTGCCCCCATATGACCATGTTCCCCCAGAGAGCTGTCACAATGGGTACTTTTCTTGCAAACCTTCTTCCTCCTTCACTATCTACATACATTGGATACCAGGAGCCATAAAATATGTTCATATACTAACTGCGTCACATGTTTTCACTCTGTCTTCTCTGTAGGAAAATGATTATGAACTTGGTAGAGGGGCAGGTGCAGAAGGAAAGCAAAAACATAATTCGGTAGGCACTTGAAGTAGTCTATGCAAATAATGACAGTGATTTAGGCTAAGGTACTGGTGGTGGAACTAAGAAGTGATCAGACTCAGATGTATTCCAAAGGTAGAGCCAGAATGATTTGGAAAGCAGATGTGAGAGACAACAAAAAGATGCTAAGGGTGATGCTATTTAGAGAATATGACCACCCTCACACAGGATTATTTTGAATGCTAATTGAGTCAATGTTTTTACATGTGCTAAGCATGATGATCTCAATAAACATTAGGTGAGTCTGAACTTTCTTTGTACTATTCAAAAAACCCAAAAAGAACAAATCATACAGCAAACCTTAAATTGTTATTGTCTGGGCTGTTATCATGGCCACAAGCATTTCTGGAAATTTCTGTCACCGTTTCCTACAAATCTGTTGAGGACAAGAGAGAATTAACACCAGCCACAAGATAGAATAATACCAGTCACACATACACATACACATACACATACACATACACATACACATATACATATATATCAAAAAACTTGTGCTTTACTATTTAAGTGAAGATAAGGGCAGGGGATGGAGGGAGAGATTTCATTGCTAATATTTATTTATGATTTGATTGTCAATATGTGTGTGTTTATGTGTATACGTGGCGTTGTTGTTGTTGTTGTTGTTGTTGTTGTTTTTTGAGACAGAGTCTCGCTCTGTCGGCCAGCCTGGAGTGCAGTGGCACGATCTCCGCTCACTGCAACCTCTGCCTCCTGGGCTCAAGCAGTTCTCCTGCCTCAGCCTCCCGAGTAGCTGGGATTACAGGGGTGTGCCACCACGCCCAGCTAATTTTTGTATTTTTAGTAGAGATGGGGTTTCACCATGTTGGCCAGGCTGGTCTTGAACTCCCGACCTCAGGTAATCCACCCACCTCAGCCTTCCAAAGTGCTGGGATTACAGGTGTGACCCACTGTGCCCGGCCTATGTGTGTTTTTATATAGCATTTTGTCTCTGACTTCCTCCTCTCTGAGTAATTCTTCCCTTTTCTACGGCCTCCTGTCAAGACTGTAGCATAATTTGTCAAGTACTTCTATATGCCATAGTGCAAGGGTTTCTAATTGCCATTTAGAATACTGAGCCTAAAGAAATCATAAAGGGCTTACATTCTGGTAAGAGAGACTTAAGTCAATACTTACTACAAAATAAGAAAATTTCCTTAAAGAATATGGCAAATATTGTAGGTTGGCTCACTCAACACTTATTCCAGTTTTCTTTCCCTCTCCTTCCTCTCTTATAGAGGCTGGATAGATAAAAATAGAGTTTTCTGAGACCCTTGTAGCTAAGGGTCAATGAGAAATAAGCAGATGTCTCTTGAGAATTTCTGGGAAACATTATCCCTTTCTGAAAGTTCCTGCCTGGAATGCAAACATGATGGTTGGAGTAGCAGCAGCCATCTTAAGACATAAAGAAAAAAAGTCAAGAGAATCACAGAGACTTCAACCCTGTCATCCTTGCACCGCTGATCTAATATCAAATACCACATACCCCCATACCCGTAGACATTTTTGCATGATAAAAAACAAGCCTTTACATATTTATGCCCATTATAAGCCCAGCTTTCTGCTATAGGCAAAGGTAAGTCCTATAAAGCTTATAGGCAAAGGTAAGTCCTATCAAATCTACAGGCCATTTCCTAAGCTGGCTTGTTTCCTTCCTTAAACTCTATCTGTACTATCTTGTTGCTTGTAAATTAGCCATTTTCTCCTGATATCACAATTTAGGAAAATACAAATTTCCTAATGGTTCTGGATAATTGAAATGGTTTACTAAAATGAGAATCATACTACATTTCTTAGACACAATGCTCTAATTATAATATATTTGTAGAATACTGAAATATAAAAGAGGCAAATGAAACCAATGAAATAAAATCCCAAACTGGAAGAGTTTCATAAACAGTAATTTGAGGGGAGTCCTTAGAGTCAACAGTCTTCACATTTTTGGAGCTGTTTGCAAATCTTTGTCAACCAACCAGCTTCACCCTATTAGAAGTGACTGTTTTGAACTTGAAAAGGCCATTAAGTCCTTCCTTGGAAGTTTTTCCAGCTAGTCCATGGCCAAGAGGGTATCTGCAACCCCCGGAACAAGAAGAGTATGGGAGAGACTAAGGCCAGGAAAAGGTAATGGGCAGAAGACAATCTCACCAAGATTACATTCCATAAAATGGAATTGGCAACATCTGCTCAATCTACTGTAGATAAACAGTGAACTATTTTCCATCTCATTAACTGAGGGGATGAGATACTAAAGAAACCCCAGGGGCTTCATGCTTTGTTATCACGTTTAAGGCTTGGCCCAGACTTGCTGCATTAGCTAATCCGGGTAATGGTTTATAGGCTAAAATCCTATCTAGTTTCTCTTTCTCGCTCACTCACTGTCACTCTCACTTGTACTCTCTTGTTCTCTTTTGCTCTCACAGACGCAAACTCTGTTGCATTCTCTCTTACACACACACACACACACACACACACACACACACACACACACCAATTCCCAAGTGGCTTAAAACCAAAAGTTCCTGCTTAATCTGACTCTCTAATTACTAGTCACTTAGCTTAAATTATTAACCATGTCTTCAACTGTGATATATGATACCTGTGGGTCTCCAAACAGGATTCTAATAGAATTATCTAATTCTATTAAACTGCAAACAACTGCCCATTAAATATTTATTAGCCAGCTTGCATTCATCGAAGATAGATTGGAGTGTCAGCAAACCTCTGGCTTCCCTCTTCCCGGAGCTCAGCCAAACCAGCTCATCAGAATTGTGCCTATTGATCAATGGCCAATTACCTGTTTAATCAAAATCAATGGAAACAAAAAGAGTTTAGAAGAACTTACAAGGTATGGTATAGATTTTTTTAATACTTGGTTAAATAAGTAAATTGGTTAAAATCTAGCTAAGTTACATGTAAACACTTAAGGTTTATTTTCCATGGGGAAAACTGCTGACAGTTAAATAATTAGATTCTCTTTTTCAGACTGATGAATTGTATTTTTAATATAAAGGGGTTTAAAAACTGTCAATTTTAGCTAACCAGGAGAGACACATTTTGATGCCATGATTTCGGGCTAAAATGCCTTCTTTCTTAAAGTCATCTGAAAGATAACCTGACACCTATGGCAGACAGCACCACTTCAGATGGTAAGCATGTGGGCAGTTTTAGACAATTAGTTTATGCAAGACAGCAAGTGTTCATTCACTAAAAATGCAAGAACCATCTGGATTCTCCCAGAGGATCTGGGAAGAATGAACAAGGAAAGTCACTGCTCCAGATGAACCACTTCAGCAGGAATCGTTCAAAACCCAAATGGTAAATCCATTCTTCATAGCACAATTCCATAATGAAGAAGAAAAAGGAAGAGGGGAAATGTTATCTGACTCTTGTTCAACTAGTTTCTCAATAGTCAGAGAAAGTAGGGCCAAAGAAAAAAGGAGTTGCTACAACAGATAATCAGTGGTGATATATACTCTTGTTTCCTGGTTGTTGTACTTAAGGATTAAACCTCAAACAGTGACCTTGTAGTTTGATTTAGAGAAAATATTCCTGTCCTGAGCCAATATAATTAGGATAAACATAAAAATGAGCACTAGGAATCTCCAGTCATTAAAAACAAACCAACAGGAAAGTAAATAGAGTTACATTCACACATGAGAATAAAGTATTGCCATGCAAATGGACAGACTATTATGACATGCACGTGGATTAATTTTATAAATATTACGTTAAGTGAAAAAGGCCATATAAAAAAGAACAGATTCTATGTGATTCCATTTACATAAAATTCACCAAAACGGGAGAAATTATGCTGTGTTTTAAGTAGAATAGTGGTTACCTTTGGGATTGGAGAGCTTGGTGGTGACAGAGGTGGCCATGAGGGAGATTTCTGGGGTGCTTGGTAATGTTCCATGGCTTGGTCCAGAAGCTAGTTGCACTGATCTAGTCACTTTGGAAAGTTTTTTGTGCTTTTCTGAATGTATATAATTTTTCAATAAACGGTTTACTTTTTAAAATAAATAACAGCAATTTATTTGTAAGGCTTTATGCAAGACACTTTTGTCTGGACCTCTAAGTTTCCATCATATGTAAAATAAAGTAGTTGAACAAGGTAGTCTTCAGATTTCTGTTGCAAAAATGCTGAATTTCTGCAAAGATCACTAGTCATACAAGAACAAAATGGATCAATAAATGTGCAACTGACATCAACCCCATTTTAGCAATCAAATCTCTCCCTCCACCTGCTGCCCTTATTGTCACTTAAATAGTAAAGCACAAGTTTTTGACACTATCCATACTCGGAGAAATCCTCCCTCTAGATACATTAGTGAGAGGGAGGGAGGGAGGGAGGGATGGAGGAAGGAAGGAAGGAAAGAAGGAAGGAAGGAAGGAAGAGAGAGAAGGAAGGAGAGAGAGAGAAAGAAAGAAAGAGAAAGAGAAAGAAAGAAAAAGAAAAAGAAAGAAAGAAAGAAAGGGAAAGAAAAGGGAGGGAAGGAAGGAAAGAAATAGACACATAGATTCTTATAAAACCAGACAAAAAGGAGAAACGCAAAAAAAAAAAAAGCACAGATTATTCCAACCCACTTCATTTGCTGCTTTCTTTTCATTTTCCAATTTTCTTTCTTACCCTCAAGAATCTGGCCTTCAACGTTCTTTCAGTTCCTCATTCATAAGAAAATATTTAATCTTTGGGTTAATTTTTCCTAAGAGAGTCCATAGCTCTGAAATCAGGAAGGAATGGGCTTCTAAGGAATGTAAAAAAACAAATGAAAAACTAAATCTGCCCTAAAATATCTCCCCTGCCCACCTACCTAATGCCTGGTGTTTCCATCATTCAAAATCTTCTTAAAGTAAACAAATTAGATTGGCCAGCCCTTTACCTAGTGGAGAACCAGCCTCTGAAGATGTGAAATATAGGACTCAAGCCTTATCCACACAGCAAAGGATGTAGAGATCAAGAGCTTGGTGCATCTCTAGAACAGGGAATGCTTGACATATGGGACCAAAGTCACATTTTCCGAGCAGCTCAAGACCAAAAAAGAGAGCACTGTAAGGGAAAGGGGCCCAGGTGTTCTCCGCTGCTCATTTCCCACCTAACACCATCTTAGTACTAATTCTCCTCATGTTTCTACAAGGAAAGGCCTTGTGAATTTTACCATGCAATAAGAAAATAAAGTTCCACCAATGGCCTCCTTTTTCTAAACAACCATAAGTCACCACGGTAAACAGTTCACTTTCTAAACTATTAGTTATATATAGAACACTGTAGGACAACTGCTAAAAATTCCTTCATTCACTGCAGAAACCAGAGCATAGATCTCTCTGTTCACAGAGTTTTATTAAGGACATATTGGAGCTTCATTGGGAGATGAGCAAATGTCACCAATTCACAGCCAAAATAATGGACAGATAGAACCTAAATCCCTCACGTATGAAACATTACAACTTTTAAATTCCCTAGTAGTGTATCTCTTAAAAGGATGAAATAAAGTACAAATCAAGAACTGTTCTTTGGAGGAATATTCCTAGATCAGTTGTCAAGAAACATATAATATGTCATTTCTCCTTAGCTCCGGGAGAGAGTGAAAATGTCTGGAGAATGTACAATGAGCAAGTTACCTGCTGCTGTCTTTTACACATTTTAAACAGAGACCAAAAGCAGCTTGGTTGGCTTTCCTTAAAAAGGTACAGGCATCTCTAGAGAGCATACCCTCACCAGGCAAAAAAGATGCGTCACTAAATGTCTCTCTTTTACGCATCGCAGCTGGTACTGGGGTTCTGCTCTCCCCTTTAGAGGCAAAGGGCTCTGCTAACACACTGGCGGAAGGGATGGGGCAAAACTCTACTTTGAAGTATATGTTTAGGTATCAATCTGCTTCTCCAGCCTGTAAAAATGGAAGCAAATGCACAAATATGATTTAAATCACAGAAAGTGCCATTGACCTAATCCCAGTACAGGAGGATCCTGTTATAGGACAGGTTTTTCCACTCCCAGAAAGTGGACAGTAGCTGGGAGAAGAAACAAGAACACAAATAAGAGAATACAAGAGGGAAACTATGAGGTGTTGCTCAAGTGAGAATTATTCCATAAAGAATTCAGGGCTGTGGCCGGGCATGGTGGCTTATGCCTGCAATCCCAGCACTTTGGGAGGCCGAGGCGGGTGGACCATTTGCGGTCAGAAGTTCGAGACCAGCCTGGCCAACATGGTAAAACCCCATCTCTACTAAAAATACAAAAATTAGCCAGGTGGTAGTGGCACACAGCTGTAATCCCAGATACTCAGGAGGCTGAGGCAGGAGAATTGCTTGAGCCTGGGGGGGCAGAGTTTGCGGTGAGCCGAGATCATACCACTACACTCCAGCCTGGGTGACAGAATGAGACCCTGTCTCAAAAAAAAAAAAAAAATAGAATTCACAGCTGCATAGATGCTGAAACTCACCAAGTTGCTACTCCTGTTACCATCCCTTGAAGATTACTGTGCCTGAGATTTCTAGCCTTCTACCCCATGTCAATTTTTCTGTTATAATAGAAGTATCTGTGTGCATGGCTGCCAAGTTAAATACCGCATTTCCTAATCTTCCTTAAAGCTAGATGTGGCTACGTGACCAGGTGCTAGCCAATGAAGGTCATGAGCAGAAGTTACTCGTGCATCTTTCTGGGTCACATCCAAAAAACAAGACACATGCAATCCTATTATTCTTCCTTTCTTCCCACTTGTTGAAATTCAGACCCAGTGATGGGAACTAAAGCACCCACCATAGACCCAGAGAAAGAAGTCACATGCTAACAATAGAAGAGCAACAACACAGAATTTGTTGAGTCCACACACCATGAACCACTGTATAAGCTTTACATTACTTACACCTGGCAGTCAAGCCAATATCCTAAAACTTACAACCAGCAGCTGCTACTGGTCAGCTCTTCACCATCCTCTATCCCATTTGGAATGATGACTATCTGCAACCCAGCCTTTGCCCAGTGCCCCCAGCTAAGAAGAATGATTCCCGATCGAGCAGCACGGCACCACCACCAAGAACAGGGGTTACTACCTATAAACAACTTGCAGGATTGTGGGAGTTTGAATCAAAAGCACTGTCCCAATCAAAGCGAGATGATGATGAACCGGTGAGAAATCACCCACTGAGTGTGGTCAGCTGTGGCTATAATGACACTGATGACAACACCATAACCTTTCTTCCCCACCAGGAAACTAGGGAGGAGAGCCAGAGCAGGGTCACCTAAATATATTGCAAGTGCCAAGACCTTGTGACTGAATAAATAAGTGCAAGTGGAATGGAAATTAGAAGGCTAAACCTAAAATAAATTCAACACACTACCCCCTCTTTATGTTCTCCTTTTAATCAGTTAGTTTCATGAGACTTTGCTTTGCAGAGGAGATGTGACTCACGAGCATGCTTGCCAGAGACAGATGCTGGTGGGTTTGTGGGGTTTTTTTTAAATTTTATCAGACGGGATCTGCAAAAAATTTGGATGAGGAGAAAGGCCAACGGTAAACATGCTTGGAATCAAGGCAGATTTTCTGGGGAAGTTGTACAGGATTTTTATGGACTCACAGTTTCTAAAACTCTTTTCAAAGACATAAAAATAAAAGATGAATCAGTTTTATAAATAAAGGAACTTAGAGATCATCATCTAGTTTAACCTTGTGTTCCTAAACACTTAATATAGTATATAACACACGGTTGGCAATCAAATGCATTTTTTGTTGCCTGTTGAATAAATTATTGCCTGACTAGAGAATAAGGCAGAAGAACGGCTTGTCCAAGATCACACAGAAAAGATTCAGGACAGTTGTGGATAGAACTAAGATGTCTCAGCCTCAAATCCAGTACATTTTCTATGCTGTCTTCTCTCATCATGTCACAGCGTCTCTTCAGTTTTTTTAAATGAGCCCCAAAATCCATGCACCCACCTTTCTTTTCCTGGTGTCTATATCAGTTAGAATAATTTTAGCTGTAGGTAACAAAAAAGTAACTAAAACCAGACGATGATTTATTGTTTGCTTCATAAACATCCAGAGGCAAATTGTCCCAAGGTTGACTTTGGCAACTCAGCAACACCATCAAGGACCTAAGAACCTTCCATCTTTCCACTTGCCCGTCCTCATGTGTTGCCTTCATTTTCGGGTCTATTTCCTCATGGTTGCTAACCGTTTGTAGCACCTCTTTTTATCTTCCATGAAAGCACGTAAGTAGAAAGGAATGGGCAAGGATCAAAATGGCTTCCTTCTCACAAAACTCTATTAACAAAAAGCAATATCTTTCCTGGAACCTTCAAAGTACTCCCCTTTATGTCGCATTGGCCAGAACGGACCCGCATGCCCACTGCTGAACCAAACAATGGTGAAAAGAAATGGGATTTTAATAATTGGCTTAGGCCATTCATGATTTACCTACTGAGCTGGTCACATTCTAATCCAAACAAATGTATTAACAAGAAAGGAGAGGAACTGACTATTTGAAGACATCTATGAGATTCTGCCACATAGACTGATTGCTTGGCAGCTCTATTCCTCAAGACTAAGATAATCCCTCTGGTATTGGGTCTCAACAATGCTAGACATAGAAGCATGAATTCGACAAATGTTTATGAAGCACTTGCTATGTGCCAGTCTCCAAACAGACCCTGCAACTAAAACCACAAATAGGACTGACATTTACCCTCAGGGAGCTCACTAGACAAAGACCACAAAATAAGTTTTTACAATCTAGTGTGGTGTGTGTTCTTATGGGAAAAATGCCCAGAAATATGGGAAAATAAGTAAGACATAACTAGCCAAGATTTGGATGGTCAGGGAAGGCGTCTATCAATAAAAGCAGGTGTCATCAGTAAAAATAAGTGGAAGCTAGCATAGAGGCACAATGGGATGAGCAGAGTGTGTTCCAAATAGAGGGCTCAGCATGGACCAACTCCAAGAGACAAGGGAGAATATGAGGATCTAAAGACTGAAAAAAAATGAGTATGACTATAGCATGGAACATGAGGCAGAGATCAATGAAGAAGAAAGAGGTAAGAGCTGGCATAAAAAGTAGTTTGGGAAGAGTAGCAGCTGACTTCAAGTTTTTGCTGTTTGATGAAGGATCTGTCATGCCAGCTGTAGGTGGAGTCACAGGTGTGAAAACAACTAAAAGGCAGCAAGCGCAAAAGCGACCTCCTCTGAGGAAATGGATCAAGACGTTGCTACTTGGTGACTTGCAATTCCCTTTGCTGATTCTCCATCCATCGAGGCTATTACAGCCCAGGCTGAAAATAAAGCACCAGTTCAGAGTGTCAACAACTCCCCAGCAGAAGGGCTAGTGTGGGTAATGAGTGTGCTTTGACAGCCCAAGGTCAGATATTTAACAATATTCCGGAGTTAAGTATGATACACTGAGTGCTGTTTTAGCTTCTTACTTGAAAGGCTCACAGCTGCTAATATTTACAGAAATAGGAAGCAATTACAGTTCGCTGCCACAGGAGGAACTTAAATAATTTAAGACTCATAATGCCTCTGATTCTTTTCAAGCCATCTTTTCTCCAGAACCAGCTGCTTCTAGCTCTCCGAGAGCCCTCTCTTCAGAAGGCAGAGTCGACCTGATGTGAAGCTCTGCTTTTGCTAGCCCAAAAACTCAAGCACACAGCTTTTTGGCATCCACAACATTTCTCCCACACTAGTATTTCATCTCTGGAAAAGGCCCCTTTTCTCACCAGTGATGAAACTCCAGAGCCATCTGCTTGGGCTAATCTGGGCAAACTGGCATGAGCAGAGAGAACCATAATGTGATTTCACAAATTAAACTAATTTATTTCAGTAGCCATTTCCATGACACGGATGTGGTAGGACAAGAATAGAGAAGAAGAAAGGGAAATGGTGGCAGGGTGGGGGGGTCGCGGAGGCTGTGGAGGATTGAATATGTTGAATGCTAAACAGAAGAAAGTCAGATTTTAAGTGGCCAAAGTTTCCATGTGAACCACCAGAAGAGCCTCTTCTTATGATCCAATTGTGGATTCAGTTTTTCCTACGGTGGTGAGCAAGCTGATGAGTGGGGTAAGAAAATGTAGAAAATTGTAAATTTTTTGAACTGAGGTTTGGATTGATGGTTTTTATGTTTGCCTATAATAGGATCTTTGCAAGAATGAAAGAATATTGGGGTATCTGTTTCTATTTTAAAGTTTTAAAATATGGCTAAGACCCTGACTGATAATGCTACTCCAGTTGACAAGAGCCACTCTTTATAGAACAATGTTCTAGGGTCTTTGACTTCCACAATCTTTCATGTATCATCACAGCTTCTTTTTTTTTTCTTGGGATGACATCATGCTAGAAGGGAGAAACATGTTTTCTGGCACGCAACAAATTACTTTTCAAATCTCTACCCCTTTGTGGCTCCAAACTCTGGGTAGTTATTCCACGCCTGTGAGCCTCAGTTTCTACATCTACAAAGTCAAAATGTCCCTATAAGTATGTCTTAATGAGGACTGAATTATTTTAATGAAATAACTTGGACAAAGAATCTAATAGTGTCTAGACAATAGAAAGCATCCAATGAAGGCTAGCTCCTTTCTTTCTCTCTCAATATCTATTCTTTTCTGTTGTGTTCATCCAGATAAAATGTGTGCCTTTCTAATGCCTATTGCATTTGGGAGAAATGCTAATTTGTTGTTCCTCCTTGTACCTTAAAAAATATACAGAAACACTTACTTCTTATATCAAAAAGGGTGCTATCATGGGTTGAATTATGTTCCCCAAAATTCATATGTAGAAGTCCTAAGCTTCAGTATCGTAGAACTTGACTTTATTTGTAAACAGAGTCAATGCAGATGTACTTAGTTAAGATGAGGTCACAGTGGAGTATGGTAGGCTCCTCATCTAAAACAACTGGTGTCCATATAAGAAGGGGACATTCAGACACAGACATACACCCAGGAGAACACCACGTGAAGATGAAGGCAGTGATACAGCAGAAGCCAAGGAACACAAAAGATTCCAGCAAACCACTGGAAGCTATGAAAGTGGCATGGATCAGATTCACAGCCCTCAGAAGAAACCAACCATGTCCATACCTTTACCTCAGAGTTTGAGCCTCCAGAACTGCGAGGCAATAAACTTCTGTTATTTAAGCCACCCTGTTTGCAGTACTTTGTTATGGCAGCCTGGGAAACTAATGCACGCCCTCTGCTAAAAATCATTCTCTATTCAGTGTACACATTAAGCGCTTTCACCATTACAACATTTTCTTACAGGTTGCCAATGACTTCAAGGCTTTTGCGTGGACATTCAATTCCATCCTATGCAAATAACATGGCTGACTTGGACAATTCTGGTGTGGTGAAAACACAGAGGTCCTTAGTCATTGCCTTGTCAGGCCCAAAACACCTTCCATAGGAGGTCTCATGGGTTCTATTTATTAACCTGGTTTTCTTTCCCACTAAACCAGAAGGTTCTCAAAGACAGACACTATGTCTCACTCATCTTCATATCCCAACATAAAGGTGAGGAAGGGGTACAGCATTTGTTGAATGCCTTACTTTTTGCCAAGAACTGTGCTAAGCACTTTAAATTTAGCTCCACAAACTGATCTTAGTGTCTGTCACGTGCCAGGAAGGCATCAGTGTCCTCATTTTATAAAAGAGGAAATTAGGCTCAGAAAATGACTGGAATGAATTCATATGTGTATGTAGGTCAAATCTGGATGGATAGATAGATCAAATCCATATATAAACACAAATATTATGAAAAATATTAAATTCATTCAAAAATCTGAATACCTTCTCTCAAATAATGATATTAAAGGGATAGCATTTTTCTCTATATTTGAAAGTTTTCTGGCATAAATTTCTCTCAATGCATTTGTTTTGGAGTATTTTTAATTTTTTAATTTTGATATCTTGTGTATCAAGACACGATGCCCTCTAACAGACATATTTGCTAACAGAAATAAGAGGCAACCCTGAGTATCATGTCTTCCTGCACCCCACCCCCTGCTGGTTTTCCGTGATCACGAAGAGCCAACCCAGACAATCTGAGTGCCTGATCAACCTTGATGAATGCCCTCTGGATTTAAAATTTCTCTTGCCAACTCCATTACTTAGTAGTTAGTTTTCTTATCTTCTAAGCACCTAGAGCATTATTCCATGAGCAGGGGACACAGGACTAACTTTACAGGATCCTGAAAAGACTCTAAAAATTCCCCCTCACATCAGGCCCTTGAGCCAAACCAGACACTTCAGCTCTCACCCTCAGGTTTCCAAATCTACCCTAAGCAACTCAAGGAAAATCACAATTGTGAACACTCATGAAGAATTTTTGCTAAATCAGCACCAAACTAGATGTTTAATGATTAACTATATCCCCTTGAGAAAATATTCAGTCACAACATTGCCTGGCAGTGATGCCTTGTTTTAGAACACCTCTCAGAAGGTATGGCGAAGCACAACAATTTTAGAATCCATCTCCCTCTATAAATGAAAACACATCTAAGCAATGAAATTCAATATTTACACTGAATTCCTTTTCAAAGCAACCATGAGCCCCCTGAGGACAGGCATCATGTATTTCTTATTCTGAACACCCATTATGATGTTTGGCATACCATTTGCTCCCAATGGATATTAGGCAGGACTGACTGACAGAGAAGGTACTAAAATATGTATACATATAGACATATATGTATATATATGACCATGGCTAGCACCAAACATGAGCAAGAGCTATCTGCAAATGCATCTATTTGCATATCAATTGCTAAAACTAGTGGAAGTGTTTTTAATGCTTACCTTGATCACAGGCTCTAAGAATATGAAAGTAATAACTTACCAAGCCTAATTCCTTACTGTCAAAATATCAGAGGCTCAATCATTCTCACAAAACCCAGGCACAGTTCAATTTAAAATGACAACTAGGAAACTTTAGGCTTAACCACGTCAACTGAACAATTAACTTCTTTATTTGAAACATATAAAATATTTTATGTATTTGCTAATCATTCTACCTTGTTACATATGAGAAGCTTTTGAGTTATGCCAGTGCTTAATGTCTCTGTTTTTAAACTTTTCTAAATATAAGAAATCACACACTAATACAGGAATAAATGACATAAAAAATCCTTGTGACCCAAAGGGTATCACTACTAACTTTCTGATGTTTTTCCTCCATATCTTTAATCTGATATCATATACAATTTAGCTCAAAAATGGGATTCTATACATTCTGTTTTGTAACTTGCTTTTTTTCATTTCTTGTGTCTTTTTCTAACTCCTGTGGGTTTATTAAATCAGACAAAAACATTACATGATAAGCTAGCAAACCTATATTGACAATCATTTACTGCATATTTTTCTTAAGTAATGAACAATATCATGATTCGTATTTTTCAACACCCCTGTCAAGCTGAGGTAAAGTAAGTAGAGATGGATCTCTGTTCAGAAATATATCAAAACCTACAACTTGGGTATTATATCAAAGCCCAAGAAACTGTCAGCAAAAAGTTGATATTTCTAATGTAGGCTGACCCTAGGTGACTCTGATTGACCCAAACCTTTTGCTTACAAGATAAGGAAAATTCCCTATTACCATATCAGCTCACTAGTTGGAATGTTGACTATCTGACATCAGAAGTGAGGGTGGAGATGGAAGGAAAGGAAAAAACATGCATACAGACATTGTAGTATTTCACTAGCAGATTTCCAGACATACTGTGGTACACAGGCCCATCAATTATATAAACTCTCAGAAAGTTCAAATAAAACAATAAACAAAGAAAAGGTCATCATATAACAGCAAAGAAAGTCAGAGAAAACAGCTGCCAGTGTCAGGCAATGCTTGAGCCAATCTAAGGAGGAAAATATCAGAAGAGATTAAGACTGCTGCTGGCTTTAAATCTTCAGGTGGTGCATTCCGTCTGATAGCTGCCATACCGAGAAAGACAGCAATCAAGATCGGTAACCCAGTGACCCTTTCAACCACAGCTCTCCTTCCCCCAAATGGGTTGTCAATATCCATTTTATGGGTTGCAAGCCTGGGGTTTGGGTTATAGCCTATAAAATGTTAGAATGCATTCTGCCGGAGCAGGGGAGGCAGGGTGGGGAGAAAGACCTAAATCTGTGACTCACAAATCCTCCATATGAGGCCCTCCTTGGGGAGAAAGCAATTTGCTCCAAAGCACTGGTCCAGAATGAATCTCTGTCTCAGGTGACATAAAGAGTGATAAAGGCCGGGTGCAGTGGCTCATGCCTGTAATCCCAGTACTTTGGGAGGCCAAGGTGGGTGGATCACTTGAGGCCAGGAGTTCAAGACCAACCTGGCCAACATGACAAAACTTCATCTCTACTAAAAATACAAAACTTAGCCGAGCGTGTTGGTGCACACCTGTAGTCCCAGCTACTCAGGTGGCTGAGGCACAAGAATCGTTTGAACCTGGGAGGCAGAGGTTGAAGTGAGCCGAGATCACAACACTACGCTCCAGCCTGGGTGACAGAGCAAGACTCTGTCTGAAAAAACAACAACAAAAAAGCGTGATCAAGGTTCTTTCAGTTCTATCTGCAACCCAGATAAATGGGCATGGTATTTGCAGATTTCAGTTTCAAGGACTTACCTAACCTCTTTGTCAGAAGTGCTCTGACTAGAAAGAAAGCATGATGATAAAAAGTTAAAGCTATTAAATTGCTGCTTGTTAACATTTTTTTGAGGGCTTTAACTCATATCCCTGAAACCTAGAATGTCTTCTAATTACCTGTGCATACCTCACTGATGAAAACTAATGGGATCATTTCATTCCCCTACTTACAGTCCTCCAATGACGCCTAGTCCAAACTCCTTCTCATGTCCAAATGGGTCCTTCTTGATCCGAACACAATCTCAGGGCTTTCTTCCTTAACAACATTCAACGTATAAGGTACAATTCAGCCAGATGTTGCAACATAGAACTCCACAATTTATACCACATTGTTTCTCTTCTCCCTGTCTTTGCACATGCTGGTCACTTGGCCAGTCAAACCCGTCTGCAGTCTTCAATTGTCCCTTCATCCCAAGCCCACAATCTTCTAGGCAAATCCTCACTCACTATAGCTTCAGTAAAACAGATCCACAAAATGGGGCTGACTTTTTGAAACCAGCTACTTGACTTTGCATCCTGGTTCCATCATCTAGTAGTTAGTTGTTTAACTTCCCTAACTTCTGTTTTCTCATCAATGAGATATGAAAAGAACACCTAAAGATGTTGAGAGTTTTAAACAACATAAGACATTAATCAGCTTTTTGGAACATTCTAAGTGTTCAGAAACTAGTAGCTATTATCTAATTATCATTATTATCATCATCACTATCTTTTAAGACCCCTGTTAAAACTCCTTTTTTTGTAAGACCCCTTTGCCAAATACAACTTCCTCCCTCAAAATGCTTTCTTACATTTTGTCCCACGCCTGAAACTTGGACATACTTCTAATATGGCTCTCATACTGAATCATAAATATTTTTTGCATATCTGTTCCCTCTCTGAAAGCTTCTAAAGAAAGGGAACCACATTGCATTCATCTTTGTATTCTCAGTGGCTACCAGTGCCTGACACACGGGAGATACGAAAATAAATATTAGCTGAATGAATCAATAATTGAAGGAGTTCTTTAAAAGCCAAGCAAAAACCAAATACCAATCAATCAAATCATATTTAACTGCACTAAGGAAATTTACTATTCAGAGAAATCATAAGAAAAATTAAAGAACCGAATGAAATCGTGAAAAGCACGTGGATTTGGGAGTCAGGCTTGTCTGAGTTAGAACCCCAGCTGTTCCTCTTCCAAACTCCATGACCTAGATCAAGTTATTCAACCTTCAAGAGCCTTTGCACCTTCATCTTTAGGTAAGGTGAGAATACATCTACCTCATAAGGTAAACAAGGTAAATATATAAGCCAACTACCTGAGCCTATAAGAAAGTGTTAATTTATGAAGAATTACTTTTGTAAACTTAATTCTTACTCTATGAATCTTTATGCGAAATTTGGATCTGCTAAAATGCTTCATACACCTGTACCACCATAGGGGCTGAGTTTTTATTTTCTTGTTCTGTGCCCATGCTCTTAAGCACTCAGACACGCACAGCTCATCTTCCATCTACCAGGGCACCACATTTATTGATCTGTGTACTATGGACAAGTATTCTTTGCTTTAATTCAACTATTGTATATTGCTTTTGCTCAAACCATTAATTTCAACCTCAGAATTTGGAGAGTAAATTAGGAATCATTGTCTGAGGGACCCAAGCTTGAATAGAGCTGTGTGAATCCTAATTAATATATTCTTGGACACTCCATTATAAATAAACTGACCAGCTCCACATATTTAAGGAAAATAGGGCTGCAAACAGAGCATAGGGTGCTAAAGAAAACACAAAAAATGATCCTCAGCCAAGTGCGGTGGCTCACGCCTATAATCCCAGCACTTTGGGAGGCCAAGGCAGGTGGATCACTTGAGGTCAGGAGTTTGAGAGCAGTCTGGCCAATGTGGTGAAACCCTGTCTCTATTAAAAATACAAAAATTAGCCAGGCGTGGTGGTGCACGCCTGTAGTCCCAGCTATTCGGCAGGCTGAGGTGGGAGAATTGCTTCAACCCGGGAGGCAGAGGTTGCAGTGAGCCGAGATCATGCCATTGCACTCCAGCCTGGACAACAGAGCGAGACTCCATCTCAAAAAAATAATAATAAATAAATAAATAAATAAATAAGATGAACTTCATCTCTTTTGTTTATTTGACTAGGTCTGACCATAATGATAGAAATCCTTCACAGTTATTCAATCAAAAAAAAGTGAATTAACCATATTTCCTACCAATCAACCTATAGAATTTGCACGGAAATGTTAAAATTACCAGACAATCCTACTCATTCTTATAGAAAGAACATACATTAGTCATGAACTCCAACCAAGTATACAGGTTGGCAGGGAAGTTTAAAAGGGGGATGTGGTGGGAAATGACCAAGTTTCTGATTTCCCAAGTCCAGGGAATTCCCAGTTTGTTCCTGAACATTTATCCCTAACCAGTTTATCTCTAACCATTCCTTTGTTCTTGACACAAGAATGAAGGAAGCAAGTGAAAGATGGTTATCAATGTTACTATTCAAAAACAGAGAAATTAAATTAAATTCAACCAAATCTCAAGATCAACTGGACAGGTTTGAATCATATGTAGACGTCGAACTGCTCATTCAGCCCCTAAAACCTAATTTCTTTTTGTTTTTTTTTTTGAGACGGAGTCTTGCTCTGTCACCAGGCTGGAGTGCAGTGGTATGATCTCAGCTCACTGCAACCTCTGCCTCCCAAGTTCAAGTGATTCTCCTGCCTCAACCTCCTGAGTAGCTGGGACTACAGGCGTGTGCCACCACACCCAGCTAATTTTTGTATGTTTAGTAGAGATGTGGTTTCACCATGTTGCCAGGATGGTCTCAATCTCTTGACCTCGTGATCCACTCGCCTCAGCCTCCCAAAGTGCTGGGATTACAGGCGTGAGCCACTGCGGCTGGCCAAAACCTAATTTTAATGGAAATGTAGAGGTCGATGAATAGGAACCTCGATAAAAATTGAGTATGGGCAGAGTGTCATCTACCTTATGTTATTATGGAGGATCATGGATTGTACACATTGCAAATGCAGGTGTCATTAAAATTAGAAAACAAACAGTTCTCTTTCGTCTTACCAGAAACCTAAAGGCTCATAATTGCTAAGGAATAAATGGCTTACCTTCGCTACGTTTCAAGTCATGAGGGCATCAACAGACACATGAGTATTATAATATCTGTATTTGTCTTACTGGAGGAACAGAAAGAAGAAAAGACAACTTTGCAAAAGTACCTGACTACAACTACAGTAGTGTGGAGTGTGGCTATTAACAACTGCCCCCAAAAGAGAATAGAACTTAAGTCCAAAGTAATGCAACTTTATTTAAATCATAAGCTACAAGAGAAAAGAGTTGGCACATCAACACTACATACTGAAATTTAATCAAACTGAAAAGAATAGTTGATCTGTCTTCAAGAAAAAAAGAGGGGGGTAGTGTGTAATATTTTTGATATATGGATGGCTGGGTAGAATAAATGACTGCCGCACAGAAGGTTTATCTGTAAACACGGCAGCAATTCTGGGGTTTTTAACCACAATAAATGGCTTGTTTCAATCAGATGCTGCTAGCAGGAAATCCATGGCCCATAGGAGCAATTACCCATCTCTTGACTGAAGCACAGGGCAATTACAAGCTACCGAAGTACACTCACAGTACCAAAGCACTTGACTATACGGTGCTAATGGAACTGGGACAAGAAACAGTGGTTTGTGGCTACACTTCTCAGATTCAGCCCCTCCTCAATCCCCTTCATATTCCTCTTATCTCACAAGACTGAAACACAGACAGAGAAATTGTGCAAAAGAAATATCATCTTTATTCAAAACACAGATATTAGGATCTTCTATACTCCTGCATCCCACCACAGCCCCTTAAAATTATTACACCTATTCTGATGTTTTTACTGCATCACACCTTTATCAGTGGTTTTATAGAACCCTTCTTACCAATCTCCTATTCAGAATTTGGTGCTCATTATTAACTGAATCAATTAGCCAAATTAGAACTTCTAATCTTAAGGAAGTGAAGAGAAAGCTGTCAGGGAAACAAATGAGAAAATAATTACTCTTTTATGTCACTGTGAAAAATATGTCAACCAGATATTCTTAGAGAGTTAACCACTCTAAGATTAGAGACACAAAAATAAAAAATAGTAAATGGTCTATCAAGGTAAACTTCCATTCTCATGACTTTTATTTCTAATAGGTAACATTTCCTGAAGACCCAATATGCCAAGCATTGCATTATGTGCTTTTAAGTGAATTGTCTCATTTAAGTTTCACAATAACTGTGAAGTAGATACTATTATCATCCTCATTTATAGAATGAAATAACAGAGACTCAGCTTGAGTACACCACAGTTAAGTATATTGTGGATTCAAGACTTGAATCAGGTCTGTAGACATCCAAAATCTAGCTTTTAAATACCATGTCATTCTGCCTCTGTTATTGGGTAACTCTGTAAGTCATAGTTAACTACTATGAAAAACTGGCAAGGCCACCCTATCATGTTCCCATAACAGACATTAATAATCAATCCCAGCATCCTTCCCCCTTGACTGTAGACAGGACCACAGAATCTCTCTCATCATAGTATTTTAGGTAGTCAATAGTCTTCAACTTTTATGCCAACTCCCTTTTAGAATTTCTCAGCACAGAAGCCTTGGCGTAGTACTGGACCCATTAGTAGGCATTCAATAAATGTTAGTCTTTAAGAGATCCTGTGTAGCAGAAACATAGACAGATCTATCAGACTTGAACATATCAGCGTTTAACTTCTGGCTCTACCATTTACTAATGATGTGATTTAAGCAAGTTATCTAGCTTTCTGGATCTTAGTTTCCTCATTTGTAAAATAAAGATGGTATTACCTACCTTGCAAAGCTTTCTTTTTTTTTTTTTTTTTTTTTTTTTTTTTTGAGACAGGGTCTTGCTCTGTTATTCAGGATGGAATGCAGTGGCGCTATCAAAGCTCACTTCTGCCTCAAACTCCTGGGCTCAAATGATCCCTCCACCTCAGCCACCTGGGTAGCTAGGACTATAGGTATGCCCCAACATGCCCAGCCTATTTTTTATTTTTTATTTTTGTAGAGACAGGGTCTCACTATGTTGTTTTTGTAGGACAGGGTCTCACTATGTTACCCAGCTCTCACTGTTATCCTGGCCTCAAGCAATCCTCCCGTCTTGGCCTTCCAAACAAAGTGCTGGGATTATATGCATAAGCCACTGTGCCTAGCCACAAAGCTATTATGAGGATACAATAAGATGATCTTAAGAGGAAACCGATCCCCCAGGAACACCAGACCTCTTAATAACAAAAATAAAAGATCATTAGTTTTTCACAAAACTGCTTGAATCCTAGAAGACTGGAATAGATCTGAGGCATGCTCCTGAGAAGGAAGAATGGAATTAGAAATAACATTGAGAGGATGCCTTGAGCCCGGGAGGTCGAGGCTGCAGTGAGCCGAGATCGCACCACTGCACTGCAGTCTGGGTGACAGAGCGAGACCCTGTCTCCATTAAAAAAATAAAAATAAATAAGAAAGAAAAGAAAGAAGAAAAAGAAATAACATAGTGTCATGAGAGTCCTGGAAATGGGACTATGAAGACTAAACAGACTCCATATTCCAAGAAGGACAGATAACATTAAATAACAACTTAGGAGAAATGAAAAAGACATCTCAGGTCCTGAATTGAGGAGAGAGAAACAAAAAGTCTACTCCTAGGCAATGAGTAATGGTTGTGATACCTACCATGGATATGACCTAAGGAAAAAAAACCCAAAAGAAAAAAAAATTGTTTCGCTTCTCGGTCTGAGACCCAGCTAGCAAAGATTGAATTTTTGTTCTCATCCACCAGAAAACTCCTAAGACACCATAAAAATATATAACATAAACTTTGGATTTGCTCTTAAGATAATTGATTCTCTCGACCTAGCCTTCCTGAGGACGGACAGAGGCCCAGCCACATGCTACGGGGAGCATCCCTATGCCTGGCTCATAGTAAGTACTTAATGCATGTTAATTTTTAACCTCCCTTTCCCTTAAAAAGAAGAAACCTTGCTTCTCCAAATGTACCTTAGTTCCTGCCTACAGAGAAATGCACCATTTCCATTCTGGGCCTCAATAGCTAAGTAGCATCCAGGGAAAGTAGGAATCTCAAACCTCTGTCACAGTACTTGCTGGAAACTAGATTAGCAACAGTGTGCCTAATCCAGTTTCCAAGAAGTACTGCAACAGAGGCTTGAGATTCCCTTTTTTCTCTTTTTATTCATGCATTTCCTATTTTCTCAAGCAGTTAGAAAAGGAAAGAAGATGTTCTGCTAGAAAAATCTCCATTCACATCCAGCAAATTTCATCATCCCCCTCCAGCCCCCTAGCCAACCACCACCACCACCAACATGCATTGTCATGGTCCTCTTCTGGGCTCTAATGATAATGGATGCAAACAAACCAAAATCATTCATAAAACTGAGTCATGAAAGAGTTGACTACACTTACCTTCACAGAACTGGTTTGGGAAAATTACAGAAATAGGTGGGGAATATGTACACTGCACTGCAAGAAGTCCATATGATCTGTACATCATGCATTGCACGATGATCAATCTGTCTTTCTTTCACATCCTCTTTTTTCCTGTCATATCTTTCCTTTTCTATTCTTCATGATTCAAGACTTGAGCCTAGAGGTTAGAAGGATGTACCATGCTACTTTGCAGTTGTGGATTCTCATGGATGCCTAAACTCCCTATCTCACGAAGTTCTCCCTGTTGCTGAGATCACCTGTTTCTAGTTCCCATAACGTGTATACTATAGATCAGAAGTGTTCTGTGCTAAAGAATCCACAAATGCCCGTTTTATGGAAATTTGATGGTGCTTTTATTCCAATGTTTTTAAAATAATTCTTTGGAGAACACGCAAGATTTGGGATCTTAAAGATACTGGCTTCTAAAAAGGATTTCAACTATCATACTTGAGCACTTGAGTTATTGAAAACAAAGCAAATAGAAGCATGCTCTGATGGATTTTAAAAGGTCAAATACCTTTGATGACACTAGATATTCAAAAACTGTGATGGTTAACCTCATTTTTATGACAAAATGTGTTATTTTTTCATTGCTTGGCTCACGGATCCTCTCTTTATTCTACGTTGTACCTTCACAAAATGTGTGTGTTATGACATTCATTCTGGTCTCCTTAGCCTCCTGGCTCCCTAACCCTTCCCATTGCCCTCCAAAAAAAAGTAGCCACAAAATTAAGGAAAAATATCCAGCTGAAAGGGCAAGGTTTTCTAGAAGAGGAAAAAGAGTGGGAAATGAATTATTTCAGACCAAAAGCAATTATAGTTTGAAGGCAGAAGCAGACATCTTCTGGCACAACTGTCAAGATGTTACAAAAAGATTAAAGGAGTTTTTTTTGTCATTTAAAATCTGTTTCTGGCTGGCAAAAAAAAAAAGCGTGCTGTTCAGTTTGTGATTTTTAATAAGATTTCTCAATAGACTCGCTGCTTTAGAAAAAAAGTGTGAGAGGGAAAGAAGCAAAAAAAAAAATCGAAGGCAATGCAGCAAATATAGCCACGACTTTGGTACAGTATCATTCATTGTAGCCATTCTGGTGGATTTAGACAAGATTTTTGTGGGAGGTTATACCCTACACAATAATCTGTCAACAAAATATACTTTTTGCAGAGACTTTTCAGGATTTAGGCTTCTACTGGGGTAAAAGTAAAAACACCAGATTAATTACTTTCAAAACTCTAGGGATTTTTGCTCAAGGAGGCAAAGGATGGTATTTTTCACTGTTAATAGTGTGCAAGCCCTAAGCTTCAAACATCCAGATCCTATTTTGTCCCCATTCTTCACAGTACTGGCTTCCTCAATTCTCCACGAGGAATTGCTGGTCAAGCTCCTGCAGGAGAGACACAGGAGGGTATCCAGAAGACCTAACTAAGGTTGTTCCATCAAGGGAGTCATGATTTCTAGAATATTCCCTATCTTGTTCCCCACCCTTAGGAAATAGAAACTGTTTTGGAACTTGATTATGGTCTTAATTCTCTCCATGGAAGCTGAGCAACCACCGATTCTCTTCTACCTTTCCCTATCTCTCCATCATCACCCCATACTCCATCTCTTTCCATTGATGGAGTTCAACATATTCATTTCAAAGGCTCTTCTTCTGGCCTTCATCTCTTCTAACCTCCTGTACATTCCTTTCCATTTGTGAGCATGGTGGGTCACAGTCTTGGCTCATTCACAAAAATGAATGGATATTGTGAATAGAAGGAAGTTTCATAGATTCATTTTTTTCTCATTTTGTTTCCAATTTGCAAGAATTTCTTTTTTGCTTAATGCATGTGTAGAATGGGCTAGGACCTGTGGGAAGCCACATAAAATAAGTATGTGATATGACCTTTTCTTTCAAGTATTTTACAATATTTTGAAAGAAGCAAGACTTTTACTTGGGAAACAATTAGAGCACAGTGTGTGATGGTAATCAATGAAGTGCTAAATAACCTGCCAAATGGTATGATACATATAATAAGATCTACTGGCTTTCAGGAGGGAGTCAGGGGTGGAATTCTTCTACTTAATTCAGTCCTTGCATTTGTTTCTTGTCTTGTGAACTCATTCAGAGGTCAACGAACTATAGCAAATTTAACGTTGAAAAGGACCAAGTTCCCAACTCTCTTCCTCTAATATATAATATTAGAGACCCTTCTCCTTCTATTATTTCCTCTTGAAAGTCTCTAGCATAACTATCATCATATTTGACATAGGAATTCTTTTAGAGTATATGCTTCCTCTAAAATATTTACAAGTCTGAGTATACCTTAACATTTTACTTTTCACTTTTTAAAAGCATGCAAAAATCAAACCTTTGGCATCCAAGTTAAGTCAGCAAACTGAAAATTTTAACATAATTTTTTTCTTATCCTAATGCTCCCTAAATGGAAAAGCTAAAATCTGAGGGAGGCTATTTTGAAGTGAGGAAATATGGTGATGCTTCCAGGAATTTAGGATGAGAAAAAATATTTAATTTCTCATTTAACTCAACTTTATGCCTTTGGCCAGTCGCCTCTAGCAGACATTAATAGGAAAAGGGAAAGATGATACAACTTAAATCAGCATTTACTAATTGCTAGAATGTGTCTTTTGAAAAGGAGTTTTGTAGAAAAAGAGATTGAAAGTCGTGAGTAATTTTGTGAATTTTTAGCATATTTTATATTTCCTAAAATAATATTGCAAAATATAATTTTAAAAAGAAACAAAAGGAAAATAAAGACTAAGATGAGGAAGCTGAGGAATTTTTAAAAGGAAAAGCATGACTGTAGAGCACCAACGATGTGCCAGCCACTCAGCTAGGTTTTCCCTATACATTATCTTATTTAAGCCTCAATAATATCCACACATGGTGTTGTTATTATTTCCATTTTACAGATGAAGCACTTGATGATTAGGGAGGTAAAGTTTTATTTGGTCAATGTTACAGACTAAACGTTTATGTCTCAAAATTAAATTAAATTAAAATTCCTGTGTTGAACTCTTACCCTTCAATGTGATAGTATTAGGAGGTGGAGACTTTGGAAGATAATTAGGTCGTGAGGGTAGAACCCTCATGAATGGGATTATTGCCCTTAGAAGAAGAAACACTAGAGCTTGCTCCCTCTCTCTGCTGTCTACCACATGAGGACACAATGAAAAGATGACCATCTGCAAACCAGGAAGCAGGCCCTCCTGAGACACCAGATCTACCTGCACCTTGATCTGGAACTTGCCAGCCTCTAGAACCATAAGAAATAAATTTATTTTGTTGAAGCCACTCAGTCTGTAGTAATTTATGATAGCAGCTCAAACAGTCTAAGACAGTTATCATACAGCTAGTAAGCACAAAACTAGGATTTGACACCAGTTCCAACTCACTCTTGCTTTTCACTCTACAGCACTGCCTCTCCAAATAACTAGTAATTCCTGGAAAGTCCTTCCAGAGTGGTGACACCCACCACATTTTGGGTACCAAGCAGACAGGCTTCTAATGTAGAACTTCTAGGCTCAGCTAACCAGGGGATGCAATGAACACAGGGTAATATATTTGATTTTTCTTTCCTCTCCTCTCACTGCCTCTGAGATTTCACTGCGCATCTACAGACAAACGCCCAACTTGCCTGGAACATCAAGAAGAGTGAAAGCGAACCCATCATGGTGAACAGAGATCAGGAGGAAAAGCCTGGGATCATCAATCAATCTCCAGTTCATCCCAAACCTACTCAAGACGCAGCAATCATGTGAAGGAAAGGATTCCTGACTCTAACAATGTGCCTTCAGAAGCCTGATCACACAATCAAGTGGCTCTAATTCCCCAGGGCAAACATACCTGTTCTGTTTATCTAAATGAGCAGAAGTGTTGAAAAAGATACAAACAAGAGAAAAAACACTGTGCTCAGAATATTTTGTATTTGTCAATGTGCAGTTGGCATTGGAGTGACCTGCTGTATTGAAATGGGACTGGCTTGAGGGAGGGGGTTGCTGAAAAGAGAGGAGAATGTGGAGGATGAAAGTGAGACAGACAACTCAGAATTTTTCCCTTTTGAATTTCAACCTGTTGGATAAAAACAATAGCAAATGAGGCACTGAATATGCATGAGGCAGGGAAGGTATTTTAAGTTTTTCAGGAGACAGCTCGCTGAACAGAATTGCTAATTATGTCTCACATTGCTCTGTCCAATTCAGTTAGCTTGATTATGGCTGAGTTGTCAACTCCCCTGCACTTGAGGTTCCACAGTTGCAGCCCATTCTAAGGCTTAATACTAAATTAGAATTATATTTTTCCCCCAAAAAAAAATGTTTTCCCTTGCTGAAGTGCTAGCTTTATCCATTGTGACAACATAACCTTTCTCAACAAAAATAAAATTAAAACCGCCAAGGGTTCAGATTCAAGGGTTTTTGGAGTTGGTGGAACGTCAGAAATGTAATCGCAGCTGTGACAATTGCAAATTAAGATTGAACAATGAGCCAAATTAAAAAGGGTGAGAAAGAGCAGAACACCATATGGAGTCTCTCGTTGCTACCCCCACAGGATATCTTTGATTCCCTAGGATAAGGAGGATTAGCCAACAGAGGGATGGACTAAATAAGAGCCCTGGCATCTCACTAACCTGCAGCCACTGCATAAATCAAGAAGTTCAATTTCCCATTTCCTTAACTTAGTTTCTTCACCTTCAAAACAAAAGAAACTTTGCTTGATAACAGTGCTGGTTCAAGAGAGGGATGATGAGGGAAGGAGGGGTCCTGGCTGAAGAGCTAAATGAGGATCAGTTATATCTAGGCCTGTCTAGCAAATCAGGATTCTTGGGAGAATTCACCCTAAAAATAGAGAGAATGTGGCATGATGGGCTCAACTGAATAAAATGTCATTGGATTAAGTTCAGTATGGCGCCTTCTGTCAAATCCATTCAATTCCAGCCAAGTCTCTGCAGGACTCATGTCTGAAATGGATGAAGAACAATAAAGCGTGGAGAAAGGTAAACAAAATGAGGATGCAAGCAGTCCTGGGGCCCCCCTCCAACATAGCACGGTCCAAAGGAGAGAGGAGCAGTGCTCCCACCTTGCCCCAGAGAGCCACACTGTTTTGGGAACACGTGGGTGCAATGCTCTGTTGAAGCAAGAGACAGCTGCAATGGCAACTCTGCCATGCTGGGAGACAGGCAGGGGCAGGCAGAAATTGCAACAGCAGGCAGAGAAGCACAGTTTCAACAGAAGAGTCTTATCTGAGAACATTTGTGACACGTCCCCTGGAAGTTCACAAAATGGTCAAGGCAAGGGGGTTGCGTTTTACATAGTTGGAGAGCTGCAAATGCAATCTAAGAATCCCAGGCTATCCTGTTGGGGAACCACGAGGAAAAGAACCAAGCTACCTTGGCTGACAGCCCCAATTTCTGAGACCACCAGAACCAGCCAGCTGACCACAAACACATGTGTGCATCCAGCCAACATCACCTGGAGCAGAGATGGGCCTCCCAGGTCAGCCCTGCCCAAATTGCAAAAGTGTTAAGTAAATGAGCGGTTGTTGTTTTCAGCCACTATGTTTTAGGATGGTATGCCACACAGCAATAGATACCTGATACAATCTGTACAGACATAACACATTTCCTTCTGGTATCCCCCAACTTTCAAGATAGAAAAAAAATAGATTTTTTTAAAGCAATCTTAATTGTTCCCAAGCAGTGTTGCTGCTGACCTTAATCAGAGGCATTAGAGCAGTAACCATCATCTTTCTTGCTAAAATTAAAGCTACAGTGCATCATTCTGCTTGAGCAGGAAAATCCTCCAATAACAACAGCTTCTATGCCCACATCTGTCTGCCCTGAATAGTATCAGAACAGGGTGATGGACATGTCCTTCGGCCCCAGCAGCACATCAACTCCAAAATGGGTTGTGAGTTCAGGGTAGCACTGCACTGCCACAGGCTTGGTTATTTGCCCTACAGAGTTGTTTTCATAACTGTTCCCTCAGTTCTCCAAACATCCCCATTAGGAAAAGAGGAGATAAAAATTACATCCATAAATAAAGAAGCTAAGTTACAGAGCTGGGGAAAGCAAGTCAGCTGCAAAAAGCATAGCAAATAAAACATGCAATGTTATTGTTGGGCATTATTATCCAGTGGAGGGGGACGTCTCCATTAGTCCATCTGCGTCAAGAACATAAACAGAAGATGTCCGAGGAATGTGCAGGATTACTTTTTATTAAACCTAACTGGAAAGAGAAGTTGTGGAGGGGGTGCTATTTTTTAAATAACATTTGAAATGGTCCTTATTTCTGTTTCTCATCCCCTGTCCTCCTTCCTCCTAAACTCAAAAGACTTTGGTGGGGCAAAGACTGTTTCTCAAGCAGAATTTTCTTTCTGATTAAATCTTCTCTGTTCTCATGCGCTTCCTTTGCTTCAGCTCTGATAAGCCTCAGGTCAGTTCTATCTGAGTTTACAATCCAATGTGAACTTTCAGTGATCATGGAAATATAGATATTTCTTATTTTCAGGAATATCAGATTAAGCCATCATCCTTAAGCAGCCAAGGTAAAGGAACTAAAATCACATCATAAAATGCAGAAACTATTTATTCACTTGAACTCTTTCTCATAGATGCTTTAGAGACAAGTATATCAAAATGTTGTTTATAATCAAGGAAAATTACCACAAAAATATATCCTGTTGCACATGATTTGTTATGTCTCCTGATGTCTGTCTTTAAGAAAAAAGTAACTGGGTTTATTTCAATAGGTTTGCCTGCTTGCTGTGATGATGGATGCCAGTTGGAAGTCTCAACTTTAAGTTGATGGTGCTTAAACAAGAAGAGTGTTTTCCATGGTTCCAAGTCAAAAGGTTCAACCTGGTTTTCTTTTTCTTTTCTTTTTTCTTCAGTTTTTTTAGTCTCAACAATGCACCCATACAAAGAGGCTGAACTAAATTCCATTTCTCATTAAGTATTAACACTGGGCTCCAGCTTAACACAATCTGAGTCAGACTACAAGAAAAAGTCAAAACTAAGAAAAATCCAAACCTGGAGAGACAAAAGGACAAAAATCTAGGGGTCTCAGCCTGACCAACAGGAAGAAAAGAAAACGGGGAGGAGCCAGTGTCTTCTGTCACTTTAATCCTGTTTCAGACTGACCTTCTGACTCTGAAGCGAGGTCAGGAATGGCAGCAGAGACCCAAGGCTGGATACTCCTACGACTGCCACCAAAAATAAGTACTTATTATGAGGAATCCCAGGTTGGAAAAGATAGACTTCCTTTTCTAACCCCCAGTGCCCTTTTCTAGCCTAATCCCTACGAAGAGTAAGGATGGCTCCTTTGCCTTTTGTCTCTTACCATATGACCTCCTAGAACTCGTTCTTACATGTTTAGAATAAACTCATTCAGAGGTTTAAACAATTAACAAAGTGACTACTTTCTGCAAGATGCCTAGACACAAATATCCTTCCAATAAATAATCATATTAGTAAGAGCTTGCTATATTCCAGACCAGGATACAAAAAAGTTCTATCATTGAATTCTCACAACAGTCCTATAAGAAAAGTAGCAGACTGGTTGTTTTTATCTGTTAACACAGCCTATAATACCACCACATCCCATTAGAAGACTCTTCCTCCCATTCTCTAATCATGTGATAGTGGTGGGAGTGCCGGTTCTAGTACCCCATGGCCACCACAAGTAGAGTGGGCAAGAAGACCAGGTCTAAATAATAAAAGCACCCCATTCATCACACCATGCGATTGATCCAGGGTGAGAATATGACCAAGTAGAATCAAGTAGACTAGTTCATCACAATTTTTTTATATTGGTAAATCATTTAAATCCTGAGTTAGAGAACTTGATACATCAAGCAACAGCTGAAACATCATCTTCTCTGCTAAGTGGACAAATCCTGTTTGCAAAATAGAGACTAAGAGAAAAGCAAATCAAAAGGGGAGAACAAGATCATAATTTGAGTCCCTGGATCATACTTTCACCAAGCACTCCTGCAGAATATGTTTATATAGATTAGAGATACAGATATAGATACATTAACTACTACACTCTCTTTTCTATTTCCACAACCTTGATATGGATTATTCACATAACCCAAGCTTCCTGACTTACCAAGATGGATCCTATTATTTCCTCTCTCAAAGATGGGAAAACTGAAACTTAAACAATTTTCCCAAGGTCACACCAACACGAATGACAGGATCTGGGTTCAAACAAAACTCATTAGGACTTCAGAGTCAGAGCTCTTAGTCATTGCAAAATATAACCTACTCAGCAAAGCCTTTATGCTAAGCATTTTCACAGTACAGGGGAGAACAAAACTGCTCTTAAAAAATGGTTCTGCATTCTATGCTCACGGGTAGGAAGAATCAATATTGTGAAAATGGCTATACTGCCCAAGGTAATTTATACATTCAATGCCATCCCTATCGAGTTACCAATGACTTTCTTCACAGAATTGGAAAAAACTACTTTAAAGTTCATATGGAACCAAAAAAAAAGCCCGCATTGCCAAGTCAATCCTAAGCCAAAGGAACAAAGCTGGAGGCATCATGCGACCTGACTTCAAACTATACTACAAGGCTACAGTAACCAAAACAGCATGGTACTTGTATCAAAACAGAGATATAGACCAATGGAATAGAATAGAGCCCTCAGAAATAATGCCACGTATCTACAACTATCTGATCTTTGACAAACCTGATAAAAACAAGAAATGGGGAAAAGATTCCCTATTTAATAAATGGTGCTCAGAAAACTGGCTAGCCATATGTAGAAAGCTGAAACTGGATCCCTTCCTTACACCTTATACAAAAATTAATTCAAGATGGATTAAAGAATTAAATGTTAGACCTAAAACCATAAAAACCCTAGAAGAAAACCTAGGCAATACCATTCAGGACATAGGCATGGGCAAGGACTTCATATCTAAAACACCAAAAGCAATGGCAACAAAAGCCAAAATTGACAAATGGGATCTAATTAAATTAAAGAGCTTCTGCACAGCAAAAGAAACTACCATCACAGTGAACAGGCAACCTACAGAATGGGAGAAAATTTTGGCAATCTACTCATCTGACAAAGGGCTAATATCCAGAATCTACAAAGAACACAAACAAATTTACAAGAAAAAAACAAACAACCCCATCAACAAGTGGGCAAAGGATATGAACAGACACTTCTCAAAAGAAGACATTTATGCAGCCAACAGACACATGAAAAAATGCTCATCAGCACTGGCCATCAGAGAAATGCAAATCAAAACCACAATGAGATATCATCTCACACCAGTTAGAATGGCGATCATTAAAAAGTCAGGGAACAACAGGTGCTGGAGAGGATGTGGAGAAATAGGAACACTTTTATACTGTTGGTGGGACTGTAAACTAGTTCAACCATTGTGAAAGTCAGTGTGGCGATTCCTCAGGGATCTAGAACTAGAAATACCATTTGACCCACCCAGCCATCCCATTACTGGGTACATACCCAAAGGATTATAAATCATGCTGCTATAAAGACACATGCACAGGTATGTTTATTGCGGCACTATTCACAATAGCAAAGACTTGGAACCAACCCAAATGTCCAACAATGATAGACTGGATTAAGAAAATGTGGCACATATACAACATGGAATACTATGCAGCCATAAAAAATGATGAGTTCATGTCCTTTGTAGGGACATGGACGAAGCTGGAAACCATCATTCTCAGCAAACTATCACAAGGACAAAAAACCAAACACCGCATGTTCTCACTCATAGGTGGGAATTGAACAATGAGAACATATGGACACAGGAAGGGGAACATCACACACCAGGGCCTGTTGTGGGGTGGGGGGAGGGAGGAGGGATAGCATTAGGAGATATACCTTATGTAAATGATGAGTTAATGGATGCAGCACACCAACATGGCATATGTATACATATGTAACAAACCTGCATGTTATGCACATGTACCCTAAAACTTAAAGTATAATTTAAAAAAAAGATTTAAAAAAATGGTTCCATAGGAGAGATAGACAGGAACATAAATAGCACAATATAAAGAAGATTGTGCTATTCTTATGAACACACCACTTTTCAGTAATGAATACTATTTATTTAAACTATCTGATTTGGTCTTCTAACAATTCTGTGAAGTAGACCTTGCAGAGATTTTTGTTAGTCCACTTTACAGATAGGAAAATATCTAAGAGAAAGTCTTCCCAAGATGACCTAACTAAAAATATGTGATAAATAATGAAATGAAGCCTGGACTAGACACTACGCCTTCCAGCTCCCAAGTCTTGTGTCTGTTCCCTTTTACCATACTACTTACTTGCCCTGGCTTAATTTAAGTAGGCAAAGCATCATTATGGGGTTCAGGAAAAGATACCTGAAATTCAGAGATCTGGAGTTAAAATCTCCCTCTCAACATGGAACTACTTGGGAAATTTCTGATCAAAATTTCTAACCAAAACTTTTTTTTTTGAGACAGATTCTTGCTCTGTTGCCCAGGAAGGAGTGCAGTGATATGATCTTGGCTCACTGCAACCTCCACCTCCTGGGCTCAAGCGATTCTCCTGCCTCAGCCTCCCAAGTAGCTGGGATTACAGGTGTCCACCACCATGCCTGGCTAATTTTTGTATTTTTAGTAGAGACGGAGTTTCACCATGTTCCCCAGGCTGCTCTCAAACTCCTGAGCTCAAGCAATCCATCCATCTTGGCCTCCCAAAGTGTTGGGATTACAGGAGTGAGCCACCACGCCAGGGCCTACCAGACTTTTACAATAAGAATTTTTTTTTTAATCTAAAGTAGTTCTTGCCAGACACAGTGGCTCTCACCTATAATCCCAACCACTACAGTGGCTAAGCCTGGATAATCTCTTGAGACCAGGAGTTCAAGATCAGCCTGGGCAACATAAGGAGACTGCTATGTCTGCAAAAATTAAATTAAAAAAAAAATTAGCCAGGTGCAATGGGGAAGGCCTGTAGTCCTAGCTACTCAGGAGAGTGAGGCAGGAGGCTCAACTGAGCCTAGGAGTTCCAGAATGCAGTAAGCTACGATAGTGCTACTGCCCTCCAGCCTGGGTGACAAAGCAAGATCTTGCCTCTAAAATAAAAAAAAAAATAAGTAATTCTTAGACTCCAAAATTTGAAAATTCAGTAAAGAAAGATAAGTGAAACCATATATTCACCAAGATTTTCTTTCCATTCTTTTACACTTTTCAAAATTTGTTTGAAATCCATCTGAAACATATTGTGATATAAGGTGTTAGATGAGAATAACTTTTTCCCCTCTGTAAAACTGATCAATTCACCAGCATCATTTAGAGATTAATCCAGTCTTTTCTACCTGTATACTCACATATACAGCCTTAGATTTTTTTCTGAGCTATTATTTCTGTAACCTTACTGTGGAAAAAGCTGTATAAGTATAAAAGACAAAAAACAATAAAGAAAAGAGATGGAGGGTTTTGCATCTGTACAAACACGCACCCATATATCAATTAATACATAAAAAAGATTTTAAGTCAGTGAACAGACTAGAAATATATGTCTTACATGACCAAAAATCTTGATTTGCAGATTTGTTATAAATACAAAAAGACAGATGTCCAGGTAAAAATAAATAAATAACAATTAGGAATAGCCAATCTGCAGAAAGAAAAACACATGAATTGGCAGAAAAAATTTTTTGAAGTATGACCATTTTGGCAATGATGCAGGGAAACATGCACTCTGAACTACTACTAGAGACTACTAATAATTAGTACCTTTGTGGAAGACAACTTAGCAATACATATCTAAAGCATTAAAGTGTGCTCTACCCTCTAGTCTATGAATCCAACTCCTAGAAATTTTTCTAAATAACTAAGGATGTAGGCAAGGCTGTTTTATATAAAGTTTCTTAGTATCCCATTTATAATAGCCAATAAGAATCCTCAAATTAAACTATAGTGGGACAAGCAATCTTTTATGCATGCAATGGAATAACTTGTAGATCTGAAAACTTATCATTCATTCGTCCAAACCAAAGTTTAACCTACTGTGTGTCGGGCACTGTGCTAGGCCTTGGGAATACTTAGTCCCTATCTATATGTAGTTCACAGCATAGTCTCTAGAGAGAGACAATCAAAAATCACACAGAAATAAAAAGTTACAATTGTTATTAGTGCCCAGGAGAAATCCACTCAGCAATGAGAGCTTCCAATGGGAAACAGACAAATCAGGGAGATCAGAAAAGTCTCTTAAGAGTAAAAGAAGGGCAGCCTAGGTAAAAGGGTCAACACACGCAAAAGCTATTTTATCCTTTGACCACCTGTATATGTTGACAAAGAAAGTATAAAGATGACTACAAAAGCATATTAACTGTATGCTACTTTTATAAATGTATGCGTATGTGTTTTACACACACACACAAATTTAAGAACTTAAGGACTATTAACAAAATGTTAACAGTGGCTATCTGTGGTCGGGGTGATATTCTGCACACCTCCTCCCCTTTTTCCTGTTTTATTTTTTAAATTAACTTTGTAAATAGAAAAGTAAATTGTGACTAGAACAGAAAACTGCAGATTTGCCTCCTGATACTGCCCCAACTCCATGTATAGGCCATTGTGTGATCAAGCCAACCCCACCCTACGGTCAGCTCTAACTTGCCCCAACTGGAGAAGTTAACAGAAACTACAAACTCCAGAGTAAGTCGTGTTTTCTCACTTGCATATCTTTAGTTACAAATGACTATTTACCTGTCAGTTGGGCTGAGAACACCCATAGGTTTTCCTTTGAAGTGAACCTCTTGGATTTAAAGCAATTTTTTTTAAGCTGTTGAAGGTTTGCTTGATCTAAAGTCTCAGAGACATTTGAAGTTGTGACTTAATGGAAGATTATTTTTATTCACAGTGATCAAGCAGTTAACGAGATAAAGTAGAGAAGAGACAAGCTTAATAGAATATGTGGTTGCACTGCATGTTAATCTTTATAAAAGGCAGAATGAAAATAACAGGAAACCAGGAAGAAATTGGGACAGATGGCTGAACAGCTCAAAGATAGGAAAAACAACTCTTCCCTGCGTAGACCTTTCAAAAGCATACCCCTCTCATGTTGAGTTCAATAGATAAAAAGGCAACAGAGAACGAGAAGATGGAGAACCAGGACTAAAACTTCCTAGTGGCTGTTCTCTTGAGACCTTCATCTAACCCTTCCTCGAGCCCTTCCCCGCCCCTCCTCTGAGGGGCAAAATGCATCTGGAGCAACTACAAGCATTCAATATGGAAAGAACATAAACAGTAAAGAAAGCTACCATCTGCCTCAATGGTCCATTATGCACCATTTTAACCTCCATAAGTCATAACAAGACGAGGGGGAATCTCCAGTCTAGCCAGATTCAGCAGCAATGCACAAGGGAGGCCAGGGAAGCAGATGGCAGAAGGCAGGGAAAGGATGCTACTTCAATTTATTCTCCGTGTTGGTTCAGTTATCATTGTTTTCTGGTGGTGGTGTGAGGGGGTTGTTTTTGTTTTGTTCTGCATGCTTGTTTTTCAGTCCTGTAAAGAAAAATTCAGGCTTCCCAATTTTCAACTCAGTTGAGAAAACCGTTAAAGTCTCAATAGCCTTAAGGGAGAAAAGGAAATTTGTCATCAATAGGTATCTGTTTAACCCACTGATGGAGAGGTGGAACCAATTCTGAATAATTTTAGTATTTCAAGTAGATGATTGAATACATCTTGGGAAACTGGCAAAGCTATATTCTCCAGTGGGTCCTCTGAGAGCTCTCTGCATCTTACTCCTTTGGGATGCTTATTCTCATTGCAGATTCCTGGGGCTACCCCAGCTATTGATTTATTAAGACTAAGGTGGGACGTAGGAATCTGTACTTTCTAAATATTTTAAACATGCTGACAGTCTGTATCTTAGATCCAATGGCTGAAGTCCTTGAGAATCTATATTTCTGTTGGATCTTATGGGTTTGGGAACTGGAACTAATATTAAATTGGGCTCGATACCTGGAACCCAGAGACACCTGGGCAGAGAGGCAGCATCCCTGCAAGGAAAAAGTGCTCTGGTTTCTGCCCTCCTTGCCTTGATTCCAGCAACCCAGGAATTCAGAGTTAGTTTCAGAGTTTAGGTTTTTGTGGATCGGGCAAGTGGTGTGAAGGTTCAGAAGGGCAAGCCTATGGAATAATCCAGAGGGAAGAGTGCATTCCCACCCCTGCTTGGAACTCAGGCCAAGAGAGTTATCTCCTTGTCACTTCTTTTTGCCAGTAGTAGATTTTTCTTTTAGCTTGCCCTTCTTCATGAGGAAAAAGAGCACTCCCAGTGGGGAATGGGAGGTCACACTTCCCATTCTCCACTGTGAGTGAGTTAGACTTTCTCTTCTGTCCCCCTCTATCCTGAGATGCAGGAATCTAGGTTATTGCCCCTCAGGGTAATGTGGTTTTAGCATCTAATTATGCCTTCAAGTTGCTGCTCCACTTCCAGTCTCTGACCCTAGGAATTTTCCTTTCTTGATCACAAGTTCTGTTTCTGACCCCAGGAATTTTCCTTTCTTGATCACAAACTCAGTTACGTATTTATAATGATGTTGGCTATACTTTGTCCAGCATTTCTAGGAGTTGTGTAGTGGGGGAGTTTTTCTGGCTGCGTTGCCTCATGGATTGCTGGAAATAGAAGTTCTCCAAACTGCATTCTTAGCAAGCACCACAAATGATTCTTATCCACACAGTAAAGTTTGAGAACATTGTAATCCTCAGCAAGTAATGAGACTTTATAGTTGTATAACAGCAGTTTATAAAATGTTTTCATATTCACTTGTTTCACTTCATCCTTGCAACAACCTTATAAAACAAGTGGGACTGGTATTTTTATTCCAAACTTTCTGATGATTAAGCCTAGTCAGGATAAGTTTCCTAATACAAAAGTCTTTAAAGAACAAAAACAAGAACCAGACCCCAGATCTTCTAATGCTTGGTCCATTGCATCACGCTACTTTATTCCCAAGGCTATAATTTCAGTTTCCAGGAAATCATCTTCTGTCACACAACACCAAATCATAGCTTTCCACATCAATTTGAAGGAGGTAGAGTCAAATTTTGGGGGGAGTTTATGGGTCTGTGGCTTTCTTCTCTGTGTATGTCTAACTTTGAAGCCCTAATCTATGGCCACAGATTTCTTTAAAAGTAATATCTCCAATTAAAAACATATGGCAGCTGGGCATGGTGCCTCACACCTGTAATCTCAGTACTTTGGGAGGCCAAAGCAGGAGGATCGATTGAGCCTAGGAGTTCAAGACCAGCCTGGACAACATAGTGAGATCCCACCTCTACAAAAAAATTAAAAATTAGCTGGGTACGGTAGTGCCTGCCTGTGGTTCCAGCTACTTGGGAGGCTGAGGTGGGAGGATCGCTTGAGCCTGGGGGGATTGAGGCTGCAGTAAGCCGTGATCAAACCACCGCACTCTAGCCTGGGTGATACAGTAAGACCTTGTCTCAATAGATAAATAAGTAACATGGCAACCTTTTAAATTATCTCTATAGGGGATTGACGTGATTTATAAGAGTATCATTTGCTTTTAATAATCATCCTTCAACTTTTTAAGAGTCTTATGTTGCATCTATGTGTGCTTCATAGAAAGGCTTTTCCACAGTAGGAACCTCTCCCAACTGCTGCCAGGCTGGTAAAACTCTCCTATCTTTAGAGTTTGCAAAGAGTAAGTGTCTTCCCTGTAGAAGACATTGAAGCCTGGTTGAAGAACTTTTTCTGTTTCCCAACTCCAGATCTTGAAATTTATCTGAATTTCTGGGTGACTTTTCAGCCTTTCAGGAAGACTCAGCGTGCTGTTGATCATTCTTTGGAGCTGATGGTCCAAGCAGTGGTGAACTCACCATGAGTCCTCAGCTACAGCCATTCACCTCACAGCCACATTCATTCCACAAATATTTGACCACCTGCAATGTGACTGGAAACCAACTAGAGGCTGTCTCATATCCAGACTATGTTTTAATATTCTGTGAGAAAAATTTTACTATGAAATTAACATTGCAGAGTTTCAGATTGCTTCAAGGGGCCTTTTAGCAGAAAATCATGCAACTAAAACATTTTTCTGCCCTGTCCAGTGTTAACAGAGCCTTCCCTTTCTACTTGGAGTTACCTCTTTTTCCTCCTATCTTTAGGGTTTACAGAGAGTGAGTGTCTTCCCTGTAGAAGACATGCCAAGAATTTTTCACAAGCACAAATTGCCATGAAAACTTAAAAGAAGTTGTTTAAAGGGAAGTTAATTAATTTTATTTTAGTGTTGTTCA
Organism: Homo sapiens; assembly: GCF_000001405.40. Lineage (NCBI taxonomy): Eukaryota > Metazoa > Chordata > Mammalia > Primates > Hominidae > Homo > Homo sapiens. The sequence continues at coordinate 163,585,009 of NC_000005.10, read as the reverse complement.
AACGCCTTTGAAATTGCTGCCTTTTTTTTCCTTTAGGGCCACTCTGGTTTACTTTAGTCCCTTTAGCACACGGCAATTTGCATGAATGTAAAACGTTTTATCTACATTAATATTCTACAACTTGACTAGTTATATAGTCATGATTAGGTCAGCCAGTAAACCTAAGTGTCCACCAATGCAAGGGTGACAGAACTCATAACTGTACATCCATTCAACAGAAAACTCAATTGCCATCTAAGAATGAGATGGACTTATGTTGTATGTACATGGAAAGATCAAGCTATATCATTAAGAAATAAAGTAAAATTAAAATACAAGGCATAAGGTTTATCAGTCACACAAATGGTTAGAAAAAGGATGCTTCTGAGTAAAAGGAAAATTAAGAAGGTAAAAGGCCTCTCCCTCGTCTCCCTCTCCCTCTCCCTGGTCTCCCTCTGATGCCACCAAAGTTGTGAAAGCCGAGGCTGGACTGTACTGCCGCCATCTCGGCTCACTGCAACCTCCCTGCCTGATTCTCCTGCCTCAGCCTGCAGAGTGCCTGGGATTGCAGGCGCACGCCGCCACACCTGACTGGTTTTTGCATTTTTTGGTGGAGACGGGGTTTCACCGTGTTGGCCGGGCTGGTCTCCAGCTCCTGACTGCCAGTGATCTGCCTGCCTAGGCCTCCCGAGGTGCCGGGATTGCAGACGGAGTGTCGCTCACTCAGTGCTCAATGTTGCCCAGGCTGGAGTGCAGTGGTGTGATCTCGGCTCGCTACAACCTCCACTTCCCAGCCGCCTGCCTTGGCCTCCCAAAATGCCAAGATTGCAGCCTCTGCCCGGCCGCCACCCCGTCTGGGAAGTGAGGAGCGTCTCTGCCTGGCCGCCCATCATCTGGGATGTGAGGAGCCCCTCTGACCGGCCGCCCGGTCTGGGAAGTGAGGGGCGCCTCTTCCCGGCCGCCATCCCGTCTAGGAAGTGAGGAGTGTCTCTGCCCGGCCACCCATCGTCTGAGATGTGGGGAGCGCCTCTGCCCCACCGCCCCATCTGGGATGTGAGGAGCGCCTCTGTCCGGCCGCGACCCCATCTGGGAACTGAGGAGTGTCTCTGCCCGACTGCCACCCCATCTGGGAGGTGAGGAGTGCCTCTGCCCGGCCGCCCCGTCTGAGAAGTGAGGAGCACCTCCGCCCGGCAGCCGCCCCGTCTGGGAAGTGAGGAGCCCCTCCGCCCGGCAGCCGCCCCGTCTGCGAAGTGAGGAGCCCCTCCGCCCGGCAGCCGCCCCGTCTGAGAAGTGAGGAGACCCTCCGCCCGGCAGCCGCCCCATCCGGGAGGGAGGTGGGGGGTCAGCCCCCGCCCGGCCGGCCGCCCCGTCTGGGAGGTGGGGGGCGCCTCTGCCCGGCTGCCCCATCTGGGAAGTGAGGAGCCCCTCTGCCCGGCCGCCACCCCGTCTGGGAGGTGTACCCAACAGCTCATTGAGAACAGGCCATGATGACGATGGCGGTTTTGTCGAATAGAAAAGGGGGAAATGTGGGGAAAAGAAAGAGAGATCAGATTGTTGCTGTGTCTGTGTAGAAAGAAGTAGACATGGGAGACTCCATTTTGTTCTGTACTAAGAAAAATTCTTCTGCCTTGGGATGCTGTTAATCTATAACCTTACCCCCAACCCCGTGCTCTCTGAAACATGTGCTGTGTCCATTCAGGGTTAAATGGATTAAGGGCGGTGCAAGATGTGCTTTGTTAAACAGATGCTTGAAGGCAGCATGCTCGTTAACAGTCATCACCACTCCCTAATCTCAAGTACCCAGGGACACAAACACTGCGGAAGGCCTCAGGGTCCTCTGTCTAGGAAAACCAGAGACCCTTGTTCACATGTTTATCTGCTGACCTTCCCTCCACTATTGTCCTATGACCCTGCCAAATCCCCCTCTCCGAGAAACACCCAAGAATGATCAACAAATACTAAAAAAAAAAAAAAAAATTAAATAAAAATTTAAAAAAAGAAAAAAAGAAGAAGGTAAAAGGCTCTAGTTTCCTTAAAATTCAAAAATGCATCAGTGCATAAGGCAAAACACACAAGCATTCAGGTATAATATTTTTAATAATCAGATCTGAGCCACCAAATAATTCCTAAGTGATTATCATCTATGATGGTCCTCTGAAATAACCAGATAAGGAGTCAGTTTCACCATTCTCCTTATAAAAATGTTTGTATTGTCTTTCTTCACATACAGGAACCAGAGAATAATTTTAGTAATTTTTAACATGTACTGAGCTCTTACTAGGAATCATTACAGTGCTAGTTCTGAAAGTGTTAGCCAGAAAGAGACAGAAAAAGAAAATCACTAAAATCTAAAATCTGTACGTCATAGCTGCTCCAGAATTTCTATGCAGGCAAGGGTATTGAGCTCTATTTTCACAGAATTTCTAAATCAAGAAAATGCCAATGGACCATATTAAATCATGGTGAGAGGGTGAATAGCTAATTGAATGCAGGTAGACCAATCTCAATGGTGTCTCTGATATCCTAGAAGAAGAATATCCCCAGCAAAAAAGAAGCTGTCCCTCTCTAGAATAGAAAATTAGGTTTTGTCTGGTGGAAGATTCTAGAAAATCAACAAGTTTCAAACAGTTGTATAGAAGACTTTTCAGAGGTGTAATAGTTTACAATGTCATAGGTATGGCAACAACCTGATCCCTTCCTTTAAACAACATCTCTCCCTCTCTCTCTCTCTCTCTCTCTCTCTCTCTCTATATATATATATATATATACATATATATGTTGCCTTAATATACATATATATGTATGTATATATATATATATATAGAGAGAGAGAGAGTATGTAATTACACATAACCAACAGCTTAATTGTCCTTCAATGCAGTGTTTCTTAAATGATCTGTGGTTACAAAAAAAAAAAGAGAAAAAATTAAAAAATGTCTGCTTTTGTTTGTTTATTAACTTCTGTTCTATTGCAGATGATAACAGTAAGTGGCTGAACTACGTGTAACCCACCATGTGGATTGACATCACCCAACCTGACCAGACGCTGATGAACAAGAAGAGTCCACTGATCACTTGCTTGGATGTCACAGCACTGACAAGTAACTTTAAAAGTTTCTAAATACTAATTCTCGATTTCTGTTCTTTTCTTAACCTAGACCATAACAAACAGTGCTGGTCCACAGATCATACTTTGGGTAGCACTGGTTGAAAAGCATATAGCTCCAGGCTGGGCACGGTGGCTCATGCTATAATCCCAGCACTTTGGAAGGCTGAGACAGGAGGATCACTTGAGCTCAGGAGTTTGTAACCAGCCTGAGCAACATGGGGAAACCCCACCTCTACAAAAAATTAGCCTGGTGTGGTGGTGCGCACCTGTAGACCCAGCTACTCGGGAGGCTGAGGCTTGAGGCTGGGAGGCAGAGGTTACAGTGAGCTGAGATTGAGCCACTGCACTCCAGCCTGAGCAACAGAGCAAAATTCTGTCTCAAAAATAAAATAAAATAATAAAATTAAAAGCATATAGGTCATATCCAGCAGCAATCAAAAAATAGACAATTGAAACAAAAATGTCCCACTGCTCCTCTTTGCTGAGTTTGGTAAGTATCTTGACATAGCAAAACAATCTGTTTCTAAACACTGTCACCATTTGCAACTACTTATCTTTCTGAGTTTTAACTTACTCAACATTATACAATTAAAGTAAGATAAATTGGATATTGAAACTGAAAAATCATAATAGACCCAGACTCCTGCAAATACATTCTACAGAAAAATGTAAATTTCATTATAAAATCCATGACCCCAGTAGAGATTCGTAACATACAATGGCCCTGAAACATCCTGCAGAAACAAGGTGGATGACCCTTTCAGGGTCTGTGAGTTATTTAACCACAATACCCATTCGTTACATTGTATCTAGGAACATGCTGATTTACATATTTTGGGAAATGCTGAAGAAGAACCTTGTAAGTATCCCTTGTCGTTTCTAATGCCTCATATTTCCTGAATCCTTGTATTGCTAATGCAGATTCCTTAACATTTTATTACACACACACACCCTCTCCCTAACATGCACACTTTTTAAATGCATCCAAAATTTCTATTTTCTGCCTATAAATAAAAGACATCTATTTTCAGTACTGAAATGAGGTCCTCCATTTTCAGTAATGATAATCAGAGCTTTGTTGGGAGCATAATTCCTCCGTTCTAAGACAACTAGCTATTGTGCCTATAAGTAAAACACAATAAACCTGTTTTGAGATATGGATGCTGGAGAATTGCCAAGACTCACCAACTACCTGAAGGACTCAGTTTTATAGCCAGTGACCCAGAGAGCAAGGTTCAAATCTGTACCTCAGCCAAAGTAAATGTTCATGCATGATTGACTCTTACTATCACCTGAGGATACTAAAAGCAACAATGTTAAATATATCATTGCCGAGGTTTTATAAAACAAGAGTGAACTTTCTACTTCCAAAGACCTATTTACCAATGCTAAAGCTCAAACCAAAATGGATGAGAGTCATGTAATCCACCTGATCCCTTCTAGCCAGGTTTCTCAACTTGACAGCCCAGCTCATGCTACTGAAAGCCTCCTGTTAAAAATGCAGCTTTCAAAAAAAAATGCAGTTTTCATATGAAAAAATGTCCAACATCACTAATCATTTGAGAAATACAAATCAAAACCACGAGTTACTATCTCACACCAGTCAGAATGACTACTATTAAAGAGTCAAAAAGTAACAGATGCTGGCAAGGTTGCAGAGAAAAGGGAATGCTTACACACTGTTGATGGGATTGTAATTTAGTTTAAGCCATTGTCAAAAGCAGTGTGGCAATTCCTCAAAAAAGCTTAAAACAGAATTACCATTCTACCCAGCAATCTCATTACTGGATGTGTGCCCAAAGGAATATAAGTTTTTCTGCTCCCCACAGATATTAGGGCCAGAAAACAATAATAAAATTAAAAAAATCATTCTACTATAAAGACACATGCACAGATATGTTCATTGCAGCACTACTCACAATAGCAAATACATGGAATCAACCTAAATGCCCATCAACGGTAGATTGGATAAAGAAAATGTGGTACATATACACCATGGAATACTATACAGCCATCAACAAGAACGACGCCTTGACCACTGCAGCAACATAGATGGAGCTGGAGGGCATTATCCTAAGTGAACTAATACAGGAACAGAAAACCAAATACCGCATGTTCTCACTTATAAGTGGTAGCTAGACTATCAGAACACATGGACACAAGAGGAACAACAGATCCCAGGGCCTACTTGAGGGTGGATGGTGAGAGGAGGAAGAGGATCAAAAACTACCTATCGGGTTACTATGCTTATAACCTGGGTGACAAAATAATCTATACACCAAACCCTCATGACACGCAGTTTACCTATATAACAAACCTGCACATATACCCCTGAACCTAAAGTAAAAATTTTAAAAATGCAGTTTTCCCTAGATTGTAGTGAAAATGGGACAACTGTACAAATACCTAAAAAAAAAAAAATTGAAATGTACATTTTCAATGGATTATTGAATGGTATATAAATTATACCTCAAGAAATATATTAAAAGTAAGAAAATTTAAAAACCACAGCTCATGGCTGGGCATGGTGGCTCACAGCTATAATCCCAGCACTTTGGAAGTTGGATGGATCACCTGAGGTCAGGAGTTTGAGATCAGCCTGACCAATATGGTGAAACCCTGTCTCTACTAAAAACACAAAAATTTGCCAGGCGTGGCGGTGTGCACCTGTAGTCCCAGCTACCCGGGAGACTGAGACAGGAGAATTGCTTGAATCCAGGAGGCAGAGCTTGCAGTGAGCTGAGATTGTTCCACTGCACTCCAGCCTGGGCAACAGAGCGAGACTCAGTCTCAAAAACGAAAAAAAAAAAGAAAGAAAAACAGTTCACGGACCTCATCCCCAGCTCCCAGCTAGTCAAGGTAGTAGGTGTATGATAGAGTTTAGGAATCCACCATTATTTGTAAAGAATCGTGTCATTCTTCTGAAAATCAAAGTTTATGCCGGGCATTCTAAACTATATCCTGGAACTAAGCTGGACCATCGGAAAGCAAAATTTTGCCTGGGTTGCCTCCAAAGTCATTTCACTGAGTTGCTGTCATTAAGCAATGCCGCCAGCAGGGAAAACCCCTAACAGGAAGCCATTCTTTTGCTTTAGGATGTTTTGGTATCATCCAACCCTCTTCCTAACGGGGAGAGGAAATCATGCAATTAAAAAAATATATGCTAGGTACCAACAAAAGATTTCCCTCTCCCAAGGAATGGCTATGTTTGTTTATTTATGTAAATAATTGAACTGACATTACTTCCTCTTTGAATGTGCTTGCTAGGAAGCTCAGAAACCAAAAGTTCTTTTAACTCGAGTAATTGTATTGGAACTAATTGTATTTATCTCCAAGTATAATGTATAACTTCTATAGTCTTGATATCTTTTTGCATATTTTCATGTGATAGTAAACAATCTTGTAAATTGCCCCAAATCCTTTGTGAAATCAGGCAAAATAAATAATTACAAATAGACATAAATACATATAGAACTGGCATTGTAAAAACTCCTACAAAATAAACAATTCAATCTTCTGAATAACTAGAAAAGAAAAAGAGATTACCAAATGAAAATAGATTCCCTCTAGTCACTTGGATATATTTGTAGTTATGTGCGCAAAGGCATTGTGGTATCGCTTTGAACTAATGAATTAGCCACGATAGGAAGGTCTCTAGCATTGTGGCCCTGAGAGGTCTTGGCACATGGTACTAATTCCTTTGAAGGAAAACATCTCTATCAAGGAGCAGAAAGACTTTCCCCTAAATTCTGTAGCTCTCAGCCAATATACTGGAGGGATTTGGGTGTGGGTTGCAGTTACAGTACAGGGGAGGAACCTTTGATACCTATGGGGGAAGTTATAAGAGTTAGTTTCTGTATACCAAACAGCAAGCTTTGGGATTCGGAAGACACCTTTGGTCAATTCTACCTTCCTACTCCATTTGTAATGTATTCTAAGTATGATGGAAAAACACTTAAAAGTTTCGAGCAGGGGAGTGACATGATCTGTTGGAAGTTTCTAAAGGATTTTTCTGAGAGTTTTGCAAAAAATAGATGAAAACTGGTGGGTGGGAGTGGGCAAGACTGATAACAGGGAAACCCAGAGACTGTCTAAGATTCAATATCCACTCAGGCATTAAAACTAAAGTAACCAACTAGGAAAAAGAAAGACACTGCTTTAATCTGATAAATAGTATCTTCAAACAAGTCCAGACAAGAGATGATGAAGCCTCAACTAGAGTCATAGGACAGCAGAGGAGACAGTAAGATGTGCCTGGATAGATCTTGCAGGTAGAGCAAATTAGACGTGCCGTTGGACTGAATTCCAGTTTCACCAACTTATCTGAAGCCTCAGTTTTGGCGTTGTTTGTCCAGAAACTATAGTGAAAAATAAGATTTGGTCACAATTCTAAATGAGCTTTCAACTGATAGCAGTCATCATATTAATAAAAAGAAATCTAAAGCAGATTGCCTTTATGCTTTTTTTTTTTTTTTTTTTGAGACGGAGTCTCACTTGTCTCCTGGGTGCGATCTCAGCTCACTGCAACCTCTGCCTTTCGGTTCAAGCGATTCTCATGCCTCAGCCTCCTGAGGCCTGTAAGCTGAGATTACAGGTACCCACCACTATGCCTAGCTAATTTTTTGTATTTTTAGTAGAGACAGGGTTTCACCATGTTGGCCAGGCTGGTCTCGAACTCCTGAGCTATTAAAACAGATATAAATGAGCAATTTCCTGCGAAACTACATCCTGAAAATGACTCAAGAAGATATAGAAAATATAAATAGAATTATAGCCTTTAAAAGATTAAATCACTTGTTATATATACACACAGAATCACCAAGCCAAAGCTGTTTAAAGGGTAATTTTTTCTAAATGTTATGGAATAATCTTAATCTCATGCAAACTATTTCAGAGAATTGAAAAGGGCAGCAAGCTATCCAGTTCATTTTATTAGGCTACAACAACCTTACCCAAGAAACAAAGAAAGAATGCATGAAAAAGGAAATGATCAACTTATCTGAGCATCGGTATAAAAATAATTTTTTACAAAGAATTGAAAAACTAAATCCAACAACATTAACCTGCTATCTCACACCATACACAAATATTCAAAATGGATCATAGATCTACATAATAAAACTTCTAGAAGAAAATAGGAGACAATCTTAGCAATCTTGGAATAGATCAAAGTTTTTAGATAGGTAAGACACAGAAGACATAAGGCATTAAAAAAATGACAAATTGAACTTCAAAATTAAACAATTTTGGTTTTAAGGGACACTTTTCTTTTTTTCTTTTTTTTGAGATGGAGTCTTACTCTGTCACCAAGCTTGAGTGCAGTGGCGCAATCTCGGCTCACTGCAACCTCTGCCTCCTCCTGGGTTCAAGTGATTCTCCTGCCTCGGCCTCCTGAGTATTTTGGACTATAGGTGCCTGCCACCACGCCCAGCTAATTTTTGTATTTTTAGTAGAGACAGAGTTTCACCATATTGGCCAGGATGATCTCGATCTCTTGACCTCATGATCTGCCCACCTCGGCCTCCCAAAGTGCTGGAATTACAGGCATGAGCCACCATACTCAGCCAGGACACTATTTTTAAAAACAAAAAAGCAAGTCACAGACTAGAAAAAAAATTCCCAAAACATAGATAAAGGACTTGCAGCCTATACCAGAATGTATATAAAGAATGTTACAACTTGATAATAAGAAGACAAACAACCTTCTGAGCCAAATGGATGGTCTTTAAAAAAAAATTTAAGAAAAAAAAAGAAGACAAACAATCCAATGTTTAAAATGAACAGAAACTTTGAATAAACACTTTACAAAAGAAGATATACAGATAGCCGATAAGCACATGAAAGGATGGAAAACAGCATTAGTCATTAGGAAAATGTGAATTAATATCATAATGATGTATCATTACACAAAAGAATGGCTAAAATTTAAAAGATAATCATACCAATTAAAGACAAGGATGTGGAGCAACCGGAATTCTCATATACTATGATAGAAATATATAAAATAATACAACCACTTGAGAAAATAGTTTGGCAGTTTTTTTTAACAGATTAAACATGCATCTACCATATGATCCAGACATTCTACTCCTCAGCATTCACCCAAGAAAAATGAAACATGTCCATAAAAAGATGTGTACATAAATATTCCTACAGTTTATTTTTAATAGCCAAAAACTGCAAACAATTCAAATGTCCATGAACAAATAAGTGGATAAGCAAATAGTGATAAATCTATAAATGGAATACTACTCAGGAATAAAAAGGAATAAAGGGTGGATTTAACTATAGAAATGTATTGTTGTAATTTACCACATTACCAATTAAAAGAAAGAAAAGAATTATGATCTTCAATTAATTCAGAAAAAAAAACACCTTCTATAAGTCAATATCCACTCAGGCATTAAAACTAAACTAACAAACTAGGAAAAAGAAAGACACTGCTTTAATCTGATAAATAGTATCTTCAAACAAAAACCTACAACAAACAGAATACTTAATGATGAAAAGTCAGAAGTGTTTCCTCTCAAATTAGAAACAAGCCAAGGTTGTTCAACCACTACTTCTTTTCAATATTGTACTCAAGGGCAGACAACTCAATGAAAAATAAACTGCAAAACTATTAGATAGGAAAAAAATAACTTTTTACTCATGGGCAATGGCACTGTGCCCATAAAATCTCCGGACTATTTTGTGGAAAAACTGCTAGAACAAAGAAAAAGAATTAGAAAGGATGCCCGATAGAAGATTAATTTTTTATTGTGTTCCATTACATCAACAATGAGAAAATTATAAAAGGAATCGTGTTGCTGCTCCCTCCACAATAAAAAGTGAAAATGACAGTATAGTCAGGAGGCTATAATTTATGCAAAAAAGTCAGATTTTTTGCTGAGGACAACACCTTGGACCTCTGAAGCATTTGACGCAGAGGTCAACAGCCATATTTGAGTTTTTGGAAGTTTACTCTTGCTGCAGTGAATTGGCAAGAGCAAACAAAGCCACAAACTCCATCTGAGCTATGAATACATTTTTCAAACATCCTAAAGGCAACTGCTTTCAAAACAATAACCAGCTTAAACCAACAGGATGAAAATTCTATTAACAAAAATCAAATTCTGCCTTTCAATTCAAAAAGGAATTTATACAAATATGAAACAGCAGCCTAATAACAGTTGATGAAATAAAGATGTGAAGAGTCCAGTGGATGATAAGTTTATGAGGGGCCCGCAGTGGGTGACAGCTATTAGGAAAGCTATTAGGAGATTATAAATTGCAATAACAACCACCAGAAGAAAAAGGAAATCTCCTGGCCTCTCTAATAGCCTTGTAGGCTGTTATGTCCTGTTTCCTGTTTTGAACACTTTCAGCCATGTTTTAAGAGGTGACTTTAAACATTAGCATCAGCAGAGCCAATAGTGGAGGAGCAGATGGCCATAAATTGTCTTGATGCTTCTATGCATCAAAACCTGTGTCCTCAAAGCATGATGTAGGCTGATTGGAAAAAAAGAAAGAGAGGAAGGAAGGAAGGAAGGAAGGAGAAGGAAAGGGAAGGGAGGAAGGAAGGAAGGAGAAGGAAAGGGAATGGAGGGAGGGAAGAAGGGAGGGAGGGAGGGAGATAGAATGAAAGAAAGAAAGAAAGAAAGAAAGAAAGAAAGAAAGAAAGAAAGAAAGAAAGAAAGAAAGAAAAGAAAGAAAGAGAAAGAAAGAAAGAAAGAAAGAAAGAAAGAAAGAAAGAAAGAAAGAAAGAAAGAAAGAAAGAAAGAAAAAGAAAAGCAAGCAAGTGTGCCCTGGGCATGTTGGCTCATGCCTGTATAATCCCAGCACTTTGGGAGGCCGAGGTGGGAGGATGGCTTGAGCCCAGGAGTTCAAGAGCAATCTAGGCAGCAAAGTGACACCGTGTGTCCACAAAAAAAAAAAAAAAAAAAAAAAAAAACAGAAAAAATTAACCAGACATGGTGACGTGTACCTATAATTCCAGCTACTTGGGAGCGTGAGGCAGAAGGATAACTTTGAGCTCAAGAAGTTGAAGCTGCATTGAGCTGTGATCACACCACTGCACTCCAGCCTGGGTGACAAAGCAAGGCCCTAATTTAAATATTTTTTAAAAAAACCAACAACCTATATCCCTTCCCCTTGCATCTGAGTGGGCTCTATGACTGCTCTGATCAATAGGATATAGCTGGCCCTGTGACAGTTTCTGGGACCAGTTACTGGTGACCTTCACTTCTTTCATCTTGGAGTACTGAAAAAGTCAACCTAGCCACATGCAGAGGCCTCATGGAAAGGTAGATGCCCAGCCTGTCTCAAGCTATTACAGGCTGTAGCTATTTTTTTTTCTTTTTTTTTTTTTGAGACGGAGTCGCCCTGTTGCCCCGGCTGGAGTAAAGTGGCGCGATCTCAGCACCCCCCAGGTTCAAGCGATTCTCCTGCCTCAGTCTCCCGAGTAGCTAGGATTACAGATGCCCGCCACCACACCTGGCTAATTTTTGTATTTTTAGTAAAGATGGGGTTTCACCATGTTGCCCAGCCTGGTCTTGAACTCCCGACTTCGGGTGATCCGCCTGCCTTAGCCTCCTGAAGTGCTGAGATTACAGGTGTGAGCCACCATGCCCAGCCTTAAACAAATAACTTTGTGGAAAAGCTTTAAAACTAAAGGAAGAAAAGATAAATGTTTGAGGTGCTGGATATCTCAATGACCCTGATTTGATCATTACACATTGTAATCAGGCATCAGAATATCACATGTACCCCTAAAATATGTACAACTATTATATATCAATTTTTTAAACTTAAGATTCAATTAAATTCATTCAACCCAGAGGAAAAAAAAAAGACTGGTAGAGATGACCCTTCACTACCACCTTGCTGCCTACTTTCTCACATTTGATAACTCACTACAGTCCAGAAACTGCGCTCATCATTCCACAGTATTCTCTCACTTATGCCTCATAAAACCCTATAACATACGGTCTTATTCCTTTTTCACAGGTGAAGAAACCAAGGCACAGAGAGGTTAAGTAACCATCCCAAAGGCACAGCCAATAAATCCTGAACCCCTACTCAGCTGCCTTGCTGCCTGGGCAGACTGAAGAATGCTTCTTACTCAGAGCAGTGATTTTGATTTTACTAAGAAGCTCCTGGGAAGCTCTGTTCCTTGGTTTCCATAAATGCTTTTATTTGATTTTCAGATGAATTACTAATTTGTGGTGTTATGAAGAGCAGAAAGGAGAATAGATTGAGAGTGCTGTTCCTCTCATGTAGAGGTGGCAGTTTGTTTGGTAGGGGGAGCAGGGAGGAGGTCCAGGTACAGCTTGAGAAAAAAAATACCAACAACCCTTCCCAGTCTTCTCCCCCCAAAGATAGGTTATTTCACAAATCAGATAAATACCATATAGCAGAGTGCACCTCCTTGAAAACTGGAAAATAAATTGCATTGACCCAAGGAGAACAAGATGTGATAAAGAAAGTTAATCATTATTGTTCTTCCCCATTAAAAACAACAACAAAACTTTAAAAAGAGCCTGTCCTAAAAATCAGATAAACAAAACACAATGTTGTTGTATTCAAGAGTCAGTTTATCTAATAAGGCAGCCTCTATATATCTGTTCAAAAAGAAGTGAAAGTTCATTCAGCTTGGGTTTGTCATCAAAATATTGATATTAGAAAGTACTGAGATGGCAATCAATTGGGATGCCTGATATATATATAAATATATATATATTTTTACAGATCATCTCTCGAACTTGAGTAGTTGCTTACACAGCTATGTACAGAAGTGTTTTCTGCAGGACTTTGGATGAAATGACCCTTCAAGGTGGTTTGGTGTCTTTCAAGTACACGGCTGTGTTTATACCCCATCCCGGATCAGACAAGCTTCACTAACCACAGAAGTTGGGATAAAAGCCAGATGCATCCCACACATTCCTGTGGTCCTCCTGCCTTCTGGCAAACTCTAGGACCAGATTGAAAAATCTGTGCCCAGTTTGGAGGCCAAGTTTGGTGTGATCCGGGGATGATTTATATGGCTCTGGGTGGAGTCCACATGACATGTGCTACTTTGGCCAAGTTTAGCTTTGGAGTTTCTGACTCATTTGAAGTAAAATGTACCAGGTGGGGACAGATGGACTCCCCAACAGGGACCAGAGGGGTTTCCTCCAAATCTTGTGGGACCCAAAAACCACTGAATTTCTCACGTCCCTATTCAAAGGCCTAAAAAACAGGCAACACAGGTGGTGTCAGGGAGAAGGAGTTGGATGTAGAACGGCTTTCCAGGATTTGCCAAAAACAAAAATAAATTGCTTTTAATTTCTGAAAGGAGAAAGGCTGGATTGATTTTACAGGCTCTCCTCTAAACAGCAATTTACATGCTGAAACTGTAAAGCTGAGGGTAAAATATCCCTTCCTGGTGATTTAAAATCCGTTGATTAATCTCAAGTTGATGACCTTGTTCCCCTGCAACAATAGAACTTTAATTCATCTCACTCAGCCTGCCTCTAACTAGTTTTCAACAATCACTAAACAACCAGCACATAGTGGCTATCCGATGAATAGAATCCTTATTAATAAATACAAATTAAATGAAGCATATCAAAAGAACCTGATCCCAATACCAAAGTAAATAAGGACTTTCTCTGCATTTAAGAGCAAAATACATCCCATTTGGAAAAATCTCAGGTACTCTAAAGCACTGTTGTCTGATAGAAATAAAATGCAAGCCACAAATGCAAGCCATGTATGTAATTTTAAATTTCCAAGTGGCAACATTAAAACATGAAAACAGGCTAAAATTAATTTTTAAAATAGACTTTTATTTAACTCAATATATCCAAAATATTATTGTTTCAACATGCAATCAATGTAAAAAAAAAAATGATGAGCTGTTGTACATTTTGTTTTCCACAGTACGTCTTTGAAATCCTGTGTGTGTTTTACACTTAAGAACGCACCTCAAGTTGGACGGTTTGCATTTTCAATGCTCTATGGATTTATGTGACTAGCGGCTACTATTATTGGACAGGGCAGCTTTACCATAATAGCCACGCTAAATATATGTCAGTAAGCAAATTTTATAGTTAACTCAGATACAAGTGACCAGAATACAAAGAATGGTTTTGATCTTACAGAAATGGCAACATTTGGGAAGCAATATAGAAGCAGGCTATCAGGACTCTGAAAAGAGCCTTCCCCAAATTTCTCCCCCATGTGCCTCAGTTTCTCCATCTATAAAATGAGGATAAGAGCTCTAAGTATCTCATATGGCTTAGTGCGTTACAACAGTTCATACAAGTAGACTCTTTGGAACTGTGCCTGGAATATCGTAATAATCAACAAATCTTAGCAAGAAGAGGCTGATGATAAATACCTTGAAGGCAAGGACTGTTTCTTATTCACCACGATAAGCCCCAGTACCTACCACAGTCCTATTACACTGAAGCTGATCAATGAGCATTTTCTTTTAAGATATTAAGAGTGGTAGAGACTGTGACGTGCTTCCCAGATTCTTCTTTGAGAAATAAAAGGAATTTTACCCAGGCTGCTAGGAGTGCTGCTAGCAAATAGTCCTTAGCTACCATCTTTCTTTGGGGATTGCCCCAGCTAAAGAGCAATGCCTTGGTAAAGTCAAACTCCTTCTCCAAGGTGGTCCACTTACAACACAATGACTGTTGGGCAGGCTGTCTGCTCCTCAGGGAAGAGAGTTTCGAAAGGCCATTCCAGCTCCAGAGTTCCTCGTCCTTGTGTATATATCCTTGGGCATGCACCATACTCCACTTCTCCCTCTACTGCATCCTGTTTTCTTCCCCTCCCTTCCACTGGTGCCAATCCCAAAAGTACTCCCCAGTAAACATCCTGTATGTGAATACACAACCCAGAGAATGCCAACTGCAATGAAAAGAAACAAGGACTGCCTATTGAAAGAATAGTTAACACTATGAATAAATAATATTTACCAATGTTTTCTTAACAATTTATATTAACCAGGTCAGTACAAATATTGCCAGTATACCACACAGCACAGATTCTCTCCTTGAGTCTTCCCACCAGAAGTATATTTTTTTTCCAAGATACACAACCAAGCGGTGACAGAAGAAATGAGAACAGCTGGGAGCATTGATACTCTTTTTAAGAAATCTTTCTTCTTTGGGTTACCCAAGACCCACATGCTACAACCAGGCACATGCCAGGGTGAGCCTAAACCACTGGGTTCTCTCGCATCTCGGACTTTCAAATTCTTAAATTTGCCCTTTACTTTAAAAAGTCAATGATTTCACCAAGAAAGTTTGATTAGTTTCTTTTACTTTCTGTAATGAAGTGCCATCCTTTTTACACTTGAAAGGATCTTTGTAATAATGCAACATTGATCTTTTGAATACAGATGAGCTAACCTAGATAATAGGATTTAGAATGTGAAAGGCTGGACTTGCGATGATATTTAAGGCTCCAGTGCCATCAAGAGGAATTACAGCACAAAACATCTGTTTCCTGAGACATTGTCTGATGCCTCATAAATAAATGTAGGATCATGTTTCCTCCTGCACATAGTTTTTATTTGTTTCAACATCTTAAAAGAAGTCAATATGCTGTGTCCTCAGATGTCAATCATCCAGTACAAAAAAGAGAGAGAGAAGAGAGAGATTTAGCTCTGAGATCTGTCTTCTTTAGGTCTGCAGCCTTAAGGCTCTAGGTCTAGAACTGGGATTCAATTCTGATACTAGAAAACAGTTCTAATAAAACTTTAGCAAAAATGGAAAGACAATCATTCAAAGATTTTTTTGCACCAAGTTCTGTTAGGGGCTGAGGATACAAAATGAATTGAACACAATTCAAGCCTTGAATAACTGACAAGAGGAGACAGGAGAATAAAGTTTTGGAAAGTGAAGTGGATTCTCCAGGAACCATATGAGAGGGTGCCATTCTTCCATCTCCCCATTCTTTAGAAAAAAACAGAGACTTTGTGGTGGTCCCATATTCCAAGAGAGGCTGAGCAGGTACTTCTTTATATGAAGCCTCACACACAGTGGGTAGCTCTTGCTCAGTCAGGGCAAATTCCCTGTCACCTGTGTATGGACCAATAATACATTTAACAGTAGAGCAAGGTAAAAAAGAGCTATCCCAAAAATCTCAATTCAATGACAACTGCAGGAGGATCCATGCTACTATTCTCTCTACTAATGAGTATGTATGAAATTATCCATAATTTTGAAAAAAAAAAATAACTCCAAATCTAGCTTGGGACAGTGTAACTAAGTCACATACAGCATTGAGTGCTAAGTATGAGACACCGAGCACAAAATATTTAGAGACCAGAGGGCTCAGTGTGGGCTAAACTGATCGAAGAAGCCTTTGAGACTTAGGTAATATAACGACTGATAGTTATTGCCCTCTTGTTCTGTGCCACGTGATATTAGCAGCATATCACCTGCAGTTTATCATTTAATCCCAACAAGGACTGTATGAGGGAGTTACCTCTATTAATAGATGAGAAAGCTGAGGTCCAAAGTGAAGTAACTTACTCCAGAGTGTACAATTATCAGATCGTGGAACTGGAATTGGAACTGTTTGGCCCAAAAGCCTAAAGTCTTCAACAACCAAACCAGACCAAATACTTGACAAAGAGCTAGGATGGGTCAGAAAGGCATAGAGCCAATAATGAAGATTGGGATACTGAGACAGGCCACCAGGAAAGGCAGATTGAGAGAACACAGGTAGCAATGTAAGCCATGCCATGAAGAGAAACTAGCAATACAGAGTCCAGTTTGGGGTCTGGGTAGGATGCCAGACCTTGGAATGACAAATCAGGCCAAAGGAATTAGAAAATGTGCAGGAGCCCAAAGTGGGAATGCACTTACTGGAATGCCTTATAAGACAGGATTTTGGTTACTAGGCAAGCCGGAAAGAGCATAGTTCTAGATGCAAAAAATGAATTCTCAGCAGAGTATCATCAGGGCTAATTGATGCCCTCATCATACCCTGTCTAGGAATAGAATTAGTCCTCAAGTCTGGCCTTGGGCTCATTACTTAGGAATTCAGTCACCATAACTATAAGAGAGCTGTATCCTCCAAAACACATAGTATGGCATTGTAGCCCCATGAAATATTTTAAAAGAAAACAAAAAAGGATGGGAGGAGGAAGGAAGAGAATGAGGAAGGGAGGAAGAAAGAATAGAAGAGGGAGGGAGGAAGAGTGAGTTTTAAATTCCTAGGTTTAAATTGTTTGAGAAACCCTGCATGCAATCGCATCTTTTGAGGAACTTATAATGCACATTAGCATAAAACTCCATTTGAAAAAAACAATCATTCTCCAAGCTTATTTGACCACTGAACCCCACGGGGCACACTCTAGAAACAAATAGTTTAGAGAAATGCAGGGGCAGAGAACCACACCAACTTTTGCAGAAAAAAAGAAGAGTATCACAGAAAGTGCGGATGGCCTGAGAAAAAGGCATGAAAAGGCACAAGGATTAGCCAGGAATTATGGTTGAGAAGAGGTGAAGATTCAGCTGGAAAAACACTGGGGCCAGATTACAAAGGACTTGGAAAGCCTGAATAGACAGAAAGAGGGGAGGTTCCTGAACTGAGCAATCATAACATAAGCAGCAAAGATGGAATGCCCTAGATCTAAGAGCTCAAGATCTGCATTGAGATTAAATCTAAAGGAGCGTGGGCTCCAAGGGTTGGGGAGGTGGGCTGTGGTTTTCAATCAATGGAAGTGTATGCAGTGAAAAGTGCAGGCTCTGAAATCAGACATTTCTGTTTGAAAGTCAGCGTTGTCATTTGCCCCCTGTGTAACCTTGAGGAAGTGCTTAACGGCTCTCTCCATCCCCTTTTCAGCAATGGAAAACTAAGTTTTAAAGAGAGTATGTGATTTTCCCAACATCCCCATCTAGAAAGCATCACAGCCAGGATTCAAAACCAAATGCAGCTGCCCCCAGAACCGTTGGCTTTGAACACAGTATTCCACCTTATCTGAGATCTTTTTGCTTTCAGCTCCTCAAGGGCAAGAAAGCCAGCCACTCACCCGATCTCCATGTTCTCTGTCTGCCTGGTACCCCTGGGCCTGGTCTCCTGTTAATCAGCTGAAAGCACCATCTTACTCACTTCCCCCACAGGAAAGATTTTATTGGAATATAAAGTTACATAAGATCTGTGCTATTGTTTTGAAAAAGTCACCAAACTTCACCGTTAGATAACTTATTTTTATTCCAGACTCTAGCTATTACAGTATTATCTTATTTTAAGCTAACAGATACACCCAATTCAGGTATAACACTGGACACAGTTCAGGTGACAGAGCCAGCACCACCACTCAGATATTTTGGTGGCTTCTATTCTTTGAGCAGCGTGGTTTAGCACTTTTGGGCACTGGGAAATTACCCAAGGCCAGCACCTGCCAATTTCCTTTTTGAGTCACCTCATTCTGCGCGTGATGCTCAACTCTAGGGCTCACTAGATCTAAGGGCTTCCCCCGCGCCCCATCTCTCCGTTTCCCAAATTTGAACCTCAGGGGGCCTGGGGTGAGCAGCCCTGGCTCCTTAGCGGCTAGAGAACCGGTTCCGCATTGGAGCCGCAGCCACCGGCTTATCCCGGACCGGCCGCGGCGCTGCGGGTCTTTGATAGCGAAACGCCCGCAGGCAGCACCTCTGGAGGTGAGTGTGGGAAGAAAGCCCGACTGAGCCTGGGCTTTGACTTGTAAACAGAGGCTTTGAAAGAGCAAAGTTGTGAGTTTGTCTCCACTAAAGCAAACTTCCTCTGCTGTTTGCTTTGGGAGTTTTGCCGACGTATCTGCAGAACAAGAATGGATTTCCTGTCTGTTCCTGCAGCCTCCTCCAGCTACGTGCAGCTCAGCTGCCACCGCGAGGCTGCAGAGCGGGCATGGAGACGCGTCTGGGTCAGAGCCCACGATCCAAAGGGTTTTCCCCTCCCGCTCTCCTTCTTTAACCCTTTCTTTCTCCCAGCTTAGTCAGGCAGTGTATCTGCAACTTGCCAAACGAGTGATGGTTAGGAGGCTCCGAGGAGCACCAGCCTTAAAACCCACTGCTTCCAAAATAAAGCTAAGGAAAAGTCAGGGCGTGGTCGACCTCTGAACGCGTGCCCGGTATGGCGCTAAGCAGTGTACCCATATAGGACAGTGACTACCTCGCAGGCTGTTGTAAGATTAAATGAGGTTGTCCCCATTGAACCATCAGGATAAAAGATGACTGGACTCTCAAGTGTCCTTGGGGTTTAACCAAGGACAACCCCAGGCCAGCCCACTTTTAAAGACGAAGCTCTCCCAGGTGCTGAAAATCGAATGCCCGCAAGGCCAGGCAATTACTCTAAGTGCTACAGCAGGGAGGTCTAGATTTAGGATCATTTTTTTTTCTTGAGACATGTGGCTCTCCTACTATACCTTTCTATTTTTTTTTTTCCTTTGAGACGGGCATGGGTATTAAATTCTCATTTTCCTTTTTATTACAACGAAAAGAGTACAAACGTGGTTAAAAAGGGCACCTCCCTTAGTGTCAGGAAAACAAAAGGGAAGATCTGTGTGTGCAGTGACTGCATAAAGCCACAAAGGTGGCTCTGCCGATTGTCACCAGGGGCTGTTCAGGCTAGAAATACCATGCTGTCCGATGTTTCAAGAAAAGCAAGAAACCTAGATCTTTAATGAGAAGTCTTTGCATTTAAGCGTTGAAAACTAATTTTTTTTAAAATGGACAGGCCAATATAACATGGCAAACCAAATATTCCCATAGAAAAGATGCTAGTACTGCCTACTTTTGGGTGAAACCTCTGCATTATTCTGCCTTAGGAAGAGTGAGCTGGTTAGTTCTGAGTGAAGACCTCCAGAACCCAGAGAGACTGGGGGACATTAGGAACCCAGCAGGACCAAGCCCATCCGTGAAAGGAACACTTCAGAGTTTCTGTGACCGCGGAGTAAGTAAGGTCACACAAGGTATCCTCAGAGAAAGCTGGCTGTAGTCTCCCTACTTAATGGGCGTGGAGAAACATTAATCACAAAGATAATCCAATAGGAACAACAGGATGAGAATCATATCGAAAGGGTATTGGAGGGTTTGGGGGGGAAAGACGGGTTTATGTATTATCTCTGTGACATTTTCAATGAAATGCAAAATCAACAGAGCATCTTCTGCCAGGGTCACTGTGGTAATGAATGCTGACCTCAACTTGTTAGCACACCAATCCCTCAAAACAGCAAAAAAGAGAAAAAATCAACTGCCTTTGCTACCTTTATCAGCATAAACAAAGAGATAAAAATACGGTATAAAATTTTAACTGTCTTTCCCCATTCTACCTGCAAATGCGAAATTCCCCTGTGCTTCAATAAAGGAAAAATACATCCAATGAAGTCTAACAAATGTGCCATCTGTTCAGAAAGCAGCAGGCGAGCATCTTTTACACGTGACACCATTGCCCTCGTGTGGTCTAAAAGAATAGTGCAGCTGTTTCCCAAGGAGGCTTGAAAGGTTATGACTAAAAACTGTAGTTTTCATAAATATAAAACATTTACAACATTGAACAATATGTGAAAAAAACTTACACTTTAAAGAACACAAAAACTGGGCTTATTGTGTTGACTGTAAACATAAATTAAAAACAATAAAATAAAAATAAAGAGAATAAAGAACACAAATACCGCTTACAATAAAACCTCTGTTCAAATCAGATTCCGGTCTCTGGGTTTCATTCCACACTGAATTACCTTATAGCAAGGAGAAGAAATCAAGTGGGAAAAAATGTCATTAAAATAGCTGAATAGCAAGGAGGTGCAATTCTCTGACCTAATGATGACATTGGACACTTCCCTGCCACAGGGGTCCATACCTGGCTTTTCATCTCACTGCCTTCCTGCGGGGTTGCTGCAAGGGAGACTGGCGGGGGAAGACCTGTTGCTTTTCACATTCATTTGTAGGCTCCACACCATCAGTTGTTACCTCTGCACCATTCAAGTCCAAGATAACCCCAGAGGTCATTTCTGGGTAGTCATCCTCTCACAGGGTAGGAGGAATTCAACACTTGGACACAGAGTAGAAAGGAAAACTTCCCCAGGATGGTGAACCAGACAGAATGGAAACAACGGTACACCTAAAACTACATAAATCATACCTTTATTTCCTTTTCCCATTTCCTGACTATAGGGTGACTCAACCAATAAACAATGATTTTCAGTGGAGTATATACAGATGTAAAACAAGGTGCCAGGCACACTCAAGATAGAAACCCTTCTGATCCAACTTATCTGTAAAATGGAAATGATGCCATCTATTTAATCCTTACCATCACCCTAGGGAGGATTGAGGTGCAATAGGACTCTTTTTTTCCCTTGGGAGTTAAAGTCTCTCCAAGATTGAACAAAGCCTGTAGGTTTTTAACGTAACATTCTAGTTTGAATTTAGGTGCAAGTGCTAGATTTAAATTTCATGCATGTGATTGTTTAAGTGATAATCTGAAAACACAGTGGGTAACTTGAGCTCATATAACCCAGCACTTGAAAGCCTAGTTGTTCCCAGTTAAGTGTCAAAACCAGGCCAGTTGGTAACAAAATAAAAGACCCTTAAGCTTTTATTTTGGGAGCCTGACATAGCTGCCAGGTCTACACAGCTGCAATCAGTGTTAGAAAATGCTGTCTGACTGGCTGGTACTAACCAGCTGGACCCAGAGCATCTGAGGGCTGCAGACTGCTGTGACAAGGCCCAGCCCCAACTCCCAGCACTGTGCCAGCCCTTGCCACAAAATCAACGGGCACTCCCTACTACTCAACCTGTAGGCAGAGGGCAAAATTGCTGGTCCACTTTTCTGTGTAAGGATTCACATTATAGGTCAATATTTGGAAAGAGGGGACAGGAAAGTGTCCTAGAAAACAGGCTTTGGCTTCAGACACACCCAAGTCGAAGCCCCAACCTCTGCCACTTATTACTTGTGTGATCTCAGCAAGTTAATCCATGTTTGAGATTATATCTTCATCTGTAAAGTGGGGCTGACAGTCCCTCACTCTTCAAGTTGGTGTGAGGACGCTTGGCAAGATCTTAACATAGTTCCTGGCAATCATTCATGTTAAAGAACGCTGCGAGAGCTGACATTGTAAATAAACAAAACTGCATTTGAAGGCCAAGTCCATTTTAGCTTCAAGTGAACAAAAGTATCAAAGCAGAAGTCCTTCATTTGTGATTTATTTTGCTTTTATTTATTTATCTGTTGAAACAAGGTCTCACTCCATTGCGCAGGCTGGAGTGCAGTGGCACAATCACAGCTCACTGCAGCCTCCATCTCCCCTATTCAGGCAATCCTCCTACCTCAGCCCTCCTAGTAGCTGGGACCACAGATGCGAGCCGCCACTTCTGGCTGATTTTTTAATTATTTGTAAAGACATGGTCTCCCTATGTTGCTCAGGCCGTGCAAGTGATTTAGACTGAAGAGACTATGAGGGAGGCACACTCTCCATCATAAAGTTCAAGAGCAGGATTGGGAGTCAGAGAGCCTGGCCAACATGACCTGCAGTCATTTGTCGAACATTTACTTTCTCCCTTGTACCCTGTCAAGGGCCACTATCAATCATTTCTTTTCCCTCTGAGCCATCCCAGCAGCTGGGCTGACAAGGGTGAATGGCGAACTGATGACTCCTAAATGGAAGGTTTTCACACTGTCACGTTTCTCTGGCAGTTGCTATAGTCTTTTCACACCAGGGTGACCAGCCCTGCCCTGGAGCATTTCAAATGTGGTTCCCCCTAGTACCTCTGGAAAGCAAGACCATGACCTTCTTTGTTTCTTCACTGTCAAGAACTGGGCAGAGGGGTTAAGCTTCCAGTCCCAAGTCTCTCTTCAACCTCATGTCCTTTCTCTACTTTGTATTCCAAGTCCTTTTTTAGACCTATTCCCTACCGGACTCTTGGCCCTTGATCCCTCATCACCTTTTTTGTGAGCGTCAGTCCCAACTGCTTTGTACAGCTCCACTATCCCTTTCAATCATTCCACCTCCACATTTTTTTTTGCCAGTGAAATATCACCCCCTTTGACTTGCCTTGTCTGTATTGTTTCCCTCAATAAAAATTAAAAATGGGTTACGGCCTCAGTTTCAAGCTGGAGTTCTTTTTTAGACAGCTTTATTGTGATATAATTTACATACCATAAAATTTGTTTTCAAGTGTACCATTGAATGAATTATAGTACAATTACAGAGAACGATCATCACGGCAATCCAATTTTAGAACATTTCTGTCAACCTAAAAAGAAACCTCATGCCAATCACAGTCACTCCGTATTCTCATCCCCAGATTTTTGAACAGTTCATATAAATGAAATCGTAAACCGTGCATACGTTTGTTTCTGGTCAAACTGAGGGGTTTTTTAATATATCCTGGGACCTTGGACAGCATCAGACCACATACCCTTCTGCTCCTCTTCCCTGGCCTGTTAGAGAAGATGTCCCCATTTCTTGACAATTCTTTGAGCAAATTCTATGTAGAGGCTGCCAGGCTTAGCCTGGGTACACAGTGATCAGCACTAGACATAGTTCCTGTCTTCACAAAATTACACAAATATTTATTGCACCCAAATAAATTTAAAGTTATAAATGTTATATGCTCTAAAAAGAGACAAAATCTTTATTTTAATCTGAGCTTATTTAATACAGCTTACAATAAATGCCTCTTACCAAGAGAGCTAGCATCTTGAAAAACATAGATTTTCTGGTCAAAATGGAAATAGCGTTGTTCCTAAAAGTAAAGCATGGAATTCAATGCAACTGCTATCAAAATCTCAGCTGCCTTTTTTTGCAGATATTGACAAGCTGACCCTAGAATTCATTTGGAAATTCAAGGCACTCCAAATAGCCAAAACACTTCGAAAAAGAACAAAGTTGTAGCACTCAAACTTCTCAATTTTAAAACTTACTACAAAGTTACACTAAGCAAGACTGTATGGTGCTAGCATAAAGATAGGGATATATATCAATGGAATAGAATTTAGAGCTCAGAAATCCATTTATTTTCAACAAGCGTGCCAAGGTAATTCAATGCGAAAAGAATAGTCTTTTCAACAAATAATACTGAGACAACTGTATATCCACATGCAAAAATTAACTCAAACTCTATCAAAGTCCTAAATGTAAGAGTTAAAATTGTAAAACACAAAAAAGCAGATATAAATCTTTATGCTTGGATTAGGCAATGGATTCTGAACTGCGACACCAAAAACACAAGCAACAAAAGAAAATAAACAGATAAATTAGGCTTCATTATAATTTAAAACTTCTGTGCAGCAAAGAACATTATCAAGAAAGTGAAAAGACAACCTACAGAATGTTAGAATGTATTTTTAAATCATATATCTGAGGAGAATCTGGTATCTAAAATACGTTAAGAACTCTTACAACTCAACAACATAAAGACAAACAACTCAATTAAAAAATGAACAATAGTAACATGGTGAGATCCCATCTCTACAAAATATTTTAAAATTATTCAGGCACAGTGGCACATACCTGTAGTCCTAACCACTTGGGAGGCTGAGTGGGGAGGATCATTTGAGCCAGAGAGGTCAAAGCTGCAGTGAGCCATGATTACACCATTGCAATCCAGCCTGGGCAACAAAGCAAAGCCCTGTTGCAGAAAAAAAAAGAGCAAAAGACTTGAATAGATATTTCTCTAAATAATATATACAAATGGTCAAGAAACACATGAAAAGATGCTGGGGTTACTAATAATGTATAATTTCATTTTATAGAGAGAAATCCTAATAAGTTATCACTTCACATGCATGAGGATGGCAATGACCACAAAGACAATAACAAGTCTTGGTGAGGATGCACAGAACTGGAACCTTCATACGTTGCTGCTAGGGATGGAAAATGGTGCAGCTGCCGTGGAAAACAGTTCAGTAGTTTCTGAAAATGTTAAATATAGAGCTACCATATGACCCAGCAATTCCACTGCTTGGTAGATAACAAATAGAATTGAAAACATATGGTCACACAAAATTTTGTATATAAAAGTTTATAAAAGCACTATTCATAATAGTCAAAGTGGAGAAACAACCCAATCTTCCATCAACAGGTAAATGGATAAAGAAAATGCTGTATGTCCATATAATGGAATATTATTCAGCCATAAAAAGTAATGAAGTACCAGCCAGGCATGGTGGCTCACACCTGTAATCCCAGCACTTTGGGAGGCCAAGGCGAGTGGATCACCTGAGGTCAGGAGTTCAAGACCAGCCTGATCAACATGGCAAAACCCTGTCTCTACTAAAAATACAAAAAATAGCTGGGCGAGTTGGTGGGCACCTGTAATCCCAGCTACTTGGGAGGTGGAGACAGGAGAATCTCTTGAACCCAGGAGGTGGAGGTAGCAGTAAGCCGAGATCATGCACCATTGCACTCCAGCCTGGGCAACACAGTGAGACTCTGTTCAAAAAAAAAAAAAAAAAGGTGATAAAGTACCTACACATGCCTCAACATGGAGGAACCTTAAAAACAATTTTTTAAGCAAAAGAAGACCACATATTATATGATTCAATTTGTATAAAATGTCCAAAATAGGTAAATCTACACATACAGAAAGTAGGTTAATGATTGCCTAGGGCCAGAGGGTAGGTG
Source organism: Homo sapiens (assembly GCF_000001405.40). NCBI lineage: Eukaryota > Metazoa > Chordata > Mammalia > Primates > Hominidae > Homo > Homo sapiens. The sequence goes on along the minus strand of NC_000005.10, from coordinate 163,559,330 downwards.
GTGTAGGAGGATAGGAGGTGACAGCTAAAGGGCATGGAATTTCTCTTTGCGCTGAGGAAAATATTCTGGAATGACATAGTGGTTGTAACTGCACAACTTTTTGACTATACTAAAAAACCACTGGATTGTATACTTTAGAAGGGTATGTGAATCGTATCTCCACAAAAAATAAGTAAGGCTTGGTCACCATAGACCCAGTTCAAACAACGCAGAAGTACGTAAAGGGTGAGACCAGGTGTCTATATCTCTTTCCCTGATACAACCATGATTAAGTTCTTGTCTCCCTACTTCAAAGCTACTCTTGCATATTCTTCTTTGTGATGCTTCGACTGGGACTTCACACCTCACATTTCCTTTTTTTTTCCCCCCCAACTTTTATTTTAGGTTCAGGGGGTACATATGCAGATTTGTTACATGGGTAAATTGTGTGTTGCTAGAGTTTGGTGTGCAGATGAGTTCGTCACCCAGGTAGTGAGCACAGTACCTGATAGGTAGTTTTTCAGTCTTCATGCTCCTCTTACCCTCCACCCTCAAGTAAGCTCCAGTGTTTATTGCTCCCCTCTTTGTGTCGCTTACCCCTCCCATTTCTGACTAGAGGGAGATTGGAGGACAGGAAGGGAGAGGAACATTTCACCTGCAGTTTCCTTGCTGTTTCTGTCAGTATCACCCCAGCAATGGTACTGAGCCTGAGGAGTGCAGTTAGTTTCACTTCCAGCCTCCAGGTTTTTTAAGCACTCCCAGAACCATTTCTGTGGAGCTCCTTCGAAAGGTACCAGCCCAAACTAGGCAATGCTCTCTCCTCAGAGGGCTGAGCCCTCCTCTGAGGCACTGATGACCCCTGGCCACATCCTTTGCTTCTCGATCTTAGGTGAAGTAGCTGTGTCCCACAGTTACTGTCTCTGTGATACCTCAGTATTCCCTTCTTGCTTTTTCAGCAATCTAACCTTGTAAGCATTTCTCCATGTTAGATTCCTCACATTGAGATTTTTATATGGTTTCTTTTTGCTTAATTGCATCCTGACTAATAAAGCCCATCACACACACACACACACACACACACACACACACTCCCTCACACAAAACATTCTTCTTTTTAAATTCATATTGAAATATTACCTACCATTTTTCTTTATCTAATGGGATACTATGTTACAACATAACCTTTTTATATTGTAAGCATCTTTATCATTGTACTTCCACATAATTTTGAATGTAGTTAATATATCCTTTTTATGGTAATTGGATCCATTCTATCTTCTCACGTGATGTTCATTGCTCTAAATTTGTCTAAAGTATATTGGTCTTTTGAGGAACTTTAATTGCATTGAATTCTAACTAAATTCATTTATTTATTGAGCACCTACTCTGTGAAAACATTAAACTGAGTGTTTGGGGGATATAATGATAAGTTAGACACGGCCTTGTTCTAGAGGAGCTTGAATTTAGTGAGGAGAGATGAAACAAAGCTAAGAGGATACAATTGGATTTTCCAAGATAGTTACAATTTTAAGTAATCTGTCCTTTTCCCTCGGATACACTAATTCTCATAACCAAGTTTTTGTTTTTGAAGACAAAGTTGCAATAATCACAAATCTCCACCCAGTTGCTACTACGCAATTCTTTATCCTGCTGCTCATTGGCCCCATGAAAAGAAGGATTCTATTCAGAGTTCATAACGGTTTTGAGATAGGAAGAATTTCTGACAATACATCTAAGTTTAATTCTCTTCCAGGTAAAATGGTCACAGTTCCAAGGAGATATAAAATTTATCAAACTGAAGAATAAATAGTAAAATAATTATACCCAATATTATACTGGTATTCAGAGAATTACCTCAACCAAACTCAACTTTGACCTTATTGGAACTTAGGTAGACACTCACTGAGGCACCAGAAGGCATTTTCTTAGACATCCTAACAAGGTCATTTTCCTTGCATATATTTTACTCAAGGGAAATATACAAACCCTATATTTCATGTACAACTGTGCCCAGGGGCCCAGAATAATTTATTAACGACATTTCCTTTAAATAAGGAAATGTCTTATTTCCTTTGTAAGTCCATAATATATTCAAAAGGGAAAGAGAAGAAAGACAGGAAAAACAAATAAATTCAGTGGACATCCCTGAAGGTTGCTAGAGCACCAACTTATTACTTTGAAATTTTATAATAAAAAGAAAAAAAACAGTCAGCATATACTATGCCTATCTAGGGTAAATAAACTTCAAGGCAATGAAAATAACCTTAGTGAAGGATAGAAACATTTACATTCAGAGGAATTCCAGCTAATAAACGGAGAAAAAATTGATAGAAAACAAAAATCACTATTTCTCAACCTTTAATAAAATAACCAGACCAGGCAATGGCCACTGTATTTGTTTCCTGGGACTGCTATAACAAACCAACACAAACTGGGTGGCTTAAAACAACACAGATGCATTCTGTCGCAGCTCTGGAGGCTGGATGTCCAAAATCAAGGTGTCAGCAGGGCTGTGCTCCTTCTGAGACTCTAGGTAGAATCCTGTCTTGTCTCTCTCGCCCCTGTCGATGGTCCCATCAATCCTTGGTATTCCTTGGCTTTTGTCTGTGTCATCCCAGCCCTGCCTCTGTCATTATGTGATCCTCTCCCCATGTGTTTCCATCTCCACCTGGTGTTCCCCTCTTCTTATAAGGATGCCAGTTATATTAGATTTAGGCCCACCATAATGACTTCATCTTAACTTGATTATATATGCAACAATCTTACTTCTAAATAAAATCACATTCTCAGTTACCAGGGTTTAGAATTTCAATCTATCTATTTAGAGGGGACACAATTCAACTCATAACAATCATCCAGTCATCAAGAGATGATAAAAATAAATAAATAAAATGTTGATGGGAAACTTTACATTGAAAGGATAAGAACACCACCACCTGAATCCTGATTGATATTACTATTACAAAAAGCTTAACAGTGAATCATTACATATTACGTGATGTGATGAAACATAAACTACATGGCACACTATATTTTCTCTAAAAACAAAAAATGAAATGATGCAGAAACTAATGTGCCTTTAGTTCTACCTTCTTACTTACAAAGACTAAAGAACAAGTCAATGAACTAAAAGAACAAGTCAATCTTCACCTTGAGGAAGCATTGACCAAGTTTAGAATGTAAGACTTTTCTATGGGATAATTACCTTGTTTCTTCAATAAGCAAATACACAGAGGAAAAAAAGGAAGAGGGAGTGATCTAGGGGTAAAAAAGCTAAAAGAAAATTGAGATTTCAGAATCAAAAAACAATAAATAGATCACATCTGGAAACCAAGTCAATAAACAGAGGAATTATTTAGAAAACAATGTGTAATAATGAAAACAATTTCAATATTCATTGAATATTAGATAATACGAAGAACATGTTAATTCTTTTATTTTTTATTTTTTATTTTTTTTTTTTGAGACAGAGTCTCGCTCTTGCTGCCCAGGCTGGAGTGCAATGGTAAGACCTAGGCTCACTGCAACGGTACGACCTAGGCTCACTGCAACCTCTGCCCTCCAGGTTCAAACGATTCTCCTGCCTCAGCCTCCCAAGCAGCTGGGATTACAGGCACGCATCACCAAGCCTGACTAACTTTTTGTATTTTTAGTAGAGACGGGGTTTCACCATGTTGGCCCGGCTGGTCTCGAACTCCTGACATCAGGTGATCCACCCACCTCAGCCTCCCAAACTGCTGAGATTACAGGCATGAGCCACCAGGCCTGGCTAGAACATGTTAATTCTACAAAGTCTTACTATGAAAGAATGTCCCTTTTTGAGATCCTGAAGTATTCAGTTATTTGCTGACAGGATATATAATATTTACTTTAAAATGCCCCATACAATGGGCACTCATTACTGCATGAGTGAATGAATGAATGGATAAATGCACCAGGACTGCTATGCCCCTCACCTGTGGATTGGATCACTCTACTTTGAATGTCAAAAGGCCACGTCCAGGTGACACCTACAGATTCCCTCTCACAAAAATCAGCATTTCAGAAACAGGCTCAATTCCTGAAAATGTCACAACTCTTTGACCATTTTGTGTTCACATCTTAAACTGGCAGAAGGATGAGCAGGAGGTGAAGGGCAGCCATTTCCCAAGCACCTGCTTTATGGCAGCCACCATGATGGCACATTAGCACCTATTGTCTCAGATAATCTTAAAACATTCATATGAGACAAGTACCAGTTTAATCTTCATTTTACAAGAGAGGAAATTAAAGCTTGAAGGATGAAGTGACTTGACCAGGTGCACAAAGATAATACTGGCTGAGCAGTTGTTTGAACAGAAATCTGTCTCCCTTCTGACCCTATAATTGTATGAATGATGCAGAAAGATGAACTAGGGGGTTTCTTGGTCAAGAATGTGCTTTATTATCATAAGAATACAAACATAACACCAAAAAAGTGTCAGGAAACTTTCAATAAAATTCAGCACATAGAACACACACATTATCTCCTCTCTTCTAAAATCTCATATATCAATAGTAAAGGAATTGAAAAAGAAAAAGGTGCGAACTCAGGAAAAGGAACAGAAGAGAAAATGAATATAAAATTTTGGGATCTGGAAAACAGATTAAGTGGAAATTGATTTAGCAGACCTAGAAAACAGAATTTTCTAAACTGGCAGTAGTGAGATTAAAGAAGAAATGCATTGACACATCAGAACCCAAAATGCACAGGAGCCTGTGGCATTTGATACCTCATGGAACATAGAGTAATAATGAGACTAAAAAACTAGAAAAGTAAATTAGCCAGGTGTGGTGGCGCACATGATTAGTCCCAGCTACTAGGGAGGCTGAGATATGAGAATCATTTCAACCCAGGAGGTGAAGGTTACAGTGAGCCAAGATTGCACCACTGCACTCCAGCCTAGGCAACAGTGCGAGACCCTGTCTCAAAAAAAAAAAAAAAAGAGAAAACTAGAAAAGTGATAGAGTCTATTTCATAAGTAGTTAGATACACAGATTCCCTCCTCCACTCTGCACAGAGGGCCAGGGAAGACAAAACAGAGTCTAAGGCAGCGATCCTCAACAAAAAACAGGGGAATTCAGAGAAAGCTTACATACCAAAACTTGAGATATCCAGCCTTTCTTCCCTGCCTGACCCCAGAATGTTGACACTCCAAATTATATCCTCTGGGTAGAACATGGCAAAAGACTTCTCTGACTAGCTAAAGTTGAAAAACCCAACAATACTGATATTTGGGGTACCCTAATAAGATTGCTGATGAAGTCACACTGGAGTGATGCTCACACTTGACAATACCCACTCTCTCTCTCAGTTTCTAATCTTTTATGCCGTGTACTTGAAAATGAGCAGACTTGTATGATTCCAGCCATGTAACATTCTAGAAAAGGCAAAATCATACAGACAGACAGTAAAAAGATCAATGGTCACCAGGGGCCGGGGGAAGGGATGGATAATGCATGGAGCACAGACGATTTTGAGAGCAGGGAAACCATTCTTTTTTCTTGCTGTTTTTTTTGAGACAGGGGTCTCACTCTGTCACCCAGTCTGGAGTGCAGTGGCGCAATCTTGGCTCACTGCAACCTCCGCCTCCCAGGTTCAAGCTATTCTCCTACCTCAGCCTCCTGAGTTGCTGGGATTACAGGCACCCGCCACCATGCCCAGCTAATTTTTGTGTTTTTAGCAGTGACTGGGTTTCACCATGTTGGCTCGACTGGTCTTGAACTCCTGACCTCAAGTGATCTGCCCACCTCAGCCTCCCAAACTGCTGGGATTACAGGCATGAGCCACCGCGCCTGGCAATTCTTTATGATACTATGATAGTGGATATATGTCATTATGCATTTTACAAAATTGTACAATATCAAGAGTGAATCCTAATGTAAACTTTGTGTGACAATGATGTTTCAATGTAAGTTCATCAACTGTAACAAATGTACCACCCTGCTGCCTGTCAATAGTAGGGGAGGCTGTGTGTGGATGGAGGGGCTGGATATCATTGTACTTTCTGCTCCATTTTGCTATGAACTTGAAACTGCTCTAAAAAATAATCTATTTTTTAAAAATGAACAGAAAGCCAAGGATCACCAGATATTTGAGGGAATCTAACAAGAAAGAAGAAAATAAGCAGACCAACAGAACACACTCACAATGTGCACACACACATATGCAACATGAAAAAAGACTATATAGAAAATGGAAATTTCAAGTGAAACAGTTTCATGAATATCTTCAGCAAGCTAATGGGAATGAAGCACAAGCAGGATATCGTTTTTAATTTAAAGTTAATAGATAAGGCTGTTAAGAACATGACAGCAGAAATAAAAATCTAAACAGCAGAATTGAAAGAGCTGAGGAAATCTCTCAGAAATCAGAGAAAAAAGACAAAGAAATGAAAATAAAGTGAAGATAAGAAAATTAGAAAGCCCATTCAAGTGAAAACTGAAAATTATTTTAATATTTTTCAGAACAAAAGGACTTAAGTTTCCAGATGGAAGAGCTCATGAAATACCAAGCATGATGAATAAAAATAGAACTATACCAAAGGCCTCTCTGACTTTCTACCAAAATGTAAACTCCACAAGAACTTACAACATGTAGCAGTACTTACAACATGTTGGGGACCTGCCAAGAAAACACAGAAGCCAGCCTGGTGGATTCCTACTGGCCAAATCTGGGCACAATTTGAGCATCAAAAAAAAAAAATGATAGTAATGGATTATAAACCAGCAAATAAAATAAGAATCCATGAGCCTATACCAATATTAATAAATGTTTATAGGTGAGCGATTAAATGAAGGTCCCAGGAATGAGGGCTTTGGTGACAGAATTTTGTTAAATAAAGGAAAATGAAAAGCTTTTTCTTATAGTAGAACAGCAGCTAATAAATGGGTATGAATCATGAAGTTAGAAAATCACCATTCTGCAGCTGTCCAAGCAATAGGAGATGCTAAAACTAGTGGGTAGAAGGTCAAGGAGGAATAGGATACATACATATTCTCAAACACTGCCTGACAAATTGTCAATTACAAAGGGCAAAATAATAACTTTACAGTAGAGAAACTTGGCAGACACACCCTCAACTTTAACTAAGGGATCAAAGTTAACATCAGCAGTAATGGAACCAATGGATAGCATGAGTCTCCAGATACGATACACAGAAAGGGCAAACACCAACTGGTATTCCTGCCAAAAATGAATAACCTGAATCTAATTTTGAGGAAGCACTGGAGAAACCCAAACTGAAGGACATTCTACAAAATAATGGCCTATGCTCCTCATGTTGATACCAAGAAAGATATAGAAAAGTAGCTGATCAGATTAAAGAATAAAGATACATGACAAATAAATACAGTGCAATATCCTACAAGTATTTTCAAAGCTTATAATTTTATCAAAATAAAGTTACCCACGCCTGAAAAAACTTGTGTATGGAATTAATGGAGGTGTCAAGAGGGAGAAAGGGTTATGGTGTGACTTGGCTCTGGATTCCAAGGTGGGCTTTCAACCCTTTAGAGTTGTTCTAATCCCCCTTTCCTCTTTCTAGAAGTGTTCAAATTCAAAGTCTGTTTATTTATAATATGTTTGTAACCTCATATAAGAGACAGTTTGCAGGCAGTCAAAAAAATGGGCTTAACCCTTATTGGAAATATTCAAGCCTCAGAAAATAGATATTTTGGTTCTGATTTGGTAGAATAAACAAGTGTGCTGAAAACAGCAGCAACAATCCAAAAAGCAAACAACTGGGAAGTGACTAAGTAGATTGTGATATATCCACAGCTTGAAATAGTATGCCTTAACAAAAGGTATGTTCAAAGATTATCTATTTTCATGGTTAAATGTTTATGACAGCATGTTGAGTAAAATAAGGTACAGAGAAACCGATACACAGGAACCCAATATGCATGCATGTTTGTATATGTGTCTGTTGATTATGGTGTGTAGATGTGCAAGAACATAATGTACATTGCCCTCTAGTCTGTATGTGACATAGTGGTTTCTAGGAACTTAGGATAACACTACCTATCTCTCAATGGGTGCAAAGTACTCAGTACACGGCAAATGCTCTATCGATATTATTACTAAAACAAAGACCAGAGGAAAGTAAGCCAAAATGTTAATAATGACTATTTCTGCATGATAAAATCATGAGTTTGTGTGTGTGTGTGTGTGTGTGTGTGTGTGACGTGTGTGTGATTTGCTTTTTAATTTTTTTCCTGTTTTCTACAATGAGTATCCATGAGATGATGATGATGATTATTATTATTATTATTATTATTATTATTATTATTAGGAAAAACTAAATTTTTATCTCCTGCCCCTACTAGTTTCACCTGGAAGCTAAAGGAACAATAACTGACTGGACATAAATATTCAATTCTAGGCATCCAGAGAGAGTTCTTTCTTTTCCTTCTTTTTTTTCTTTTTCTTTTTTTCTTTTCTTTTTTTTTTTTTTCTATTTTTGAGACAAGGTCTCTGTTGCCTAGGCTAAAGCACAGTGGCACAATCATAGCTCACTGCAGCCTCAACCTCCTTGGCCTTGGCTCAAGGGATCCTCCTGCCACCATTTCCAACTAATTCTTTTAATTTTTGTAGAGAAAAGGTCTCCCTATATTAGCCAGGCTGATCTCAAACTCCTGGGCTCAAGTGATCCTCCTGCCTCAGCTGCCCAAAATGTTGGCATTACAGGTGTGAGCAACCTCAGAGAAAATTCCATAACTGAACAAATAGACTTGAGTTCACTGACAGCAGTAACATTTATATCCAGAGAGAGCACAGTTGTTCCCTTACGAAGGCTGAAACATTTGACATATATAGTAAAGAGTGAGGCAGGCTATAAAAAATATGTGTGGACTTGCCTAAGTTTCTCAAAGAGCACAAGGAAGACAGAGTAAATCCTTGACAAAACTGGTCTTTAGATATGCATTAAATACAAAGTTTGGAAACATGTGTTTAACGTGGCTGGGGATTAACGCTAAGGAACAGGAGGTTTGGTTGTTAAAGAATATACTTCTTGCTTAACCTGCTAAAGGAAGCTTCTGGGAACCCAAACAGCCACACTATCCTGTGGAAACCCTCCAGGTTTGACTCCAGACATCTCACATATCTAGATCAAAAGGTATCAAAAAGCTCCTGAATGGAGACCACGGTCCTGTTTTAATATGGATGGTCAGGTCAGGTCTGAGGATCTGTTAGCACTTCTGAAAGGTCTCATCTCAGTTTATCATTTCCCTCCTTACCCATTTCAAGGACATTACCTAGAAAGATTTTTATACTTACAAAGACCTCTTCCAGAAAGACTCCACACATAAAATCCCTCAGAATTGATCCAATCTTTTTTTTTTAACCCACAAAAAAATTTACACATGCCACACTAAGGAAATAAATTCTACAGTGGTCAGACTTACCAAGTTTTGAACTTGCACTTCCTAAGTCCTTTTCCATAAAGATAGGGCTGAAAGGATATTTTCCTCTAATATGGGTATATTCATAACGCCTGATAGTTCACTTTATTCTGACTTTACTCTGGCTGAGGAACTGGTTATATAAGAATCAAAATAACTTCTTCTGATTACTAAATAAATGTGTAATGAAAATATGCAAAAGCCATCTGGGTCTACACAAGCCAATCCTAGGTATCATTATTGTTCCCTTTAAGCTTGCATAGGTTTGAATTACAGAAAAATAATGAGAAAATTCTTTGAGATGTTTAGCTATGCTGCTTAGAAACATATAAAGGATCATGGAGATTTCATCTTTGGTACTAATAGAAAAGAACTTCCATTGGAAAGCGAAATGCTTTTATGTTTTAATGCTCTCTAAAATGACCAGAAAGTCACTCCAAAATGTACTTCTGAAAAGGTGTCAGATTTTTATTGACCTCGTGGGAGACAGATTTCTGGTTAATTAGAAGCTCATCTGTGAACAGACATCTGAAAGTCCAGTGAGAAACCATAACAACTTTTTGGAGGGGTTTCTCTTCATCTGTTGTCTGACAGAGCAGTCAGATAGCAGTGGGATCCATCCGTTTTTCTTAAGAGATAAAATTCCAGCTTTTGCCACACACATTCAGTGAGCCCGAGCCTCCGGAAGGGCGGGCTTTTGCTGGCCTCCTTTATTGATTAGCTTGAAACCAGAAATGCGTAATAAATATCATTGTGCTCAATTTGAAAAAAGAAACTAAATACTCAACACTGCCCGTCCCGATATAAACCCTTCATCGATTAAAAAAAAAAAAAAAGGAAAGGAAAGGATAAGATTACAACAAAAGAAAAACCACAAAAACGATCAGCACCAAGGCAAAGGCAGTGCCATTGTAAACAAAATGACTCCTTTAGAAAGGAAGCCTGATGTTCTCCACCTAACTTAGAAATTATCAGGCATCAAATTATAATCAGATAGTCTTTTCATGTGGTAGATAAAAGAGGAAACCAGAAAGACCATCAGTGACTGATGGAGATGCGTGCAGGTATTGAAGGTGAAGAGGGGCCCTCAAGCTCCTCCCCTTGGTCTACCATGCGTGACCTCAGCCTGTGACCCAGATTTTGCTGACAGTTATAACGTTTGTAATATAACGAATATCCTTCCAGTTAATAGTAATAGGTCTAGACCTATTTAACTGATTCTTATCTCCACTTGCTATTGTATTATATATTTATTTTTATTTGTATATTGCCCATGGGCTCCATCAGAATAAAACCCATGGAAGACAAGGTTTGTGTCTCAATCACCTCCAGTTCTTCAATATTTGCCAAAGACAAGAATTAATGAATAGAATACAAGGGGTTGGGGATTGCTGCATTTGCTTTCAGCGAGCCCCTAAATATGAAATGAGAACTTAATTGGTCTGGAGGGAGGAAAATGTAACAACTACTATAATCAGAACATTATCCCTTAATTGTCAGGCAAGAGCTAGGAAATGCCATCTGGTATAAGATAAAGAAATCTTGTTGGAAACCATCAAAGGATACTACTACATTCTATCATCAATGACCACAGATATAAACCGCAACATCGATACAATAAGAAGCTATTCAGTCATTTTAAAAAATCAGATCACAGAATATAGTTTAAGGTAGAAAAATAGTGACTGTATATTAGGTGAACATGGCAGGTAGAAAATGCGGAGTTTGGTTCTGTTTATTTAATAATCTGAAATCCCACACTGATATACACTCAGTAACTATCATCGGATTAATTTGGTGTGATTACATATCTTTGCACTCAGCGGTGATTTTAGAGGTGTCTGCATTAGATATGTATTAATTTCATAACTAGAAAGGAGCTCAATGAAGTTCTAGAAAAAAGACTGCCCCACCCCAAAGCTCACAATTGGGCCACAGGACTACATTTACTGCCCATATTTATGTCACCTACCCTTTAGAGAGAGTAAGAGTAAATTTAAGACTAATTATTTTTAGAAAACAGATTCTTTAAAAAAACAAGTCTGGCCGGGCACAGTGGCTCACGCCTGTAATCCCAACACTTTGGGAGGCTGAGGCAGGCAGATCACGAGGTCAAGAGATCAAGACCATCCTGGCCAACAAGGTGAAACTCTGCCTCTACTAAAAATACAAAAATTAACTGGGTGTGGTGGCGCACACCTGTAGTCCCAGCTACTTGGGAGGCTGAGGCAGGAGAATTGCTTGAACCTGGGAGGCGGAGATTGCAGTGAGCCAAGACCACACCACCACACTCCAGCCTGGCGACAGAGCGAGACTCCATCAAAAGAAAAAAAACCAACAAACAAAAAACCAACAAGCAAACAAAAAAACATCTGGGCACAGTGGCTCACACTTATAATCCCACCACTTTGGGAGGCCGAGGCAGGCGGGTCACTTGAGGTCAGGAGTTCAAGACCAGCCTGACCAACATGGTGAAACCCCATCTCTACTAAAACTAAAAAAATTAGCTGGGTGTGATAGCGCATTCCTGTAATCCCAGCTACTCCAGAGGCTGAGGCAAGAGAATTACTTGAACCCAGGAAGCAGAGGTTGCAGTGAGCGGAGATCACACCACTGCACTCCAGCCTGGGCAACAGAGCAAGACTCCATCTAAAAACAACAATAACAAGAAAAAGAAAGATCAATTCAGGCCGGGTGCAGTGGCTCATGCCTGTAATCCCAGCACTTTGGGAGGCCGAGGTGGGTGGATCACCTGAGGTCAGGAGTTCAAGACCAACCTGGTCAACATGGTGAAACCCTGGGTCTACTAAAAATACAAAAATTAGCCAGGTATGGTGGCGGGCGACTGTAATCCCAGTTACTAGGGAGGCTGAAGCAGGAGAATCACCTGAACCCGGGAGGTGAAAGTAGAGGTTGCAGCGAGCGGAGATAGCGCCACTGCACTCCAGCCTGGGCGACAGAGCGAGACTCTGTGTCACACACACAGAACAAAAAGCAAGTTTACCTCTTAACCTAGACTGTCAAGCTCCCTAGGAACCAACCAAAAGCAGCCTGGCTGTTCATCCTCAGACCCTGATCATTTTCTCTCCCTTTGGATTCCTCTCCTCTTTTGCACGTAGCAGAGTCTTTCTTCCCTGGCTCCCATCTGTCCAGCATGGAGCTCTGTGCTCCTCTCAGGTGCAAAAGGAAGGCTCCTATCACAGGCAGGATAAAGTCCCTGTTAGGACCTTGGAGCTACCCAGAAACTGAGGCTCAAACTGAAAATTAAACATCTCTGGACAGCTGCCACTTATTAATGCATGATACACAGGGTTACCTCAAGGACAGTGTGATCATCTCAAACTTTGATGTGCTGGGTGGGGTTGGGGAGAAGCTTCTGGAGCATGTCCTCTCAAACTAAACAAACATAAGATTTATCTGCAGAGCTGGCTGAATGAGAAGTTTCCAAGACCTTGCTCCCAAGTTTCTATTTCAGTAGACCATTTTTAATATGCTCATTGAATAGGTTTCTAAGGCAATTCTGCTGCAGATGGTTCACAGATCACACCCTGAGAATACAATTTTCAAACTTTATCTAATTACACAGTGCAGACACTGAGGTCTAAGCTTCACCCCATCTCTGGTTGAACTGAAGTCAGGAGGTTTGCCTCTAGCTGGCTGTAAAAAAAAAAAAAAAAAGAAGTGATAAAGTAGATTTTCTGAGCATTTGGAATTTAAATCCCGATTTCTGCTTTTAGGAATGTGACTGCGTTCTCACCTGGGAACTTTAGGCAATGCTGTTTTGCATTTATAGTTTATTTTGCTCAGTAATTATTCACAAAGTGTTTTATAGGGTCTATTTGGTCTCAGCAGCTTGATCATAAACTCCTGGGATAGTTGGAAGGCTTTAAATATTTTTTCAAACACATGGAAAGAAAGAAATTGTGCTTAGCACAGTGTTTTTTTATACAAATGCATCCAAGGTCACAGGTGCATATTTTCTACTGCCTCACTCAGCTCTAAACCTAGAATATGACTCTTCCTACATTGGTCACCAGGAGTAGGAATTTCAGCTGGAGGATATGAACTTTTCAAGTAAGGAAGCTTATATTTTATTACCAGGGGAAGAGTTGTTTATTATCCGGGGAAGCAGTAGTTTTCAACATGTGGTCCACAACCAGCATAATTAAGAAAGTCACCTTGTCAAAAATGCAAATTCTCAGGCCTCCCTTGGACCTATTGCATGAGGAACTCTGAGGAAGAGGCCAGCCAGATGGGTTTTAACAAGTTCCAGGTGATTCCAGTGCACGCTAAAGTTTAAGCGATTCTTCTGTCTCAGCTTCCTGAGTAGCTGGGATTACAGGCACACACCACCATGCCCCGCTAATTTTTGTATTTTTAATAGAGACAGGGTTTCACCATGTTGGCCAGGCTGGTCTCGAACTCTGGACCTCAAATGATCCGCCTGCCTCAGCCTCCCAAAGTGCTGGAATTACAGGCGTGAGCCACCACAACTGGCCGTATGTTGCCTTTTACAAGGTGTTTTGTCTCATTTGATGTCATGGCATCCCCTAACTTCCGTGAAATGAAAATTAAGTATTGTTATCTTTCTATTTCACAGCTAAAGTTACTAAATTCTGAGATGACCTAGGGCAAATCATGTGAGTACCAAAAGCTGCCTCAATTCTGTATCCCTTCCCTCTAACAAACAGCAATTCCTTCTTTCATTAAAATAATTTTCCCTGTTCCCCCACCTTGCTTTGCAAAGATTGGAGTCAATGTTACCTTACAGAGGCCCTTGCTAGTTTGCTTGTTGTCTGCGTATCTCTTTTTTCATTCACAAATTAACAGCTTGTCCTCATATTAACCAGATGGATGGCTGCACCTGGTTAATTGGAGTTCTAAGATGGATAAATAGATTAAAGAGCAGGCGGCCGGAGTGCTCCACTGCTGCCCAGACATAATTAAGAAAGGGGAGTGAACAAGTTCTACTGGGACATCAGTGAGGAACAGGCCCAGTTGACTGATTTCTTAGAACTGCTTCAATTGCTAAATTATGAAAAGCACTTGCCACGGCATTGGGACAATGTTGGCACTCAGCTGCTGAGAGGGCTCAGATGCTGCTCTTTTCCTATGATGTCCATCACTTGAATCAAGTTTCTCAGAGTGTGTCTATTGACCACCTGTCTCAGAATCATCTGGATGTTTATTAAAAAATGCAGATTTCAGGACCTCATTCAGGACCCACTAACTTGAAGTTAGTGGGTCTTTCTTTCTTTTCTTTATCTCTCTTTCTCTCTTTTTCTTTCTTTTTCCTTCCTTCCTTCCTTCCCTCTCTCCCTCCCTCCCTTCTTTCTTTTCTCTTTCTTTTCTTTTCTTTCTTTCTTTGTTTCTTTCTTTCTTTTCTTTCTCTCTTTTTCAGTGGTGATAGTAACTAGGAATCTGTACTGTTAACAACCTCTCTCTAAAATTGGGAACTACTGACTTATTGCTATCCTCAAATATGCAGAATTTCCAGAATCATCTTTAGAAACTGCACAAGTCCACACTCTGTGAACAACAACTCTGGTAGAGTCCTTAGCTACCAAAACTTCCAGCAATCGAATTTCCAACACCCCCAAAATCCTAGATAAAGCAGAGCCTATGACAGAAGCATTGAAGATTTTGTCTCGGAAGCCTCTGGAGACACTTATAGACATGCAAATTCTCGGCCTCAGCTCAGACCTACAGAACCAGAAACTCTGGGGATGAGGTACCCGCCAGATGAATTCAAGGACACATACTACAATTTGAGGACCACTGCTTGAGACCTATGCTGCTCAAACTTCTGTGCACATATGAATTACCTGGGGATCTTGTTTAAATGCAAATTCTGTTCCTATAGGTTTGGGGAGCAAATATCTCCCAAGTGATATTGATGCTGCTGATTCACAGACCACACTTTAAGTAGCAAAACTGTAGGTTATTTTTTACCTAATGCTATGAGCAAATATTCATATTTTTAAAACAAGAAGGCGACAAAGCCAATCCGCAGGCCCGGGCCAAAATAGTTGGCTAATCAGCATGCTCTAGGCATAGAAAGTGAAGCTGCTAAAATACCAGCCGTTGGCTTTGAGTTTTGAATACTAAGGATGCATTTGTACTGATTGTCTCACGTGCCATCCTCCAAAACTCTGATAACTAAGATCACAAACTTTTATGTGGCTGGGAAAGGAAATAAAAAAATGGCTTAGCAGGGATTGAACTCTGTCTTTTGCTCAACTTAGAAACATTGTTACCAGCCAGCTACCAGGCCCTGATAAATTGAGCTAAACTGTCTCTAGAGTGGCACTGTCTTGTGTAGACGGCTCTGGTTGGGAATTAGGGAGTCCTACTTGTACTCACAGCTCTGCCAAGGAATGTCAAACCTTGAGCATGTCACATCATATCAGTTCACTGGGTTTGATTTCCTTATTTATTGAGTGATGGTTTGTGCCTCTCCCTAAAAGTCTATGGTTCTAGGACCCATTCAGTCCTTCCCACTATTATATTTGCTGTATTGCTTCTGGTGCCTTAAGACTGCTTACCCTTTGTGAGTTCAGTAAAAGCACCATTTTGTTTCTTTGAATCAGCCTCAATTGCAAGTCCAGGGATCACAAGCCTTGACAACATGTGTATGAATTCAGATGCTACATGGTTTCTGAGCTTGTACTCTTCACCTTTACCTTGGTATGTTTTCAATTATTCATCATTGATGGTACATCTCACTAAAATTACTAATTTGAAATACGGTCACATACAGGATTAGTTTGCCTGGCTGTCAAGGGTTTACTAAGTAGACCATGTCTGCTGAGATGAGGTACGTATAAATTAGAGAGTGAGGATTTGCTTAGAATAGGGACCTGCCAGAATAATTTGTGCAATAAAGACTTCGAATAGCTAGTAGGTTTATAGAATTTCTCTAGTGTAATTAGGAGAGGCATTGTTGTGTAATGAAGAAAATTAATTAGAACTAAATGTTTAGGGAATGTGTGGTTAGGTAACCAAAGGCATATTTGCAGCCTAATTGTTTTTTGGCAGCTGGAGGCATTTTATACCCTTTCATGATGTTTAGTTAATGGATATTTTAACATGCCCTACTGTTTGCTTTTCCTTAAATTTAAACTACTTCAATATAGAAAAACAGTTAATCAAAGATTTAAACCAAGTATATATCCCATTGGAAAAATGCCTCTGTTAATCTGGTTTATTTGATCATACTGTCTGTCAAATGTTAATTATTTTTACAGGAAGTGCATATTGAGGCTAATTGGAGTGCCCTGCTGTACCATATAATTACTGAGTCCTACTTGTATGCTTATAAAACACAAATACTGAAACATTTCCTAATATTGTGCCATTATTTCTCCTAGCCTGGACCCAGCTTTCAAGTATTCTGCCTCAAGTCTTCTCCAGAACAAGGTAAAGATTTGAAAATATGGTAAATTTCAAAATAAGGATTACTTATCCAGTTGTTTGTTTTTACAATACGCATAAGATTTTGAAGTCATGCAGATATTTGTTCAAATCCTTGCTCTTTTATTGATTGTGTGATTCTGGAAAAGTTATTTAAGCTACCTAAGACTTAGTTTCATGCCTGACACTATAGCATTGTTGTAAAATAACAAGGTAAGTGTGTTTATTAAATTAGGGCTTTTTTTTGTTTCAGATGAGAGAAATCCAACCTAAAATAACTAAAAATGACAAGACAGGGAAATAACTTTATATTTGGAATAATTTAAATCTCAGAAAAACTGCAAAAATATCATACAGAACTTTAAATACCCTTCATCCAGATTTCCCAAATATAATCAACTTGGTAAGTGTCATAAAATGATTAAAGCCAAGGAATTAACATTGATAAAATACTCTTAATCTACAGACCAGATTCAGATTTTGGCAATTGTCCTAATAATGTCTTTTTACTTTTCTTTTATTTATTTGTTTATTTTTTTGATACAGGGTCTCCCTCTGTTGCCCAGGCTGGAGTGCAATGATGCAATCTCAGCTTACTGCAATCTGCACATCCCGGGCTCAAATGATCCTCCTGCCTCAGCCTCCCAAGTAGCTGGGACTACAGGCATGTGCCACCATGCTTGGCTAATGTTTGTATTTTTTGTAGGGACGGGGTTTTGCCATATTGCCCAGGCTGGTCTTGAACTCCCAGACTCAAGCGATCCACCTGCCTCAGCCTCCCAAAGTGCTAGGATTACAGGCATGAGCCACTGTGCCCAGCCAACAATGTCTTTTTTTCAAGTGCAGAATTCTACATTGCATTTAAGCTTAGTATCTCTTTAGTCTTTTTCAATCTGGAACAGTTCCTCAGTCTTTGTGTTTCTTAACCTTGAAACGCTTGAAGAATACTAACCAGCTATTGTATAGAAGTATCTCAATTTGAGTTTGTCTGATATTTTCTCATGATAAAGATTGAGATTATTCATTTTTAGGAAGAATACCATGGAAGTTACGTTGCAACCTCAGTGCATTATATCAATAGACACACGTCAATATGTCTCATTGCTCGGGACGTGAGCTTTGATCACTCAGTCAAGGTGATATTTACAAGGTTTCTCTACTGAAAAATTACTTTTCCTTTGTAAATAGTATTTTGTGGGATGATATGTTGAAACCATGCAAATATGCTATTTCTCATCATACTTCCACCCACTAATTTTAGCGTCTATCAATACTTATTGCCTGCAATAATTATTACTGTGGTGTTTAGCAAATGGTGAGTTTCTATTTCCACCATGCATCCTACATGTATTTACTGGAATTCTACAGTAAGGAAGAGCTGTTCCATCTCTCTGATTTGTTCAATTATTTCTCTATATCACTATGGACTCCCACATATTTATTCTATGTACTATAATCCATTATTATTATTTTATATTTTTTACTAAACTTATTCCAGATTTGGCCATTGGGAGATCCTTCAAGTTAATTCCTGTGTCCCTCTGACACGCCTCCATTATTTTTTGAATAACTTCCTCATTCTCTGGCACCTATGCTCATCTTGTAACTCCAGCCCTGGAATGAGCCCTTTCTCCAAGGAGACTCATGTGATTGGAAAGTTCAAGGCAGTGAATCAAAGGGTTCAAGTGATTTCATTAAGAGTTCAAATCTTTTTCTCAAACTCTTGACTCTGCTTGTCTCAGCTTCATTCTTAGGCAAAAGCCTGCATATGGTGGCTAAGATGGCAACTAATCATTGCCCTTACTACTATTTTTCCTAAGAAAATAAAGAGAAAATGCCTTTCCTTTTGCAAAAGTCTCAAGGAAAAGTCAAATTTACACAACTTGGGTCATATGCCTGTCCTGATTCAATTATTTTGGCCAGGAAACTTGGGTATTCTGCCCCTAGGTGAGTATAATATGACCACCCTTGGACAGGGCACAGAAGAGGAGTTCAGTCTATAGGAACCACATGGCACAGGTTTTCCTCAAGAAAAGTGGGCTTTAATATGATATAGATGGGCTTCCACATGTATATCTTACAAAGTTCTTTGCTTAGTATAGCACATAGTGAACACTAAGCAATGACTTTTCCACCTACTCATCACATCGCCACCAACCCAAGGCAGACAATACAAGGGTGAAATAAAATTCATATAACTGAAATTGGTTACTTGTTGGCAATGCTGCCAAAAGGTTTTTGAAGTAAAAAGACCAGTATAGCATTATAGTGTGGGTGTCTAAACCCTTATCTACAACAAAAGTTTACCTCAAATGTCCCAGAACTACTATTCTAGTAATTGTATGTGGGTGGATGTGCACGTATATGTGTGCATGCATATGTATAACATTCAGATCCACAGTTTTCAAAGACTTAGAGGTAGTGTGGCAGAACAAAAATAATATGGGCTTTGGATACAACCAGATCTCAGTTCCATCTTTGCTACTTACTGTGTAACTAGGGTGTTATTTAGTTTCCCTGAATTTGTTTCACCGGTGAAATATAGAATACCTACCTCACATACATGAGGATTCAATGACATAACGCATAGATAGCACTTGACACAATAGTTAAATGCATTAAAAATTTTTAGAATAAAATATAGGCAACTAAACTGGCATGGATTTTGTTTTTCTTCAACAATAATACAGGCATCTCAGAATTTCTAAAACAGCATTATAAGCATCAGCTCTTATGGTATTAAAAATGGAAATTACCAGTTAAAGTTTGCTGAGCATGTTATTTTCTTTTTTATGATGCCTTTAAACATACAAGCAAAGAAACAATAACAACAGTAAAAACAAGAGTGCAGAAAAGGAAAAAAACAACAGACTGAAAAGGTAATTACAGAACGGGAGAAAATGCCTGTAAAGCATACATCAGATAAGGGGTTAATTTACAAAATATACAAAGAATTATTATAAGTTGATAGCAAAAAAAAAAAAAAAACTAGTCATGATTTTTAGATGGGTTTAAAACTTGAATAGATAGTTCTCCAAATAAGACATGCAAATGGCCAATAGGTATATGAAAAGATGCTCAAGATCACTAATCATCAGGGAAATACAAAGAAAACCCATCATGAGATATCACCTCACACCTATTAGAATAGCTAGGCTCAAAAAACAAAAGACAACTCATGTTGGATAAGATGTGGAAAAATTGGAACCCTTGTACATTATTAGCAAGAAAGCAAAATGATGCAACCACCATGAAAAACAGTATAGAGATTCCTCAAAAAATTAAAAATAGAACTACCATATGATCCAGGAATTCAACTTTGGATATTTATCCAAAAGAATTGAAATCAGGATCTCAAATAGATATTAGCACTCCCATGTTCATTGCAGCACTATTCACAATAGCTAAGCCATGGAAACAATCTAACTGTCCATCAACAGAAGAATGGATAAAGAAAATGTGGTATATACATACAGTCAATTATTATTCAGCTTAAAAAAGAGGAAATCCTGCAATATGAGGTAACATGGATAGATCCTGAGGACATTATGCTAAGTGAAATAAGCCAGTCACAGAAAAACAAATCTGCATGATTCCATTTATAAGAGCAATCTAAAGTAGTGCAACTCATGTAAGAGAGAGTAGAATGACAGCTGCCAGAGGCTAGAAGGAAGGGGAAATAGGAGTTGCTTATCAATGGCCATAAAGTCTGTTATACAGGATGAATAAGTTCTTGATATCTGCTGTACAACATTATCCCTATAATTAATAATACTGAATTGTACACTCAGAAATTTATGAAGAGGTTAGACTTCATGCCAAGTATTCTTACCACAATAAAATAAAATAAAATCAGCAAGTAGACTAAGGAAGCCAAAGCCCCAGTTTCACATGTGAATGGAGCAGTGGGGCAGGGATTACATCTACTGTTATGGCAGCCACGACACAAAAGGGCACCACTTTATTAAAAATCACTCTCACAATTGCTCCATACTCAGAACACCTTCAGTGCTTTCTTAGCACTTGTTTATGTTGTTATGACTGTGACTTCATAAGGCTGCTTTTTAAAATAAATAAGCCAGAATATAAATCCAACTAAATGTCATCTCCTTCAAAATAGTCACAGAGAAAAGACCTATACTTGTTTCAATGATATCCCAAACATCTATGTCAAAATCTTCAGTTACTAACACTTTCTCCCTTAAGAGTCATTTTTTTAATGAATTAAAATTCATTTAAGTCAAGATTGAGAAGGTGAATGATCAGATTCAATGTACCTGTTTGGGCTGACAACAATAAGGTAATAATAAAAGAAAATAACTGATTTTCACATGACATACTATGAGGCTATTAAAAAGAATGGAGCAAAAACATTCCATGCTCATGAATAGGAAGAATCAATATTGTGAAAATGGCCATACTGCCCAAAGCAATTTATAGATTCAGTGCTATTCCCATTAAACTACCATTGACATTCTTCATAGAATTAGAAAAAAACTACTTTAAAATTCATGTGGAACCAAAAAAGAGCCCGTATAGCCAAGACAATCCTAAGCAAAAAGAACAAAGCTGGAGGCAACACACTACCCAACTTCACACTATACTACAAGGCTACAGTAACCAAAACAGCATAGTACTGGTACAAAAACAGACACATAGACAAATGGAACAGAATAGAGAACTCGGAAATAAAACTGCACATCTACAACCATCTGATCCTTGACAAAGCTGACAAAAACAAGCAATGAGGAAAGGATTTCTTATTTAATAAATGGTGTTGGGAGGACTGACTAGCCACATGCAGAAAATTGAAACTGGAACCCTTTCTTACACCTTACACAAAAATTAACTCAAGATGGATTAAAGGCCAGGTGCAGTGGCTCACACCTATAATCCCATCACTTGGGGAGGCTGAGGCAAGCAGATCACTTGAGATCAGGAGTTCGAGACCAGCTGGAGCAACATGGCAAAACCTCTTCTCTACAAAAATACAAAAATTAGCTGGGTGTGGTGACACACACCTGTAGTTCTAGCTACTTGAGGCAGGAGAATCACTTGAATCCAGGAGGCAGAGGTTTCAGTGAGCCAAGATTGCACTGCTACACTCCAGCCTGGGCAACAGAGCGACTCTGTCTCAAAAAAAAAAAAAAAAAAAAAAAACCTGGGAAGAAATCTAGATAATACCATTCAGGACATAGGCACGGGCCATGATTTCATGACTAAAACACCAAAAGCAATTGCAACAAAAGCCAAAATTGACAAATGGGATCTAATTAAACTAAAGAGCTTCTGCACAGCAAAAGAAACTATCATCAGAGCGAACAGACAACCTACAGAATGGGAGATAATTTATAAGAAAAAAAAACATTAAATAGTGGGCAAAGGACATGATCAGACACTCCTCAAAAAAAGACATTTATGCAGCCAACAGACATATTTTTAAAAAAAAGCTCATCACTGATCAGAAATGCAAATCAAAACCACAATGAGATAACACCTCACACCAGTCAGAATGGTGATTATCAAAAAGTCAAGAAACAACAGATGGCTGGCAAGACTATGGAGAAATAGAAATGTTTTTACACTGTTGGTGGGAATGTAAATTAGTTCAACCTTGGTGGAAGACAGTGTGGTGATTTCTCAAAGACCTAGATACAGAAATATCATTTGACCCAGCAATCCCATTATTGGATATATACCCAAAGGAATATAAATATTCTACTATAAAGATACCTGCACATGTATGTTCATTATAACACTCTTCACAGTAGCAAAGACATAGAATCAACCCAAATGCCCATCAATGATAGACTGGATAAAGAAAAATGTGGTACATATACACCATGGAATACTATGCAGCCATAAAAAGGAACAAGATCATGTCCTTTGCAGGAACATAGATGGAGCTGGAGCCATTACCCTCAACAAACTAACACAGGAACAGAAAACCAAATACCATGTTTCCACTTATAAGTAGGAGCTGAACAATGAGAATACATGGACACACGAAGAGGAACAACACATACTGGCGCCTGTGGTGGGTGGGGGAGGTGCGGCAGGGGGAGGGAGAGCATCAGGATAAAGAGCTAATGCATGCTGGGCTTAATACCTGGGTGAGAGGTTGATAGGTGCAGCAAACCACCATGACACATGTTTACCTATGTGACAAATCTGCACATCCTGCACATGTATCCCAGAGCTAAAATAATGGAGCAGATACATATGTACAGCTATAAAATGACCTACAAAACATACTATTCAATGAAAAAGGCAAGGAATACAACAGTATGTACAACATCCTTTCAACTGTATTTTTAAAATGGAATATGTACATAAATATATGCTTAATTTATGCATAGACTATATCTATAAAAAAACTAAATAACTGGTAGTTTGCAAATAGCCATTCCAAAAATATTAATATGTTCGTATAGCATTTGTGTATGTTTTATTCTTAGCTCTTATTCGATTTCAAGATCCTTAAGGATGAAGATCGGACTTGATTTTTTCTTGATATTTCCAAATGCACAGGAAAGCACACAGAGTAGATAATAAATAAATGCCTGTGGATTAACATGCCCAAATTTACATGGGGAAAAGTCAAGTAAAGTAGGGGGTGTAGAGCAAAGTATTAGTTCAAGCTGATGATAAAAATGATGTGAGGGCTTATTCGAGGAAGGGCTCATTTGTTGAATACAACAAACTTTTCATATCCTTCTCATCACATATCAGTAAGTGTACCTGAAACTTGGCAATAGCTTGTGATTCTAATTGCTGTTGAGATAAGTGTAACAGAAAAGATAAAGCTTTCCATTTTGTCCCCAGAAAGTGGGTACCTCATCATGTTTATCCTGCAGCCCAATCTTGCACACAGCCATCTGCAGTTATATTTGCCATTGTAAAATTAACAGCCCATGTGGTTCCTAGAAAATGTCCAGGTTGAAAAGGGAACTTCTCACTACATGGTGTGCAGTCAGAAACAGCTGGCCCCATGGCCAGGGAGGATTCTACTGCCACCACTGCCGAGGCATTTGCCATGGGTCATTGCCATTCTTGGAGCACCAGACTGGCCCATCAGCCCTTCGTGATACGATACAAACCCACAAGCAGGTGGTTGCTGCTCCACTTCATTTCCTCATTCAAAACATTTCCTGAAGATCATTTCACTTACAAGAACATGTAAGTGAAATATAAAAGATCCAGATCAAAAATAAGTACACCCAAGAACATGTGACTTGGTCCAATTTCAGAGATGTAACTCTTCCTAGGTGGACTGTAGTATTGAAAAGTCCACCAACCTGAAAAGTCACGATATCTGAGATTACCTTAGAAGCAACATATTAAATCTCTTCTTCAACACATAAAAATTAGTTAATTTCATTTGCAAATTATGAAGCTGAGAACATTGAGGGAGAGAAAGAATTATCTGACACTCGTTTCTTTTTTTAGAGACAGGCTAGAGTGCAGTGGCAGTTGGCAGGCAACACCACACCGGCTAATTATTTTGTAGAGACAAAGTCTCACTTTGTTGCTAAGGCTGGTGTCAAACTTAGCCTCCAAAAGTGCTGGGATTACAGGTGTGAGTTACCACACCCTGCCTTAGCTGACATTTTAAATTTTATCAAGCACCTACCATGGTCATGGACTTTGACAGGGGTTATCTCAGTTTTCTTCACAGAAATATCTCTGTTTTACTGTTGAGGAAACTAAAGCTCAGTCAAGTTGCTAAACTTGCCCAAGCTCAAACTTCCAGGGTGTTTATATGTAAATGCCAAGATTTGCATTCAAACTCAGGTCTCTGTGACCTTAAAGCTGATACTCTCCCAATTACAAGAGCCAGTGAAAAACAGGGGTAAGCAGTGGGAACTCTGGAGCCAGGTCACCTGGGCATGAAGCCTGACTCCACCACCTGACAGCAAGGAGCCACTTATCATCACTGTGTCTCATGCCTTCCACCTGTGAAATGGGCACAGTAATAATATGCAATAGGGTTATTTTTATCACAAATGTATCACAATTTATACAAGTACAGCACTTAGAAATGTACTTAGTAGACACTATTATTATTATGTCAAATGGTAACTGAACAAATCAAGAAAAACATACTTTGGTGAGAGATAAAAAGGAATATGATCAAGTTATAAAGCAGAGGAAGGTAGATGGACATAACAGAAATAATCGGGAGGTTTCAGAGTATGTACCTGTGATGATATTTGTGGATGAAAATTGGAAAAAGCTCACCAAGAGAGAACACGGACTGATGAAAGTGGAAGAGAACATTAATGAAGACTAACTTAGAAATCGGAGTCATCCATCGAAGGCACCCCTCCCGAGGAAATCTCAACTGCACAACCCCTACTACGCCCCAATTCAGCAGGAAGCAGTGAGAGCAGTTGTCGGCCAACCTCCCCAACAACAATTGGGTTTTCCTGTTGAGAGAGAGGACTGAGAGACAGGACTAGCTGGATTTCCTAGGCCAACTAAGAATCCCTAAGCCTAGCTGGGAAGGTGACCGCTTCCACCTTTAAACACGGGGCTTGCAACTTAGCTCACACCCGACCAATCAGAGAGCTCACTAAAATGCTAATTAGGCAAAAACAGGAGGTAAAGAAATAGGCAATCATCTATTGCCCGAGAGCACAGCGGGAGGGACAAGGATCGGGATATAAACCCAGGCATTCCAGCCGGCAATGGCAACCCTCTTTGGGTCTCCTCCCTTTGTATGGGAGCTCTGTTTTCACTCTTTTTCACTCTATTAAATCTTGCAAGCTGCAAAAAAAAAAAAAAAAAAAAAAAAAAAAAAAAAAAATCAGAGTCATCCTGTGGATAGGAATACTCTGAAGTTTGCTTTTTTACTGGCTTTGTTGTTGTTGTTCCCCAGTCTTTAAACAGAAAAGACATCACTTTGTTAAACTGTCTCAAAAGGAATTGTTTTGAGAATTTGTGTTTAAAGTAAAGTCTATACAATTTGAACTCCTGTGAGGGATTTATTCCACCTTCCTCAGCTCAGGCAAAGGCTTCAGGAAACAAAGCACCAACTTTGATTCCTAAATGAGCATCAGTCCCCGTGGTTCAGTTACTCAAAGGTTCCCGCAGCACTGGGCCTAATAGTTCATGCTGCACAGCTGGGTTCTGAGCCTGGGGCTCCCAATGACTTTTAAGAGAGCTTCATGATTGCTTTGCTTCCATGGGATTTGGATCAAGATAAAAAATGAGCCCAAGGTTATTTGGAAACAGTTCATATTTAAGAGACCTTCAAACACTTCACAAATAAAAAGTGGTCCATAAATATTGTATAATAACCCTATAATAACTTCCCACTTGCTAATGTTTATCATGGGGGAGAAAATTAGCAATGAGCTCATCCATACTTCAAAAGTTAGGAAATTGAGGAAAAAAATCCAAGTAGTTTAGAAGAGTTGAAATCAGTTTACTCACAGGGGAATAGTAGTTCATAAGGGAAGGAAATTGCATTTGAACTTTCCAGCAATGTGATAAAAGTACTCTATCTAGATGATACCTCGTTCTGACTAAGTATCTCCAGCCTCCAGCACCCAATCCACCAACCCCTGCCCTGAGAAACTTATTATCTGTGATCCATGGAGCCTGCATTGTTCTGTAGTTACAGGGATGGGGTTATGCAGATAGAAGGTTATCTGTCTATCTTTAATACATAAAGTAGAAACAAAGGCAACACTCTCAGTGACACTTAACAACTAGAATGTCTTTCCAATTACCATCCATCACCATCTTTCTGGGGCGTTTGTGCTAACCCTTACCCTTCATCCTGTCGCAGAGATGCCCTTTAGGACACACTCTACATCAGCCAGCCAAATCGGCCATTTTTCATTGCAGACCTGCTGGCTGAAAAATCAGCATTTACAAAGCAGCTTGTGATGCAGTGAAGAGCCCAGACAGAAATGTAATAAACAATGTTTTGAATTACATTTTGGACATTTAAAAATGCTCTGGGCTCAATTTCAAAAAGCATTTGCATTTGTAATGAAAAAAAAAATCCATCAGTGCGCTTCCAGTCTCAGGTTAACAGGCCCTTTTATGTTGTAAATTTTTTGCAGGAGCAATTACAAATTGTACACAGATTCATTATTTCTTGAGTACTTTATCAGGACATTTTCCCATACATCTAATTTGTCCTGTCTGAAATGTAACTTGACATAAGGGATTTTCTTAATTGCTTTTGAAGCCCTTCCAAGATAATCAACTGCTTTTTGGAGCATGATAAAAGACAGTAGACAATATTGCCAGTCTGTCTTTGGATCATAAGCTGAAGTTTTTGGGTAAGAGATAGCAAAGAAAGGCAACATTTGCCTTTTAAACTATTCAGTAGCTCCATTTTAATTTGCTTTTCATTTGAATGACTTGTCAGTGTCTAAGAATAGCAAAAAGAAGTTGCTCCATTTTTATCTGCCCTATTGTAATGGCTGTCACCTTGGGGGTAGATGCAGTCAATATTTACAAAAGGATTAAAGTATAATCTTTATTATTTTGAATAATCTTAACCAAAGATTAAGTAAGTAAAGATAAAACCAAAACTAAAATAACCCAATTTTTGGAGGAGAAGGTGTACTATAAAAAGCCAGTTGTGTTTCTACTATCTTCCTTTAAGAGATTTAAGCAAATAATACGTATTCATTTTGGGAGAATGCTTTTACCTTGAATTTTCAAGCTGCCAATTCTAAATAACTTCATTTTTTAGTTACAGAACAAACTGCATTTACTGCACATGTAGGCAGGATGATGTTCCCCCACAGATGTTCGTACTCTAATCCCCAGAACCTTTCATGGCAAAATGGACTTTGAAATAGGGAGATTGTTCTGGATTATCAGGAAGTACCCAATCTAATCACAAGCATCCTTAAGATTAGAGACTATATCCACGCTGTTTTCAGAGTGGTATGGGATAGAAAAGTTGGAGAGATTTGATGTAAGGACCTGACCTGCTGCTGCTTGCTTTTAAGGTTGAGGACAGGGCCGCAAGCCAAGGAAGGTGATTACCTCCAAAAGGTGGGAAGAGCCTTCAGTTTATAATCTGCATGAAAGCAATGACCTCAGTCCCACAGACTCAAGGAACTGAATTCCACCAACAATCCAAATAAGCCGAAAACTTAGGCTCCCCTAGATGCTCTAGAAAGAAGTGCAGCCTACAGATACCTTGATTTTAGCCCACTAAGACCTGTGTCAGATTTCAATCTTTATTTACAAATTAATAAAGATTGTACTTTAATCCTTTTGTAAATATTAACTGCATCTACCCCCTTACACTTACTGACCTACAGAACTGTAAGATATTTGAGTTGTTTAAACCACTCCATTTGTGGCAATTTATTAAAGCCACATAAAAAATTAATACACTGTCTACAGCATAATGTCCTATTTTCATGCCCAGATCATCCTTAAAGTGCCCAAATACAAGAGATCTAATACCAATTTTACTACACTTAGCATTTAGTCAGCACCACCTTATGGAATGGAAATTCAAATACTGCTTGCTAAAATCCAATTGAACTATATCTTACAAATGGAAAATATAAAGACTGCAGGCTCGCTTCAGGAAGCTAACATTATTAACTTAAGAACACTGATTGGAACATTGGGTAAAGGATGAAAATTACTAGCTTTGTTTTAGATCAACAATGTTAATATGCCATGCTGATCCTTAATCATCCCCCAAGAATTGCTGTTGGCAGGAATCAGAAAATTGATTTTTCTCAATTTTAAAGCTTAGACTTGAAAGTCTGTAATAAGAAGTCCACAGGAGTTCAAGGAATATTTAGATATTTTCAACTAAAAGCTACTCCAAAAATGATAGGAATTATTACTAATAACAGCATCATTTTTTCCAGGTGAAGGCAGCCAGTATTAGTAGCCAAAAATGAAATGGCTAGTTTTGTGCTTCATTTGTATTAAATGATGACCATATCTAAGATACTTGTGTTCCAGTTGTAGTTAATTAACTTTCCCAAAGACATAATGGCAAAGAGCAGCAACTCAAGTAAGCCAGAAGATCATACACTGCTATGTAAGGTGTCAAACTAAAGAAAACTGAGAGTTTCAGCTCATAAAGTGGGTTAGGAGGTTCAAGATCCAAGCCTGTAAAGTCAATAATGGTATGGTGTTCTATAATAAGATAGTGCATTGAATACATGTATCAAATTTTGTTTTCCTCTCAAAATCCCAAGGAAAAATTTTTTTTAAAAAAAGGCCTAACACAACAAGGACAGAGAGAACAAGAAAGGTGACAACAGAACAAAATTTTGGAAGCTGAAAAGCAAGGGAACTAATGGTAAGAGATTTAACCTACCCAAAAGAGCTGAATTTTGGCTAGAAGTGGATTGAGAACTAAACTAACTTACTCTGAAAAATCCTCAAAAGGCTTGGGATCAGATACCTCTGAAATCTTGGGTAAAGGGGAAGGGACAGAGTAAAGAAGAAAAAGTGAAGTTAGATTCCCAGACACCCTCCCCAACAGCTCCTGATGACTGGACATCTGTTCCCTGGAGAGACCAACACAGATAGGTTCTATTTTCTCCCCTCCCTCCCCCTCCTTTTTTTTCCCAGACAGGGTCTTGGTCTGTTGCCCAGGCTGGAATGCAGTGGCGCCATCTTTGCTCACTGCAGCCTCGACCTTGACCTCCCAGGCTCAAGCGATCCTCCCCACTTCAGCTTCCTGAGTAGCTGGGACTACACAGCACCACCGCACTTGGGTAATTTTTAATTTTTTTGTAGAGACAGCGTCTCACTATGTTGCCTAGGTTAGTTTCAAACTCCTGGGCTCAAGTGATCCTCTTGCCTCAGCCTCCGAATGTGCTCAGATTACAGATGTGAGCCACTGAGCCTGGACAGAGGTGGGTTCTAGACTGAGGTGTGTGTGTTGGGGAGTAAATGGGCAGGTACTATGCTGAAAATAGGAGGATTAAGTGAACATATGAAGGCTGAATGCTAATTGCAGCAACTTCAAACTGTGTGGGAACTCTAATATAATCTAGCAAGGAGTTCAGAATTGTTTGCCCTATTATCATGGGACTAGGCCTCTACTGGATGAATATCACACTCTTAAGAAAGCCTATTTTATAACAGGTAAACTTGATTCTAACAATGAGCCTCTACATTACTAATTATGTGATCACCCTAAGTAGGAAGTGGATGGTATGAGAGGAGCCCTGAGTGCTAGCTCAGATGGCTTAAAGACATGATAGTGATGTGGTGAGCTCTCTGTTTCCCCTAGCATCACTTCTCTGTGATAAAACTTTCACATGTTCGGGTGCAGTGGTTCACGCTTGTAATCCCAGCACTTTGGGAGGCCGAGGCAGGTGGATCACCTGAGGTCAGGAGTTCCAGACCAGCCTGGCCAATATGGTGAAACCTCATCTCTACTAAAAATACAAAAATTAGCTGGGCATGGTGGCAGGCACCTGTAATCTCAGCTGCTTGGGAGGCTGAGGCAGGAGAATTACTTGAACCCAGGAGGCGGAGGTTGCGGTGAGCTGAGATCGTGCCATTGCACTCCAGCCTGAGTGACCGAGTGAAACTCCGTCTCAAAAAAAAAAAAAAGTTCACCTTGATGCACTCTCATTTAATAGCTTAACAGTAGGGATCTCAGGCTGCTTCTTCCATGCGCTTACCAGGCCATGGGCAGTCAGACCTTTGCCCTCCACTCAGGAGACTGGAAGAAGCCCGAGAAGTCTAATCTCCCAGGAGGAAAAACCTAAAAATAATGACAATAGGGGTTTCCCAACTAAAGGAAACCACTTACATTGGTACCAGAATAGTGGTTTTCCACTGGGGTGAAAAAACAGACCAAAAACAAAGGAGTATGGGGGAAACAGATATCCTGAAGACAAAAATAAAAAACAACAAAAAACTCCACGTAACAAAAACAAAATTACCATTGATATTTCTGAGATATATGAGAACCCATACATCCATGAAACATGATAATGATGCAATTTTTTTTTTAAAAAAAGGAAGCATACAGAGAACAAAGAAAAGCTATTAGGAATTAAGAAGATGGTAGCAAAAAAGAATTTAGTAGAAGAATTTGTAGGGGTATTAAAAAGTCAAAGCAGCCGGGCGGGGTGGCTCACTCTTGTAATCCCAGTACTTTGGGAGGCCAAGGCAGGTGGATCACGATGTCAGGACTTCAAGACCAGCCTGGCCAATATGATGAAACCCCGTCTCTACTAAAAATACAAAAGTTAGCTGGGCGTGGTGGCGCATGCCTATAGTCCCAGCTGCTCGGGAGGCTGAGGCAGGAGAATTGCTTGAATCAGGGAGGCGGAGGTTGCAGTGAGCTGAGATCGCGCCACCGCACTCCATCCTGGGCGACCAAGCGAGACTCCATCTCAAAAAAAAAAAAAGTCAAAGCAACCTCTCAGAATGTAAAAAGACAAAGAGCTGAAAAATTGTGAAGAAAATATGAAAATCAAAGAATCCATGTATTAGTTTCTTATTGATGCTATCTCATATTGCATAAATAACATGAGTTTACTGTCTTACTGTTCTGGAAGTCATTAGCCTGAAATGGGTTTCACTGGGCCAAATCCAAGGTGTTGCCGGGGTCATGCTCTCTCCAGAGGATCTAGGGGTGAATCCGTTTTCTTGCCTTTCTAGCTTCTAGAGGAGGCCCGAATTCCTTGGCTTGTGACTGCTTCCTTGCATCACTCTGACCTCTTGCTTCCATCATCACATTTCCTACTTCTTTGAATTCCTGCCTCCCTCTTAAAAGGACTCTTGTTACATTGGACACACCAGGATAACCTCCTCATCTCAAGATTTTTAAATTTAATCACGTGTCATAAGAGTCACAGGTTCTAGGGATTTGGACATGGACATCTTGGGGAAGGGGAGGGGGTCATTATTCAGCCTCCTACAGTCAGAATAGGAGATGTGATATCTATAAAGTAGAATGAAAAAGAAAATAGGAGAAAAATAGCAGTGAAATAGTGAAGGATTTAAGTTTAAAGATTGAAGGAACCTACCAAGTACAAGGCAAAATGAATGAAAAGAGAACTACAACAAGGGGCACCACTGTAAAATTTCAGAACACTAGAGACACAGAGAAGATCTGACAAGCTTCCAGAGAAGAGAGGAAAACATACGAAGGACAAGGAATCATAATGTCTTTGGACTTCACAAAATCAACAGTGGAAGCACAAACACAATGGAACAATGCATTCAAAATTCCAGGGAAAAATGATTTCTCAGCTAAAATTATATACCCAGGCACTCACAGTCGAGCCTTCACATTTGGATCTGTTATGGAACCTTTCTCAGGAAGCTACTGAAAGATGTGCAGCCAAAACTAGAAAGCACAACAAAGTGAAAGAAATGAAACACAGGTAACAGGAGACCCAACACAGAAGAGACAAAGGAAATTCTGGAACAATAGTGAAGAGAGATGGGAAAATAAGGCAAGAGGTCCAGAATGGCAAAATGACTTACAAGAGTAAGTTGAGGGCTGTTATCACTAAGAGGGTTTCTGCAATTGTACCACCTTTTTTCCTTAAGTCTTAGAATGCCAGGATGAGCCTGGACCAGCTTCTTATTTTTTCCTTCTCTGCTCTCCATGCTGTGATGACTGGAATATATGAGGAATACATCCTTATTTTACCTTCCAAGCATAAGCCTGAGAGTCAAACGTGGGGATGATTAGCTCAGAAACCAAAAATACTGGGTAACTCCATTCCCCTTACCACATTCTTACTGACCACCCCATCCCTGGCTCAAAGTACCATCCTGTGGTAGATCTAATTTTCCCAAGACTTACTCATGCCTTTGCCCACTGGATCCTAAGGAGCTCTGTAAACTCTCTGGAAAACTGAAGCCAAAGACATTCAGTTAATCATCTCCCGGGAACTGTTACTTAGCAGTAGAAATAGTGTGCTTTTCCCCTAGCTAGATGTGTGCTTGTGCCTATTTTTCAAACTAAATAATGTATAGGAGATACATACAGAGATTGTAAATAACCATAAGGATAATCAAGAGTCTGATACAAAAGTTAGGATACCAGCCAGGCACGGTGGCTTACGCCTGTAATCCCAGCACTTTGAGAGGCTGAGATGGGTGGATCACCTGAGGTCAGGAGTTCAAGACCAGCCTGGCCAACATGGTGAAACCCCTTCTCTACTAAAAATACAAAAATTAGCCAAGCGTGGTGGTACACACCTGTAGTCCTGGCTACTCAGAAGGCTGAGGCAGGAGAATTGCTTGAACCCATGAGGCGGAGGTTGCAGTGAGCCAAGGTAGTGCCACTGCACTCCAGCCTGGGTGAGCCTCCATCTCAAAAAAACAAAACAAAACAAAACAAACAAACAAACAAAAAACACATCACACCCATTAGGATGGCACTATCAGAAAAACAGATCAAAAATAGAATTACCGTGTGATCCAACAATTCCACTTCTGGGTATATATCCAAAAGCACTAAAAGCAGAATCTCTTGAAGAGAGATTTGCCACCCATGTTCATTGCAGCATTATTCACAATAGCCAAGAGGTGAAAGCAAACCAAATGTCCATCAACAGATGAATGGATAAGCAAAATGTGATATCTACATACAATGGAATATTGTTCAGCCTTAAAAAAATTCGACATATGCTACAACATAGATGAACCTTAAGAACGTTACTGCTAATTGAAATAAACCAGTCACAAGTCAAATACTGTATATGAAATACTGTATGATTCCACTCAAATGAGTTATCTAGAGTAGTCAAATTCACAGAGAAGAATGCTAGTTAGCAGGTGCAGGGGGAGAGAAAAGGGGCAGTTGTTAATGGCTACAAAGTTTTAATTTTGCAAGATGAAGAGTTCTGGAAATGGGATGCATAACAATGTGAATGTACTTAATGCTACTGAACCGTGTGCTTCAAAGTGGTTAAGGTGGTAAAGTTTATGATATGTATATTTTACTACAATTTTTTTAAAGTAAAAAAAAAGTCAGGATAACGGTTACCTCTGGGGAAAAAGTGATACTATTATGGTTAATGTTATGTATTAACTTGGCTGGGCCATGGGCTGCCCAGATATTTGGTCAATTATTCTGGGTGTCTGTGAAGATGTTTTGGATATGATTCATACTTAAATTGGTGAATTCTGAGTAAAGCATATTGCCTTCTGATATGGTTTGTGTCCCCACCCACATCTCATCTTGTAGTTCCCATAATCCCCATGTGTCATTGGAGTGACCCAGTGGGAAGTAATTGAATCTTGGGGGTGGTCACCCTCATGCTGTTTTCATGATAGTGAGTTCTCATGACATCTGATGGTTTTATAAGGGGCTTTTCCCCTTTGCTCACCGTTTTTCCTTCCTGCCACCATGTGAAAAAGAACATATTTGCTTCCCCTTCTGCCATGATTGTAAGTTTCCTGAGGCCTCCCCAGCCATGCTGAACTATGAGTCAATTAAACCTCTTTTCTTTATAAATTACCCAGTCTTGGGTATGTCTTTATTAGCAGCATGAGAATGGACCAATACATCTTCCATAATGTCAGTGGGCCTCATCTAATCAGTTGAATGTCTGAGTAGAATAAAAAGATTGATCTTCCCCAAGCAACAGAGAATTCTCTAGCAGTCTTCAGACTTCACCTGCAACATCAACTCTTCCTGGTTCTGCAGCAGATTGCCTTTCAACTCTAACTGGAACATTGGCTCTCCTGGGTCTTCAGTCTGCCGGCCACAAGCTGAGCACAGTGGTGGATGTCTCTAGTACTATCTACTTAAGAGGCTGAGATGAGAAGGTTGCTTGAGGCTACGAGTTCCAGGATGTAGTGGCTATGACTGCACCCATGAATAGCCACTGCACTCGAGCCTGGGCAACATACCAAGACCCCCATCTCTTAAAAAAGAAAAATATAACACAGACACACACGCACACACATATCCTATTGTTTCTTTTCTCTAGAGAAAAAATTACGCCTAATACAGAAACAATAGGGGGAAAGCATTTGCAGAGCTTCTAAGGTATTTGTAATGTTCTTAACCTGAGTGGCAGGTACACAGGACTTTATCATTATTCTTCAAACTGCACATACATTTAATGTACTTTGTTGTATGCACTATTCTTTTCACAATTAAAAACATTTTTTTAAAAATCTAAGGTTGGGATGCAACCAGTCTATTCACCAAAGTTCACATCTTTTTCACAAGTCTTCAAGATTTTAAATAAAATAAATAATCTGGGTCTGATAACACTGTCTGTAGGCAGAGAGTGTGTTAAATTGGTTTGGCAGACTTAAGTGGGTCATAGATCATAGATCTGTAATGGGTCATTAAGAAAAATTCAGGGCCGGGCGCGGTGGCTCACGCCTGTAATCCCAGCACTTTGGGAGGCCGAGGCGGGCGGATCACGAGGTCAGGAGATCGAGACCATCCTGGCTAACACGGTGAAACCCCGTCTCTACTAAAAATACAAAAAATTAGCCGGGCGTGGTGGCGGGCGCCTGTAGTCCCAGCTACTCGGGAGGCTGAGGCAGGTGAATGGCGTGAACCCGGGAGGCGGAGCTTGCAGTGAGCCGAGATCGCGCCACTGCACTCCAGCCTGGGCGACAGAGCGAGACTCCGTCTCAAAAAAAAAAAAAAAAAAAAAAAGAAAAATTCAGAATGTTTTGGGGTTAACATTATGAAAGATGACTGTCCCTCATGCTGCTTAGAGAAATGTTATCCAACTACATAGACATTGGTGTCATCTTATTTGGTGTCATATCATATGGCATCTATTTTTTCCTCTTCCTTTCTTGACCTCTAGTTTCGGGGTGAATTGTAACTACAGACGAACACTTCTGAAGGCCAGAACCATCATCCCTCTTTCAACTTTCCAAGGACCTTATGTGTTCTAAGCACATAAAGCCTGGGGGTGACGCTGTATAAGGAAAATAAAAAATTATTTCCAGCCCTCCTATATGCCAAAGTGTTTGATTTATCTTGAATAATTTTTAGCATCTCACATTAAAACATTTTAAAGGCCATATATCAATTTTTCATTTCAAAGGGAATATTTTTTAAATCTATAACAAACTGGGGGGAAATTGAAATTGTTCAATAATATGTAGCATGTATATATGTCAAAAATTAGAATTGAAATGGGGACCATGGAAAGCAAAGTAACTGTAGACACAGCTGGGAAATTTCATGGCCATCTTTCAATGTAAATCACTTGCAAGTAAATACATGAAGTGAATGTATTCAATTTCCAGAGATACATTTATATGTATATAAATTCAAGTATTCTGGCTATTTCTGTAGCAAAATACAGAAAAGAACTTTCAGAAGTCCTTAGGTAAAACAAGTTACAAAAATAATTTTCTTTGAAATATTTTTAAATGCATTTACAAAATACTAAAATTAAGTCTAGAAAATACTTAAAAATCACAAAGAAAAACCACTGGTAATCTTATTTATGAGAGAAAACTCCTAATATCTTACAGCTGAAAGTGAAGGTAATATTACAAGACCACCATTTCTCCCCCATACCCCAACCCTTAGGCATTTGTTAAGTCCACAGCTACATGTGCTAGTATCTCTGTTCCAAGTATTTCCACGACAGACCTGTGAAATAGGTGGTATTCTTTTCATTTAACCCTAAAAATTACTTCAAGCTCCGAAAGGAAAAGCAACTTGCTACTAGCAAGTGGAAAAATCACGTTTGAATCTAGAGTTGTTTCTTTGCACTATACATAATACTTCCTTCAAGTAAAAAAAATATCTTGACTAGCCTACCCTTGAATTAAAACCTACTGCACAAAAAAAATTACAAAAAAGCCTACTGCTATATTTAATGTTGATGAGATGATTTGGCTGCCAAAAGGGTATAATTAGCTTATATTCCAGTACAGATACCTAACTTACAATGGGGTTACATCCTGATGAATCCTTCATAAATTTAAAATATCCTGAGTCAAAAATGCATTTAATACACATAAACCTACTGAATATCACAGCTTAGCCTAGCCTACCTTAAATATGCTCAGAACACTTACATTAGCCTACAGTTGGGCAACATCTAACACAAAGCCTATCTTATAGCAAAGTGTTAAATATCTTCTGTAATTTATTAAATACTATACTGAAAGTGAAAAACGGAATGGTTGTATGAGTACTTGAAGTATGGTTTCTATTGAATGTGATTACTTTCACACCATTGCAGTCAAAAAATCTGCTGAACCATTGTAAGTCAGGGACCATCTATACACCAACAAATTGTGATTTCCCTCATTGATACAATGGAATAAATGCAGCCAAAAAAAGAACTAGTTCCTTCTCTTTGGTGCTCTGCTGGTACATAGTGGCACATGTGATTCTTGGTGCAGTGCTCCATGGGTCGGGAGGATCCTTGACCAGGTACAGTGGTCCCTGCAGTCACTGGCATCAGGGCCAGGTCACATGGGTCTGGGAATGCTCAGCTGGCTTGGAGGCCTATGTAAAGTGGAGAACAGAGGAAGGCTTGGCTAGTGTCATCAGAATGATTCTTATGGATGAATGAAGCAAATGAATAAATAGAATAATGAGGGCTGAGGCTGGGCGCAGTGGCTCACGCCTGTAACCCCAGCACTTTGGGAGGCCAAGGCGGGCTGATCACGAGGTCAGGAGATCGAGATCATCCTGGCTAACACGGTGAAACGTCATCTCTACTAAAAATACAAAAAAAAAAAATTAGCTGGGTGTGGTGGCGGGTGCCTGTGGTCCCAGCCACTTGGGAGGCTGAGGCAGGAGAATGGCATGAACCTGGGAGGCAGAGCTTGCAGTGAGCTGAGATCATGCCACTGCACCTCCAGCCTGGATGACAGAGAGAGACTCCATCTCAAAAAAAAAAAAAAAAAAAAATTCGAGCTGAGCACTGTGGCTCATGTCTGTAGTCCCAGCACTTTGGGAGACCAAGGTGAGTGGATCGCTTGAGCTCAAGACTTTGAGAGCAGCCTAGGCAACATAGTGAAACTAAAAATACAAAAATTAGCTGGGTATGGTGGTACATGCCTGTAGTCCCAGCTACTCAGGAGGCTGAGGTGGGAGAATCACTTGAACCCAGGAGGTGGAGGCTGCAGTGAGCTGAGATTGTGCCACTGCACTCCAGCCTGGGTGAGAGTGACACCCTGTCTCAAAAAAAAGAACTGAGAATTCGGTTGCTGTCAGAGAAAGGTGCCACAAACATGGGAAGAGCCAAAATAAACCCTGTGGAACAAGACTGTAACTGGAGCTATCGATGTCAACTTATGGTTTCTTATACAGAGAAATGTCAAAAATATCAAGCTCATGAAAGACAAACACTGAGGAACTGTTCCATATTGAAGCTAAAGCAACATGGCGACACACACAAGTAATCTTGGACTGCATAGACCTATAAAGGAAACTGGAACAACTGATGAAATCTGAATGGGATCTTATGAAATTGAATGGTAATTTCTTGATTGTGATTATATTACAGGGTATATAGGCATGTATCCTTATTTTTAGAAAATATACACTGAGGTTTATATACTAAGTGGGTGATGAAGCATCGTATCTTCAACCTACTCTTCAATAGTTCAGGAAATAAAAATAGTATACATATGTAGTGTGCATGAAAATGATAGGGTAAATGTGCTAAATGCTGACAACTGGGGAATCTGGAAAGGGAAATACAGGCATTATTTATGCTATCATGGCAAATAATGAAATTTTTAAATGAAGATTTTTAAAAAGGACATTTTTGGCCAGGCACGGTGGCTCATACCTGTAATCCCAGCACTTTGGGAGACTGAGGTGCGCAGCTCACGAGGTCAGGAGATCGAGACCATCCTGGCCAACATGGTGAAACCCCATCTCTACTAAACATACAAAAATTAGCTGGGTGTAGTGGCGCTGCCTATAATCCTAGCTACTTGGGAGGCTGAGGCAGGAGAATCGCTTGAACCAGGGAGTCGGAGGTTGCAGCGAGCCGAGATCACACCGCTGCACTCCAGCCTGACAACAGCGCAAGACTCCGTCTCAAAAAAAAAAAAAAAAAAAAAAAAGGACATTATTTATATTATACAACAAATTCCAAATGAAAAAAAGGTCAGAGAATTGTATGTTATTCTTTGTGAGGGCGGATGGTGAGAGTATGGACACGTGAGTTTTTTGATTATATTCTTCTATATGCAGAGTGCCTCTAGAAACATATGCAAGGAACTGATCTACATCCATTTCTTCCACAGTTGAAAAACGGGTGGCTAGAGAATAACAACACTTTTTACTCTCCGAAACTTAATTATGCACTATATGAAATGTAGTAACTTAAAATATAAAACAAAATGCTTTAATTTAGTGGTTGCCAAATGCAATGCCAGACTGGCAACCTTAGAACCACCTGGGAAACATTTAAAAATAAATTAATAGGCCTCAATTCCCAAAATTTATTTCAGTAAGCCCAGGGTAGGACTCAGGTATCAGTAAAATTTCCCCAGTTAATTTCCTCAGCCTACTCAACATGAAGATAAGAATAAAGAACTTGATTATGATCCAGGCCAGGTGCAGTGGCTCACGCCTGTAGTGCCAGCACTTTGGGAGGCCGAGGAGGGTGGACTGCTTGAGGGCAGGAGTTTGAGACCAGCCTAGCCAACATGACAAAACCTCATTTCTACTAAAAATACAAAACTCAGCTGGGCGTGGTGGCGGGTGCCTGTAATCCCAGCTACTCGAGTGGCTGAGGGAGGAGAATTGCTTGAACCCAGGAGGCGGAGGTTGCAGTGAGCTGAGAATGCACCACTGTACCCCAGCCTATGCGACAGAGCGAGACCTTGTCTAAAAAAAAAAAAAAAAAACTTTATGATAATCTACTTCCACTTAATGAATAGTAAATATATTTTCCCTTCCTTGAGATTTTCTTAATAATATTTTCTTTTCTCTAGGCTACTTTAAGAATACAGTATGTAATACACAGAAGATAGAAATATGTTAAATGACTATGTTTATCAGTAAGGCTTCTGGTCAACAGCAGGTTTTTACTAATTAAGTATTTGGGGAGTCCAGAGTTATAGTGGATTTTAGACTGTGCAAGGTTGATACCCCAAACCCACACCGTTCAAGGGTCAACTGTATAATGTAACAAGATTATATAGCTATTAATTTTTAGTTAAAAACAAATCCGTTCCCACAAATAGATACAGTAACTGTAACATTCTAGGATGGGGTGGTAAGTTAACATTCTGGATCAAGTGTTAATTTTATTGTGTTTTATTTCAATACATATTAAACTATATTCTTTTGTATGTATCACATGTTACATCAGAAGAATGTAATTTTTAAAAATTAAAGCAACAAAAGAACAATTAGTTTAGAAGTTTGGTCCTTACATTTAAAAAAAGAAGTAAATACAAGAAAACTAAGCATTACATGCCAGCAGTACATATTTATTATTATTCATGAATGGTGAAAAGACTTACAAGGCCCATTATTATGAGTATAACCACACATATGAAATATCACTTAGCGGCAACATGGGATGAAAAGGACAGTTATATATTTATATTAAAAAAATACACGTTTGCATTCAATGTTTGCCTAGAAAAAAAATACATGTACACACGCTCTTTCAAGTGCTCCCCATAAACTGCTATAAAAGCAGGAGGCATCAAGCTGTAGAAGTTCCAATATACATAACATGTTGAAATATCTCAAGCATAAAAACTGTACGTAACTTGCAAAAATAAAGTTCCTTTCTTCAAACATTTTGATCTGAGCTCAGGCAAAGCAAATAATGAACACCAATGATTTTTATACTATTTCACACAATTTAAAATAATCAACATGAAAAGGTCAACAGCTTCAAAAATCCTGAAAATATGGAGGTTACGAGAATGAACAATTTCATCTGAAAAGTCTACAGCAGATCTGCTTCATCCTGACTCTCAAATATTTAAGGATCATAATTTACTATACTCAAACTCCAAGTTTAGCCAGGACAAACAAAATGATAAAAAGAAAAATTACTGCAAACAGGGCATGACTGCCCTTTAGTTTCTTTAGACAATTTCACTAGTGCAAGAGCATCATTTACCTGAAAGATCCTAAGAGTCACAATTAAAGTACTCATACAAAACTATTTCCTTTGTTCTTTAAAAAGTGCCACATACTATACTTTTCATTTAAAAAAAAAAAAGAACCCAACACAAATAAACTAATGAAAGACCGTTTGTCTCCATCTCTTGTCAATGAGGAAAGGCCAAAGTGATTCTTTGATTCCAATTCGAAATGGTGTTCGTTGGCCAATGCCCAAGGTCTCCAATTTGGAGCAGTCAAGCTGAGCATTTCTCGGACGTTGTGCTCCTAGGACAGGGCTGTCAGTAATCTTTAAAGAAAGATAAACACAAAAAAATCAAAAGTAAGTGAAAGGCTATATTTTGAGGGCTTTGTTCCCCCTGACCTTTTTTTAAATATGTATATATTTTTAAACAGAGATGAGATCTCCCTCCATTGCCCAGGCTAGTCTCAAATTCCTGGGCTCAAGGGATCCTCCTGCGTCAGCCTCCCAAAGTGTTGGGATTACAGGCATGAGCCATTGTGCCTGGCCATTTTGAGGTTTTATATTTGCTACTTATTTTTGCTCTTAGTGTAAGAAATCTGATTTGATCATCCCTGGAAAAATAAACCAAATGCCTGTCATGATCAAGACAATAATACATTTTCTACAAACTTCAATACTCATGATCTTCTCTACAGATGATAATTTAGAGAAAAGTAGCACTATGAACAGCCAGCATACAAGCAAAGTTCACTTTGATTAGTACTGAGAAATGAAGTTACCCAACACAGCAATAATATATACCATAGCAATGGATCTAAAGGTTTTTACAGCCATGTACTTACAGGTCTTAAGTGACTGCTGGGGAGGTTGAAGGCATCTGCAATTGCACATGCCATTTCATACTTAGTCATCTGTTCATTGCCAGACCAGTGAAAGGTTCCCTTAATTGATGGATCCTAAGAACGATGACACAATAAATTCAATAGTTTCAACTTTTTGAGCTGAGTAGAATAGGTTTGACCAAAAAGCTTACTTAAAATAAGGTCCAGGAACTAAAAGGCAACCCTCTTTTTCTGGAAAGGTCTCCACAAGATATCTAAAATCAAATTCCTACTAATACTCTTAGCAAAACACTTAAAAGAGCAATTTCTAGAATTTAAACCTTAAGAATTTTTAAAATCAAAAAAAGGCTCCAATTTTACTTAATTAGTGGGAATATAAAAAAGCATTACAAATTTTTATGAAAACAGTACAATTTAATGAGTATTTTTAATTATCCCAAGCTACAACAAAAACTTAATAGAACCATTTTTCAAGTTGAGCTAAACTTTCTTAAATATTGTCATGTTATATATTACAAAA
Source organism: Homo sapiens (assembly GCF_000001405.40). NCBI lineage: Eukaryota > Metazoa > Chordata > Mammalia > Primates > Hominidae > Homo > Homo sapiens. The sequence continues at coordinate 163,517,154 of NC_000005.10, read as the reverse complement.
TATAATTCTCATATATTAAAAAACTGTGGTCATCCTATTAATATTCTAAACTAAATCAGTCTCATCTTTCTTTGTATGGATATTATATTTAATACCAACTTTTTCAAATGTGCTGGGATTACAGGTGTGAGCCATCACGCCCAGCCCCCAAAGAGTATCTTCTTAAAAGACCTTAGATGATTATTTTGAAGTTTCCTAACACTTTGCAATAAAAGAAATGATGGGATCTATAGTACATAAGAAATAAATTCAAACAGAAGAGCATAATATTTTTATTCTTCATGAATACAGTGTATATGTAAACTACTTTTGTTTGGTCTCCTAGTTTTAAAAAAGCACTTTTGGCTTTCACTCAGTAACACTCCAAGTACAGCTGTGAAAGTTCAAGCATGGAAAAGACAAAGCGGACCTTCGCTAAGACAGGACTCAGGAATCCTTCTTACCAGCATTCTCTTCTCTGCTAGCTGCCGGCACACAGTGGCCACATCTTTGACATGTGTGGGGAACCTCTGCTGCCAGTGATCCATGTTTGCTGACTTGTTGCTGAACTGCACTTTATCAAACATAACAGTCACAGCACTTTCTTCGAGCTTTTCAACTTCCCCATACAGAATAGGAATCCTCAAAACAGCAGCTCCTAGAGAAGAATAAAAGCAAATAATTTAAAGCTGACTGATTCTTAAATTTTGATGTAAGATACAAGGGTGTGGATTTAAATAATATCAAAGTAGAAACCTTGCCTTTTAATTAAAATATACCAAAATGACACAGCTCACTTGTGACAACGCAATGTAAAAATATTCAAGGCCAGGCACAGTGACTCATGCCTATAATGCTAGCACTTTGGGAGGCCAAGGCAGAAGGATCACTTGAAGCCAGGAGTTCAAGATCAGCCCGGGCATCATAGCAAAACTCCGTCTCTACAAAAAATTAAAATGAAAATTAGCTGGGCATGGTGGCACATGCCTGTAGTCCCAGCTACTTGGGAGGCTGAGTAAGGCAAAAGGATCTCTTGAGCCTGAAGTTCAAGGTTGCAATGAGCTATGACTGCACCACTGTACTCCAGCCTGGGCAACAGAGTGAGACCCTGCCTCAAAAATAAAATTAAAAACAGTCAAAGGCTGAGTGCGGTGGGGCTCATGACTGTAATTCCAGCACTTGGGAGTCCAAGGCAGGAGGACTACTTGAGCCCAGGAGTTCGAGACCAGCGTGGACAACACAGTGAGACCTCGTCTCTACAAAATGTAAAAAAATTAGCCGTTCGTGGTGGGAGGATTGCTTAAGCCAAGGAGGTCAAGGCTATAGTGAGCTGTGTTCACCCTACTGCACTCCAGCCCAGGCGACTGAGACCCTGTCTCAAAAAAAAAAAAAAAAAAAAAAAAAAGAAAAAGGCAAAACCACATTTGTTAAGTATCTTCTGTCATTTGGACTAGTTTTTTTTATATATATAAATCCTACATTAATATGATCATTAAAAATAAAACTTATCATGACAACTGAATGCAATGAATAGTCTTTGACTGGATGCTAGATTAAAAAATAAAAGCAATAAAGGACATTTTTGGCATAAATGAGAAAATTCCTAAATAGATTTGTATTTGATTACAGTACCATATTAATGTTAAGTTTCCAAATGTATGATAACTGCACTGTAATTATGTGAAGAACATTCTTCTTGTTAGAAGATAAAAGAAAGGTAAAGTATTTGGAGATGAAATTCAACTAATTATCAATGGGTCTGGCAAAAGCAAACATATAAAACAAATGTGACAAAACATCAACAATTTGTGAATCTATGTGAAGGGTATATGAGTGTTCACATTAGTTTTACAACCACTCATTAATATTTAGATTTTATAATGGTCCCTGCTGATGGTATACAATAGTTAACACTTTAACTGCAAATCAAACATTTTCTTTTAAATTACATGACAAGAGAACTTAGATACTGCTATGGTTTGAATGTTTTTGTCCTCTCCAAAAATTCATGTTGAAACTTAATCCACGAAGCAACAGTGCTGGGAGGTGGGGCATTTTGGGAGGTGTTTAGGTGGTCATCAGCACTCTGCTCTTATGAATGGATTAATGCCATTATAAAAGGACTTGAAGGAAGAAGCACATCCCTTTCTGCTCTTCTGCCGTGAGAACACAGCATTCCTCCCCTCCAGAGGACCAGAAAGACCCTCACCTTGATCTTGGACTTCTCAGCCTCTAGAACTGTGTGAAATAAATTTCTGTTCTTTATAAATTACTGAGTTGTTGGTATTCTGTTATAGCAGCACGAAATAAACTAAGACAAATGTATTCAAGGATGATTTCAACAGAATAATTTATAATACAAGAAAACTTTTTAAAAAACTAAATGTCCATTAGTAAGGTATTCTACACTAGGGCTGCTTCTCAAGGCCATAGTACAGTCTAAGGCAGTAGTTTTAGTGCAGGGGACCATTAAATTAAGTACTACGCAGCCACTGATAGGAGTAAGATATCCCAGAGTAGGTTCCATGTGTACTAAAATGCAAAGATGTTGAGGGAAAAAAAACAGGTTGTGAAACAACATGCATACATTTTTTGAAAATATATAAAAATGCTTCCACACTTAACCATATTTGGTGTTTATCTCCCTGAGGCAGCATTTATGAGAACTTTTGTTCTTAGTAATTTTACATTTTTTCTAAGGAGTGTATACTTTTTATATATGGAGATGTGTGTTATACACAAACTCACATACAGGAAAAAAGAAACACCATAATAGAATGTTAATACATACAACATACATATAACAGAATACATAAAAACAAAATACATACACATATAACACAGTAACATACATATAACAGAATACATAAACAGAATATCTCACTCTAAGAGAAATTATACTGCCCTGTTTTTTGAAAATGAGTTACAAAAGCTTGTATTACCTGACTTGTTTTCTATGTGTAAAGATGAATATGTAAACACTGATAGTGGAAACTGTCTTGAAGGATTCACAAAGTAGTTATCTCTTAGAATTTTTTATTTTCTTTATTAACTATATTCTAATTTTTCTCTAATGATTCATATTCATTGACTTTTTAAATTTAAAACATATATATGTGTATGTATAAATGATTTTTAAAGTCTTCAAAAACAATCAGGGGCTAAATAGATTAGGTCTTACCTAGATTGTTCTCCAGGACAGCCTTTTCTCCATCTAATTTTGTTTTGCCATACAAATTTAGGGGAGCTGGTATGTCTTCCTCTCTGTAAGGTGGATTTGTTCCATCAAATACATAATCTGAGCTAATGTAGATGAGAAATGCTCCAACAGCAGCTACAAAAAAAGAAGACAAATCTATTAAATGTTTACATGACATTACTCTTTCATGGAATTTAGAATGGTTTTTCATGATATATAAAAACAAATAACCATCTACAAAACCTTAATTTCTAAAAACTCAGCAATCACTTAATATTTTATGAAAATTTTATAAAGTCATCATTACCTGCTTCCTTTGCTAAATTCCCAGAAGCATCCACATTAAGTTGAGAGGCAGCATCTGGCTGATTTTCTACAACATCTGGTCTTCTCTCTGCTGCACAATGTACTATAACATGGGGCTAGAAGTTAAGCATTGACGTATTTTTAACTCAAAATAAAATGAAAGAGGTATTACAGCCTTCTTAAAGTTAATTCAGAGAAAAATGTGCAGTAAGTCAACATTCTTTCAACTAAGAATAAATCATTGTAATTTCTAATGTAGTTTTGTCATGCTGCTTCTTTTCCCCGCAAGGTTCAAACTTAAAATATTTATAGGCACTGAAAAGAGTATTTCATAATATGCAGACACAAACCAGGAAAAAAACTGTCAACAACTGTATTTCTACTCTGGTGTGACGGTTCATGCATGTAATCCCAACACTTTGGGAGGCTGAGGTGAGACAATGCTTGAGGCCAGGAGTTCAAGATAAGACTAGGCAACATAGTGGTTGGTACTCAATCTCTACAAAAAAATTTAAAAATCAGCCAGTCGTGGTGGCATGAGCCTGTAGTTCTAACTGTTGTGGAGGCCGAGGCAGAAGGATCACTTGAGCCAAGGAATTCAAGGCTACAGTGGGCTGTGATCGATCTACCGTACTTCACCCTGGGCTACAGAGTGAGACCCTGTCTGAAAATAAAACAACCATGTTTCTAGGCTGGGCGCGGTGGCTCAAATCTGTAATCCCAGCACTTTGGAAGGCTGAGGTGGGTGGATCACGTGAGGTCAGGAGTTCAAGACCAGCCTGGCCAACATGGTGAAACCCCATCTCTACTAGAAATACAACAATTAGCCAGGTGTGGTTGCGCATGCCTGTAGTCTCAGGTACTCAGGAAGCTTAGGCAGGAGAATTGCTTGAACCCTGGGAGGCGGAGGCTGCAGTGAGCTCAACTGCACCACTGCACTCCAGCCTGGGCAACAAACCAAGATTACGTCACAAAAACAAGAACAAAACAGAAGTCTTTCTAAATCAAAACAAGTTTTATCCCCCAATTTGGACAAAAGGAAAGAGCTATCATTTATGCAATTAACATGATTTAAATATCTAATAAATCCATGTCAAAGGGAGAATAGTATCAATGATACCGAAAACCTCTCTGAGCCTGCTCCCTCAGCCCTAAAATGAAAATAACTATTTTGCAGTGTTGTGAGGTTTACAGTAACATTTGAAAACCATTTGCAGAGAAAGTATTACTTAGAAGGCACTCTATAAACATAAGCATTTTATAAAATGTCTCATATTTGTCTTTGTCAGCGTGTCAAAATTTAACTTTAAGGTTTACATATACCATGTCATGCTAAATGAAAAAAATGCTACTGCATAATACAACTTTAGAGCTTTCAAACATAGTAATTTCCTTGAGAGCAAGGATAGTTTCTGTATCATCCAGACAACTCTTAATATTGTTCATGTATATCTTAAAATAACCTAAATCATACCTGAAAATCATGAATGATGTGATGAACTGCATTAGAATCCAACAGATTAACCTGTTCAAATTTTGGTCTTGCTCTTCTGAAACCACAGCCAACTGCATGCCAATTATTCTGCTGAAATTCTTTGTGTACAGCTCTGCCAAGAAGCCCAGTGGCACCAGTAACCAGAACCCTCCTATTAGGGATGTTAACTTCCTCCTAAAAGGTGAAGGCGGATAGAAAGAGTTACTAACTTTGAAAACAGTTCTCTCAAATATATTAGGCACCATCGTTGTTCCCTAAATGTCTTAATTCTACGTATTTTGACTCATGTCCCATATCTGCAAGCCAATTCTAAAGTTAAGTTAGGGTCGGGCATCAGGCTCATGCCTGTAATTCCAACACTTTGGGAATGCGAGGCAGGCAGCTCCGCTGAGCCCAGGAACTTGAGACCAGCCTGGGTAACATAATGAGACCCATCTCAATACAAAAAAACAGTAAAAATATACTTTGTATTTATAAAAATAAATTTTTAAAATAAAAAAAGCAGAAAACACAACTTAAAAATGTAATAAATAAAGTTAGAACAATGATTAATCAAACCATATAAAAAACTGTATCACTTAAGAAAAAGCTTTTGCCAGGCATGGTGGCCCATGCCTTTAATCCCAGCACTTTGCGAGGCCAAGGCAGGTGGATCACTTGAGCCCAGGAGTTCGAGACCAGCCTAGGCAACATGGTGAAAACCCGTCCTTCCAAAAAAAAAAAAAAAAAAAAAAAAGCAAAAATTAGCTGAGCTACAGGTGGTGCATGCCTGTAGTCCTAGCTACTTGGGAGGCTGGGGTGGGAGGATCACGAGCCTGGGAGGCCAAGGCTGTAATAAGCAGAGATCATGACATGCACTCCAGTCTGGGGGACAGAGTGAGACCCTGTTTCAAAAAAAAAATTTTTTTAATTAAAAAAGTTATAATAATCTTACCCAAGGAAAGGAACACAAGATGATATGCAAGGAATTATGTAGATTTATATTTCCTATGTTAACAGAAAATCCTATTTTTATGATTGATAATACCCAAATGAGTTAGTAAACAGCAACTTTTTTTATACTTTTGCTCCAAGTACCTAAATAGTAAATAACAACATTACATTCTTCAGTTTATAAGACTTTACAATTTGTCTTGCTTCTATAGATACGACTGAAGGTGCTCTTTGAGTCTCTAGAGAGAAACGTGTTTTAAGTTTACCTATTTTAAGGCCTGATTAGTATTTGCGTCAAATCTGCCAATATATTTACAAGCTGACATTTCTGGTCTTCAGATTTTAATCCCAAATGTTCTTTCAAGTCTCAATAATTTATCATATTTTGATGGACCCAAGGTAGAGAATTAATCAACATTTCAAAGGAATATACGAGGAGGAAAAAAAACTTGGTCCTTACAACACTTAAATGCTTTCTAAGTTTAACCAAATTGGTAAATGTTCCTTAGTTAACCCAAAATTTACCTACATAGAAGAGTTAAAATTGGCCAGGTGCAGTGGTTCATGCCTGTAATCGCAGCACTTTGGGAGGCCAAGCTGGGCAGATCACCTGAGGTCAGGAGTTCAAGACCAGCCTGGCCAACATGGTGAAACCCCATCTCTTCTAAAAATACAAAAAAATTAGCCAGGCGTGGTTGCAGGTGCCTGTAATCCCAGCTACTCGGGAGGCGAGGCGGGAGAATTGCTTGAACCCAGGAGGCGGAGGTTGCAATGAGCCAAGATGGCACCACTGCACTCCAGCCTGGGTAACAAGAGCAAGACTACATCTCAAAAAAAAAAAAAAAAAAGCTAAAACTAATAAACGCAAAGGATAAGAAAAAATATTTTAAGCTCATCTGTGTTGCTACTGTGAAACAAATAAATTATTACACACAGAAATGAAAAAGAACCACTATTTAGGAAAAAATTTAAATTCTATGTTTCCAAGCATAGTTCCAAAAATGTCCCTTCTTCCCAAGATGGGTAACACCAAGTTTCCAACCAGGATCTTGAATAAAGTCAACTTTTACTATTAAAAACAAACCAGTTATTTTAACTCAAGAGTTGTTATAATCACCTAATTCTGGGCTGTCAAAATCTTTAAATACATATACAATAACCAAAGACCTTTTAAAGCCCTTAGCTCAATTAAATTACTTAGCCGAATACATACATTTTTTTTTAAAAGACACCAAAATCAAGTATTTCTAGCAATCAAAAACGTAAAATGAAAAGACTAACAGGGAAAGATAGTATAAAGGTAAATTCTTAGGATTATTTTTCCTTAGTTCAACCAATTTCAAGACATTTTAAAAGTTGAAAGCAATTTCATTCAGGCTGTGTTGCAAAACTTGGCTCTAAACCAACTGATCTATGAAAACAAGGATTTCAGCCAACAAAATATTTTCTTTGAAATTTGGCAAGAAAACAGCTCTACAAAGATTGAACTGTAAAGAGGAGAAAACATGCCAAGTCTAGTACAGATACAGTCAGAGAAAACAATTTACACAGGATAAATACGGTAAAGATTCCTGAAAAAATACTCTAAAAGAGAGATAATTTGGTTTCTTCTGAGTTCCTCACTTTTTACTTCACTCTACGGAAGCAAAGGAACAGGTAACAGTTCCTAAGGTCAGTGGTTCTCGTGCTTCAGTGTGGATCAGAATCACCTGGAGGGCTTTTAGATCACAAAGGTCTGGGGTGGGGCTTGATAATTTGCATTCCCAACAAGTTCCAACAAGTGATGCTGATCATCGTGATTTGGAGACCGCACTTAGAGGACCAGTGTACTCTCGAACTCCAGGAAAGTTCAAAGCTTTCATAACAATCCGTTTCTCTTACACAAGGAAAACAAAAAGTGCCATCTACCTTTCTCAAAATGACAACAGTATCTTTCCCCCTTAAAAAAGAAAACTTGAAATAGAAGCCAAAGCATTATACAATCCACAAAAGTTACTAAACAATGAATTAAGATCTGTGTACTTCACTGACTCTGTGAAGTACAGTTTCATTTTAACATCTGTTAAATGAATTTAAAAAAAATCTTATGAATCGTCACAGTTTTGCAGTAGTTTTTGCTAACTTAATGCAACTTAAGAGCCCAGATGATCTTCTTTTAATTAAGAGCTTCTTGGAGTTGATGCAGTATTAAGTATAGAGAAGAACAAGGCTCTTTAGGGAATATAATACCTTAACGTAAAAAAGGAAGTGGAGTTGTATGAGAAAATGCAACTTTATATCCTTATACCCCTGGGTTACTATGTAAGGCCTCCAGTACGCCCGGCCTATAACATGTTAATTTTCAAATAAAATGTTGTGCAGTATCATTTCCATTTCAGTAAATGCTTGCACTTCAGATCGTCACTCTTAATAAAAATCTTGAGCACTGACACCTGACTGCTGGGTACTGTACACTGTTTCATATTTTTTTCTAGGTAATTTTAGGTAATCTAAGCTACTCGGGAGGCTGAGGCAGGAGAATCGCTCGAACCCAGGAGGCGGAGGTCGTAGTGAGCCGAGATCGCACAACTGCACTCCAGCCTGGGGGACACGAGCTAGACTTCATCTCAAAAAAACAAACAAACAAAAAAACCAAAAAAAAGAAAACTAACGTGTTATATAAGTATACAATCATAGCTGTTTTTGTTTTTTTAATAGCAGTTTGAGGCCGGGTGCCAGGGCTCACGCCTGTAATCCCAGCACTTTGGGAGGCCAAGGTGGACCAACCACTTGAGGTCAGGGGTTCAAAACCAGCCTGGCCAACATGGTGAAACGCTGTCTCTACCAAAAATAGAAAAACTAGTCGGGCATGGTGGTGGGCGCCTATAATCTCAGCTACTTGGGAGGCTGAGGCAGGAGAATCGCTTGAACCCTGGAGGCAGAGGTTGCAGTGAGCAGAGATTGAGCCACTGCACTTCAGACGGGGTGAAAGAGCAAGAGGAAAAAAAAGAAAACAAAAAAACCCAGCAGCTTGTTAGAAGAGATATTATTTCCAAAGAGAGTAACAAGAAGTCCAGTGTTAAATGTTTTGTCTATAGTAAAAGAGAAAAAGCTGGAACCAGAACCTGAGTCTTGCTTCTCTGGTCAAGTCAAATACACTGCATTTTGTCTCAATCCTGTGAACTAATATTTGGTTTCATGAATGATTAAAGTTTTATCTGTTCTGCCACAAATTGGTGTTTAGAAGTTATTCTATCTCTATTGATCTAATTCCTCATTGGTAAATGGGGAAGGCATTTAGACAAAATGACTAAGGCTCTTTCAGCTTTAAAGTTCTATATTTCTAACATTTTCCATATTATCCCTACCACGAGGAGTCCGAATAGTTTCGTTTACTTAAATAAGGTAACTTTTCCTCTGAATATGCATTACTCCGAAATTTAAAATATGCCAAACAAATATCTCTGTTTTTGAGCTTCTATATAAGCAATACTCTGCCTTTTACACTGTTTTGTTGAGGCTTTTTGGTTCGTTCTTTAGAAAAAGAAATATCCCTCTAAAAACTACTTTGGACCTGCACTCCATAAATTATTTTAGTTGTGCACAAGGAAGAAATGTCTAAACACTTTAAGAAAGTCAGAATGAAAGAATAAAATGCTATCTAGTTCACTCAAGGCACAATAAAGAGTTGATAATACTTTGCCTGAAGTCTACTTTTTCTCAATTTTTATTATATGGGGGAAAGTAGATCTAATATCAGTTTAAGTTACTCTAAACGTATCTGCCTCTTATTGTCTAAACTCTGAAGTACGGAATTCAATCACTCCAAGGGACCAGATTTATGGACACCAAAAAAACATTTCTTGAAAAATTAAGTACATATAAATAAATATTCTTATTATCGTATCTAATCGAATGATACCAAATTGTATAGGTAATGGGAGATACATGGCTCCTTCCAAATGGTCCAACACAGTACTCTGGGACAGTGATTTCTACTTTAGCACACCTGCATTAATGTCTACTAAAAATGTTCTAGAAAAGTAAAGAATGGAATACTATTAGTATGTGGTTTTCCCAAATTTCAGTGGTAAATACCTTGTCGTTTTTGGAAACTTTAAAACTTGGCACAGTTCCATGTTTAATTTTTTAATTCCCCAGAAACAGACCCTTAAGGTAAACATTACTGGGCTTTACTTTTTAAGATTCTCTGACTACTTAGGTGGGATTGGTCTAACTTCTACTGCGACGCTACTGTGCTCCACAGACAGTATTACTAACAACAACCACTCCAGGATGCTTCTCTAACGTTAACTATGAGACAGTTCTCGTTCTCATGAGTCAGTAAGCTTTAATTCTACAGGTTTTGAGAGCAGTAAGTCTGTGCCAAGCTCTTCGTTGTTTCATTTTTAATGAAGGAAAACACGAAAAGCTATTTTCATTTTTATACTGAACTTCTTTTTGTGAAAGTAGATTAAGCTTTATATGCACACGTACACATACAAATGCATACATATAAATGTAAACGTATGTAACATGCACTCAGCACGGTCTGGAGGACCTAGGAACATAGAGGTTTAATAGACCATTTATCCTAACTTTACCCTCAAAGAACCAAAGTGATTTGAAAACCCTAAGTAAATTTGGAAGCATGAAAACTTTGCAATAACAGAAACAGCCATCTCCTATATTCTCTACTCTCTCCAAAAGACATGGTCTGGGCATTAGTAGTGTTCTTATCCCCAGGGTTGGATATGTTCTGTGGACAGATTAATGCTGGAGGCCCTTAAGTGGAATGGAGCAGGATGGGACGGGGGCGAGGGGGGCACCAGAGATGGATCTTCCAATCATCACCATAATCTTCCTTCAGGGAAACTCCGTAGTGGTTCAAAGCCCAAGACAGTCACACAAACCTGTATCTGAATTCCAGGCTCCAACCTTACGGAATGAACCTGGGCCAATGTCTCACCCTCTATGCCCGTTTTCTCGTCTACAAAATGAGGCAATAACAAGTATCTCACAGTGGAGGATTAAAGTAATGCCCGTCAAGTGCATAACATAGTGCTGAGAACTTAAGAGTTCAATAAGTTGTCATCTCCAGCACTGTTATTTGTGAGAAGTCACCTTTTCCTGTTCTTTCTCAAACCTACGAACTTGTAAGATCGAGAAATACGAACCAAAGATGAATAAACGGGGAAAACCAAAATCAAAACAAACAATTCTGAAAAACCTCTTCGTCCTCAGGAGCAGAGACAGAACTCGAAAGTAAAACCTCCACCTACTTGCTTCCTGCCGCAGTGGCTGGAAGAAAAAAACACTGACCCGTGTGCGCTGAGATAAACAAACTCGGTGGCGCCCCCCTCGGATCCGGGGCTGGGAGGGTGGCGGTGAGACCACTCCCGGCCGGAGGCTCTGACCCGGGCGGAATACGCCTGCAAAGCCGCCCGAGCCCCGGTGGCTCGTCCCCCTCGGCGCCCCCGCTCCCACCGGAGACGCCCAGGCCGACTCCCTCACCTCCACCAGCCGACAGCTCCCGGGAACAAAGTGTATAGAGAGCTCTTTCTCCCGCCCCACCATGCCCGCCGTCTTCACGCCGCAGCCTCAGCGGCCGCCACCTCCTCCAACCCAGGATCGACGCGGGCCTCAGCTCAGACGCCCTCGGCCCGCCTCCCCTAGGCCCAGAACGACCCCGCTCGCCGCTTCCGGCTTCCGCTGCCATAGCCGCGCCCGTTGATTGGCCACGCTCCGCCGACGCCCCAGAAAGAGGGCGGGTACGCGCGGTCTGCCCCCAGCCCACGCGCCGATGCTTAAAGCGACACACAAAAGAAAGGCCCTGACCTTAGGCAGTGAATTCAGGTTTTGTTTCGGAGATTTTATTTGAGTGCTTTTTATTCTACTTTTTTTCCTTTTTTTCTTGACTCGGGAAAAGATTGAAGTGGATCGCCTTGAGTTTCAAGTTTGCAGACTGCGCAGTGCATGAGGATCGACTGAGCAATATAAAAAGTGGAATAAAAAGCATTTTAAAGTCATGGGGGCGGGGGCGGAGGTGGGTAGAGCATAATGGACACATCTCTAGAGCTCTAGGTGGGGGTTTTGAAAGATTTAGAAAAAGACAAGGAATAAAAATAAAAGGGTTGGCGTCTGAGCCATTTGTCTTCCTGGGATGCTTAAAAAAAGAAAAAACCTGTGTGTGAGATATCAAAAATGTAAAACTATTTTTAACTAATTAAAAATAAAAAGTTGTAGGGGGAAGGAAGATGAACTACTTAGGTACCTCTTCAAAACGCAGATCCTTGGACTTTACCCATAATTACAGAACAAGAAACGAGCCCGGGGTCCGACTTCTTAATGGGTTTAACCAGAATCAAGCCCACTCTTTAAGAAACACCGCCTCGGGGATTGCAGGATTGGGCCACACGAGCCCAGCCTTGGTGAGCACCGAGAATTTAAGCAGCAGCGTGTAAGGCTGGGCGTTCTACCACCTTTTAAAAGTTAAGCAGCCCTAAGTGCTGATGCCGACTTATTTCCCTTCCAGTTAAAAACCGCAAAAAATCCTCAGCCAGGCTGGACGCCTGTGAAATTGATGCAGAAAGTAAACCCTGGCACAGGCCGTGTAGGATTTGCCAACTTTGCACCGAACAGTCCAAGGGTTCTTGTGTGCCCAGGATAGCAAGCTCTAAACGTCGTCCACAAACGTGACCACTGTCTGGATTTTCCTAGGGCCTTTCCCCGACTCCTAAACCTTTTTGGTTTATTTTCAAACTAAAGACTAAGCAGCCTTTTAAAGAAGTTTTCCACGTCAGAACACCATGACTTTCCTTCCTCCTCAACCCCCAACAAAAACTCATTTCCTTATTCGTGTAAACATAAAGTTTCTCTAGAACAGTAATCGAAGACAGCCTGAGGTTTCTTATGTTCCGATTTTTTTTTTTTTTAAACACAGGCTATTACTGTTCATTAGTTTGGCTTTATTTAGGGAATCCTTGAGGACTGCCCCAGCGCTAAACAAGCATAATCAGGGGACAACAAAGAAGAGGGCGGGAAGAGGGCCGGGGGAGCAGCCAAGATCATCTTACTACTTTTTCTCTTAACTGGGAATTCGGTTTAAAGTTTCTAGTCGCAACACGTGATGTAATCTTACCTTTCTATGGGAGAAAAGAAAATTAATTCTTCATTCTTCAACGTGAAGCAGGTTTAAGGGCAAGCATATGCAATTAGCATTCTGATTCTCAGAGCAGCCTAGTCTTGAGGAACAGAAAGAATTTAACTTGGCTGCTTTTGAAAATCTGACTTGATACTTTCCCCGTAAAAGTTGGGTACAGTTCTAGGGGCATATGTTTGGATATGGTTTTTAATCATTTTCTTTAATGATGGTAGGGTCTATGCGAATCAAACGCCATTCTTAACATAGACAATATACAACTTCGTGTGGTGGCTAAGTCTATACATTTAAAGAGAGCAGCCTGAAACTAAAAGTTATGTTAGCAGATTCAATTCATACAAAGACAAAGAACATCTGGAAAGGAACACACTACAGATAAAATCCTTATTTATGTAGAAACTTTATATACATAATTGCATTTAAAATGGTAAATGAAAGTGCAATTCTGTATTGTCAGCTAGTGAGACTTAGCTGAGCCCTTCATAACCTGGTTCTCCGGGTCAGTAACTAAAGTTGGCTTATTCTTCCATGTCCCGAGGTTATGTTTTAAGGAAATGAATGACACCCGTTTCTATTTTCTTTACACAACAATTCTGGTTTTAGCAGGCGTTCACTGGAATGCTTTTAAAGCATCTCTTACTCTAGAATGCTTCATTTCTTGAATTGCTAGTTCTTACCTGCTCCATGTCCTCTGGCATTTCAGGCATGACTCCAGAATTATTTCAGGAGAGCAGATACGGGATGGGTCTTAGCCTCTGCCTTCTCTTGCTGGGTCTTTGTTCGCTTCTGCCTGCAGAGAGCGCAGGCACGCCAAAACGTGAGGAGCAGCTTCACTTGACCTTTTAAATTAGCATTTTGATTCCAATCCCGGAATCTCGTGCAGTTCTCCACATGGCAGTAAGCTGGTAGCTGATTCCCCGTAGTAGTCTCGAAAATACCCAATGAGAAGTTTCATGTTTAATTGCCAGTCAAGCCTGGGTCTATTTGCAAAACTATTTGGTAGAACTAACTACTTAACAAAAACAAAAACAAAAACCCAACAACTTCCTGTCAAGATTCCTTGTAGTTTTCTTTTGCAAAAGAAGAGTGAGCCACACTTTTGGAAAGCACACAGATCATGCAGTTGATTCCTGTTCTAAAAGGCACAGTTTTCTATCATTTTATTTAGTTACACCTTATTGCAACAGATTATGTTTAGTAAAATTCTCCAGTGCTTTCCCTTCCCAGTGCTTTTAATTATTTCAAAGGAGAGTAAAAGGCAGTGGTGGTAACAGCACGCAAGAAGTAAAATGCAACGGGTCATTTCCATTAATACTATGCTGCCCTCTGAGAAAATGGTAGATGGAGTGAGCGGCCTTAAGTTTCACAAAGCATTAAGGACTTCTAGATAAGTGATTTCCAAACCTGCCTGCACCACAGAACCTAAGAAACGAAATCATTCTCTGGGAGCGAAGCCCAGTAATCTGTTTTCGAAGACTTTCAAGGGTCATGAACGTGCTCAGTGAGCTTTGCACCGCTATTCTGAATTATGGCTCTGTACCAATTTAAGAACATCAAAAATTGCCATTCAAATTGAACTAAAAAAATCATCTGACTTTTAATGTTACATTCATTTAGAGCACACAGCGCATGGTAAACTCTAAGAGGCATTCAGAGAAATCTATTAATATAAATTATGAGGAATTGTTGTGTGTGTGTTTGCATTTGTGAACAAATGTGAACCTGAAAAAGCCAGTCCTTCAAGATGGATCCCAAGTGGCTAACTGGGCATAATTTATTTATTTTTATTATTTCAAGACAGGGTCTCCCTCTGTCACCCACGTTGGAGAGCAGTGGTGCCATCACAGCTCACTGCAGCCTCGAACTCCTGGGCCCCACGTAATTCTACAGCCTCAGCCTCCCAAGCAGCTCCACAGATAAGGAGTGAATATTCGCCTTGGCCATTCCCGGATTCCTTAGCTCCAAGCACACATTCTTCTTAGACCACAGGGTATTCTCAGGGTATGCTTAAAGTTATTGCTGTCAGGTGCATCTGCCATACAACGCTATTTATTTATTATTATTATTATTATTTTTTTTTTTTTTTCTTTTTTGAGACGGAGTCTCGCTCTGTTGCCCAGGCCGGACTGCGGACTGCAGTGGCGCAATCTCGGCTCACTGCAAGCTCCGCTTCCCGGGTTCACGCCATTCTCCTGCCTCAGCTTCCCGAGTAGCTGGGACTACAGGCGCCCGCCGCCGCGCCCGGCTAATTTTTTGTATTTTTAGTAGAGACGGGGTTTCACCTTGTTAGCCAGGATGGTCTCGATCTCCTGACCTCATGATCCACCCGCCTCGGCCTCCCAAAGTGCTGGGATTACAGGCGTGAGCCACCGCGCCCGGCCCTTATTTATTATTTTTAAGACGGACTCTCGCTCTGCTGCCCAGGCTGGAATGTAGTGACATGATCTCGGCTCACTGCAACCTCCGCCTCCCGGGTTCAAGCAATTCTCCTTCCTCAGCCTCCTGAGTAGCTAGGATTACAGGTGTATGCCACCACACCCGGCTAATTTTTGTATTTTTAGTATAGACGGTGTTTCACCATGTTGGTCAGGCTGGTCTCGAACTCCTGACCTCAAGTGATCCGCCTGCCTCAGCCTACCAAGGTGCTGGGATTACAGGCATGAGCCACAGCGCCCAGTTCAGACAACACTTTAAAAAGGAAGATATAAGAATAGCCGATAAGTACATAAAAAGATGCTCAACATTAGAGAAGCAAATTAAAACCACATCAAGATACCATTACATACCTAACAGAATGGCCAAAGTTAAAGACTGAAAGCATCAAATGATAATATAAGGGAGGCAAATTTTACTTCCACCTTTTCAGGGTTTTCTGGCTAGACTTAAGAATTAAATTAAGGTAGATCAACATACAAGACTATTTTATACAAACTTAATGTGGCATGGGCCCTTCCAAAGGAAGTGAAGACCCAAAGATGGAGTTAGAGTTGCAATTAAATACCAAATTAGACAGAATACTAAATTGTGAAAAAGTAAATTTTTGAGGCTAGAAGATCAGTTATTTTAATAAGGTTGGTACAGAATTATCTTGGCATTAACTTCCTGTCTTTGGTGATAGGAATGTTACTTTACTTCTGGTACGGGAGGGCATCATTCATGTGAGAATTTCATCTGCTTTTAAGAAACAGAAGAAAGGTCACGGTGATCTTCTTGTGCCTGCTGTTTTTTAAGCATATTTAACTTAAAATAGTCAAAATGCCAGTGTGGCATATTTTGGAGTAGTATATTCTCAACTCCTTCACTAACAAGCATTTTGAATGACTAGAATGCTCTTTTATTGCTAGAGGGAGTATAAAATGATACAACCACTTTAGAAAACTGGCAGTTTTTATAAGGTTACATGTATGCCTCAGAGAAATAAGAACAATAAGAAAAAAAAAGGAAGAAAATAAAATAAAATAAAGTTAAACATAACACCTATTCTGGCCAGGCGCAGTGGCTCATGCCTGTAATCCCAGCACTTTGGGAGGCCGGGACAGGTGGATCATGAGGTCAGGAGTGAGAGACCAGCCTGACCAACATGAAGAAACCCCGTCTCTACTGAAAAAAATACAAAAATTAGTGGGTGTGGTGGCGTGTGCCTGTAATCCCAGCTACTCAGGAGGCTGAGGCAGGAGAATCGCTTGAACCCGGGAGGCGTAGGTTGCAGTGAGCCGAGATTGTGCCACTGCACTCACGCCTGGGTGACAGAGAGAGACTCCATCTCAAAAACAAACAAACAAACAAAGAAACAAACAAAAAACATACACCTATTCCATGACCCAGTAATTCTACTTCTAGGTGCTTACCCAAGAGAAATAAAACATATATTTATAAAGACTCACACAAGAATATTCATAGCAGCTTAATTCAAAACAGATTAAAACTGGAAACAACATAAACATCCATCAGCAGATGAATGGGTAAACAAATAGTGGTGTATCTATACTGTGGAATATTACTTAGCTATACAAAGAAATGAACTATGTAAATGAATCTCAAAGTCATTATGATGAGTAAAAGAAACTAAATACAAAAGAGTATGATTTTACTTATGTGAAATTCTAAAATAGATTAAATTAATTTATTGTCATCTTGTCTCCCAAACCTAATCTTCCTCTTAACCTCCCAAGTTTGTCTGAAAGATACTATTACACTAATTAACTCAGCTAGATTCAAGTATGCATATGAAAATTTATTAGGGGATAAACATAGTAAATTTAAAATGGATCATTAAAAAAATAAGGCTGTCAATGCTTTGTGTGGAAACTGAAAAAAAATAAGGCTGGATTCTAATTCACTTATACTAAAATAAGTACTTTACAAATTTAAAAAGTTGAACTATTATTGTTTCATTTATCATGGTTAAACAAAAGTTAAACTAAAAAAGTGGAACAAAAGCATTAGAAGAGTATATATAAAATAATCTTGACGTGAGGAAACCTTTTATAACCATATTATGGCATTTAGAAACCAAAAGGGAAAATATCAATAAATTAAACTGCATAGATTTTTGTAAAAAGCTGCACAACAACAATAATGATAATTAACAAAGCCAAAAGACAAACTGAAGGAAAATAAGATCAAATGTAAAAAGCAATTCGTTGTTAATAAAAGTCAAAAGGCAAAAACACACAGGACAACATGCTGGAACTTACCAGTAGTCAAGAAAATGAAAATTAAACTTGACAATATTTTAAATTAACAGATTGAAAAATATTTAAAGACTAAAGCTTTTTATTAAAAATTAATATTTTTTGTCTGCTTTGTTAACTATGGTATTTATTTGTCAAGATTGGCTAGTTTTACACTAAGGTAACAAATCCAAGATCACCGTGCTTAACCTTGGAAAGTTTTTACTTCCCACTCAGGCTATACATCAGAGAAGTCAGCCAGATCTCTGCATCACAGTTTCCCAGAGAGCAGGTCCAAGGAGCTTCCTCCCTTCAGTGGTTTCAAAAATATATGATAAGAGAACATTCCAGGCAGATGAATCAAGTGCACAGAAGATAGGCCTACTCAGCCTGATGTGCTCAAGCATCTGCAAGGAGTCCAGTGTGGCTAAAAAGAATAAAATAGGGAAAGCTGGGCCAGGTGGCTCACACCTGTAATCCCAACACTTTGGGAGGCTGAGGCATGTAGATTGCTTGAGCCCAGGAGTTTGAGACCAGCCTGGGCAACATGATGAAACCCCATCTTCATAAAAAAAAAAAATGCAAAAGAATTAGCCGAGCATAGTGGCACATAGCTGTAGTCCCAGCTGCTTGGGAGGCTGAAGTGGGAGGATCACTTGAGCTTGGGAGGTTGAGGCTGCAGTGAGCCAGGAAGTGTACCACTGCACTTCGGTCTGGGTGACAGAGCAAGACCCTGTCTCAAATAAATAAATAAATAAATAAAAGGAGAAGGAGAAGGAGAAGGAAAAAAGCCAGAGAGGGAAGCGAGTGGAAGTGTGAGATTGTAGATCTGTTAGGACCATTAGGGCCACTGGAAAGACTTACTTCGGCTTTCACTTTTGGCATATCCAGACATCTGCTTGCACTACCACAGACTGAATAATCCTTTAAAGACAGTTCAGGTTATTTTACTACTTGCTTACAACCTTTCAGTAACTTCCCATCTACAAGGCCCTGCAGGATCTGTGCCGCATCTTTGACTCTACCTTCCTTGTCTGCCTTTCTCCTCAAATAGTATACACCCCAATCTTATTTAGACCCTCATGTTTTCCTCTCTCACAGTATCCTATACCTTTATTTTTTTACCATTAAAAAAGTGTGTGTGACCATTATTTACTTCACATCTATCACCTTTCACTTAAAAACGCAAGGGGCAAAGTCTTGTTCTCCTCTGTGTATCAGCACCAAATTCAGTCCCTGGCACTGGATGAATATTTTATAAATATTTTTGAATATGTAAATGAATGAATAAATGAAATGCAGTATAATCAAAATCAAAAGCATGACTTATAAGTGAATCTATTTTATCCTCAGACCACTAAATTCTTAAGTGTGTAAATACATGAAGATAATACTTTTTAAAATTGTTTCTCCCAGAAAAGAGAATTGATTTTAAACAATTCAAATCAGTGGGCTATGTGTATATAATTATTCACTTGTTAAAGATAATTAGTTTGGCTTTCACCGTTTTTCTTGAAAACTACAAAGTCCTAATGGATGAAGAGACAATAGGTTGGAAAATGGATGAATGTTACTGTGGCTAGAGATGAAGAGACAAGGTATTGACCCCACCCTCTTTGTTGTAACAGTTTCTGGAAAATCTATTTGTTGAAATTTGCTTTGTGATGGGAGCTTAGATGACTCCTAATTTAAAGGACTAATGAATAAGCTAGTGTTGGAGTCTCAAGTAAAACCTTCATAAGGATAGATGTCTTGGGGTCCAGCTTCACCCACAAATAGGTTCTGGGGCCTAGTTTCGTATTTTCACCACCTCTGTCATCCTTCTCACCCTGTTTTAGGGGGTGTTCACATAGAAGTCATGAACAGTAGCAAGAAGAGGATCTGAAAGAATGATACTGAGGAAGGAGGCAGGGCATCCTGACCTCTGTCCTCTCTTGTCAACAGTGTGAAACACGAACAAGTATTCAAGGTTAAAATTTATTGTAGATCAATAGGGCATGAGTTAGACTAGACAGGGTGTTCAGTTCCCAAACCCAGTGTGATGTTTAATTGTTATGTTTAATTTTATACATCAACTTGACTAGATCATAGGTTGACCGTGGGCACTACTTCAGGGGCTGTCTGTGAGGGTATTTCTGAATGAGGTTAATATTTGAATTAGTGGATGCACTAAAGCTGATTGAGGGTCCATTGAAGGCTGAGTAGAACAAAAAACAAAGGAAGGGAGAATTAATCCCTTCTTCCTGACCCCAGTCTTTTGCTGACTTTGGACTGAGACTTATACCTTCTGCTATGATGGTTCTCAGGCTTTCAAGCTTGTACTGAACAACACCTGCTTTCCTGGGTCTCCAGCCTGCAAATGGCAGGTTGCAAGCCTTCTCAGCCTTCATAATCATGTCAGCCAATTCCTCATAGTAAATCAACTTTTCTATGTATCTCTTACTGGTTCTGTTTCTCTGGAGAACTGTGACTAATACAGATTTTGGTACCAAGAGTTGTTCTAGAGGGACAGAATGTTAAGGATGAGTTTCCTGATGGTTCCAGGGTTCTTGGGATTGGTACTCTGATCTTATTAAACGTGTTAATGATTCTTTCCAGTTAGTAAAGTGAGCACTGAGTGCATAGCATGATCTGGCAATAGAAATACACAAAATAATTGCATTGGCCACTTCTAATCAGCCAGTTATAAGAGGCAAGGAGCTGGCTAACTGTGTATATGATATTTTTTTTTGATTTTTGGAAAACTAATTGTTGATGGCTGTTATGAAACCTTTGTTCTTGTCTTCTTAGTCTAAAAGAACTTAAGAGACACAGAGTGGAGAAGTTGCAGCATTAAACAATTCATTGCAAAGGAAAAAGAATATTTTGAAAGTTAAGTGCACAATAGATAGTACATCCTTAGAGAGAGGATTCAGTACAGGCTGCTGGTAAGGATGAGATCATAAAGACTGGCACTAGGGAGACTCCCTTTCTGGGAGTCTTACATGATTAATCATAAGGGGGTGGGAAGAGGTGTTACTAGTAAGCATGTTCTGGGTGGTCCTCTGGGTGCACAAGAGCAGTAGCTGTACATGCTTGTTCATATATCGCATGTCTCATTAGCATCTTAAATCTCCACCCAGCAGTGGGTTTTTTACTATTATAATGAACAAAGGGTCAGGCTGAGGATAGGTAAAATCAAAATGTATATGCTATATACAGGGAAATTTCCTACTGAAGATAGCTTTGCTTGAATTAGCTTGACTACAATGTGAATGCTGGGGCTTATTTTGTTAAAGTATGTGGTGCAGTAAGCCACAGTTGCTGCATACCAAGGGCATGTTTACTTCCTTGACTACCTATTCTGCCTCATAATGAGTATAATGAGGACAGTTGGTTGTTTCTAATGTCACTGGATAAAGTGGTGCAAAAGTGAGTGTAGGGATTTTTATTCCCAGCTCAAGTGCTCCATAAATAATCTGAAAGCTTCTATGTGCACCCTGAAGAAAACCCTATCTCCTGTAGCCCCAGAGCTGAGACTGTTGAAAATCAAACACAGCATCTCATCCTGTGACTGGCTGAATTACAACACAAATTAGAATTCCAGCCTTGCAGAGTGACTATTGTCAAAAGGAGGGCACTTACTGAAAAAAAAATGGGATTCTGTAAATTAGGATTGGGACATATGGGAAGACCTTGATGAAGCTGGGGACATTAAGCCCCTAAATTCTGATGAGTCTTCTTTGCTAGTGGAGAGGCTTCTCAACCCCATTGGAAGCAGCTTCTCCATTTCCAGTGATAGTACCCTCCAACCTGTCTGTGATGATTAACACTGCATTGCCTGAGGAAATTGTAATGGCCTCCTTTGAGGCAGTTGATATGCAAGACAATGTTGGTTCTCCTCCAGACCCAACTCCACCACCCTTCTTTGCTTCTAGACCTGAAACTAGACAGGAACAAAGTGTTACCTATGAAGAGATGTGCTATACTCCAAAGAGTTACTCAAAGTCTCTAATTTATACAGACAAAAATCTGGGAACATATGTCGGAATGGATAATAAAGGTGTTGGAAAATGATGGAAGGAACATAAAGTTGGATCAGGTCAAATTTATTGACATGGGCTCACTAAGCCAAGATTCTGCATTTAACATTGCAGCTTGGGGAGTTAGAAAGGGTGCTCACAGTTTGATTGGCTTACTAAAACATGGAAAAGATGAATTGGAAGTGCTGGACATGCCTTGGTTTAATCTAGAGGATGGGATTAAAAGGTTTAGGAATATTGGGAAATTAGATTTTTCACTTAAGAACTACTCATCTCGGGTGGATCATGAGGTCAGGAGATCGAGACCATCCTGGCTAACAAGGTGAAACCCCGTCTCTACTAAAAATACAAAAAATTAGCCGGGCGCGGTGGCGGGCGCCTGTAGTCCCAGCTACTCGGGAGGCTGAGGCAGGAGAATGGCGTGAACCCGGGAAGCGGAGCTTGCAGTGAGCAGAGATTGCGCCACTGCAGTCCGCAGTCCGGCCTGGGCGACAGAGCGAGACTCCGTCTCAAAAAAAAAAAAAAAAAAAGAACTACTCATCCACACTGGGAAGGTCAAGAAAGCATACCTTTCACCAATACTATGAGAAAGAAATTTGCGAGGAGAGCTCCAGCATCTTTTTCAGAACTCTGTGATGGCTCTTCTCTGTAGGCCAGAGCTCACTGCAGTCACTGAACTGGAAAACCTAAATATAATGGAAGTAAAGGATCCCAGGGTGGCAAGGGTCAAGTAATGGGACTCAACCACCAAAGGCAAGGTGAAGTGGTTATCATAATGACAGAGCCAAAGGAACAATTAGAATAATCTCACTTGTAGACCTATGCTTTGGCTAGTTGATCATGGTTTTCCTAGACGTGAAATAGATAGGAAGCCTACTGAAGTCTTAACTTGATCTGTATAAGCAGAAAACTTCTAAGTCAAGTGACGAAAGTTGAACTCGAATCATAAAAACAGAATCGTGGTCCCTTAATTCCCAAACTTGAGCCACTTTATAGAGCCCAAAACCCTTTGATTGAAGGGGAGGACCTCAAAGGGACCCTGGTCCATAACCAAATGTTTATACTGTTAGTCTTTCTCCTAGTCCTCCGCAAAGGGATGTACAACCTTTACCAACGTAACTGTGCATTAGAAAAAGGGAATAATCAGATCTTTTGTGAACTAGTGGACACTGGCTCTCTGAAGTGACACTAATTTCAGGAGATCCAAAGTGCTACTGTCAGGGTAGCAGCTTATGGAGGTCAGGTGATCAGCAGAGTTTTAGCTTAGTTCCATCTCACAATGGGCCCAGTGAATTCCTGAACCTATCCTGTGGTTATCCCCTAGTTCTAGAATGTATAATTAGAATACAGTCAGCAGCTGACAGAATAATCCACACATTGGTTTCCTTACCTATGGAGTGAGGGCTATTATGGTGGAAAAGGCCAAGTAGAAGCCACTAGAACTATCTGTACTTAGGAAAATAGTAAACCAAAAGCAATGCTCAATTCCTATAGGGACTGAAGAGATTAGTGCCACCATAAGTACTTGAAGGAAGGCGGGGTGGTGATTCCTACCATATGTCCATTCAACTCGCCTATTTAGCCTGGGCAGAAGACAGATGGATTATCACAAACTTAACTAGGTGGTGACTCCAATTGCAGCTACAGTACCAGATGTATTGCTTGAGCAAATTAACACAACTCCTGGTTCCTGGTATGCAGCTACCTGGTATGATCTGGCAAATGCCTTTCTCTCCATCCCTGTCTATAAGGCCGACCAGAAGCAGTTTGCTTTTAGCTAGCAAGGCTAGAAATGCACCTTCATGTCCTACCTCAGGGCATATCAACTCACCAGCCCTGTCCTAATTTTGTTCACAGGAATCTTGATTGCCTTTTCTTTCCACATCACATTGGTCCATTACATTGACGACATTATGCTCACTGGACCTAATGAGTGAGACATAGCAACTACTCCAGACCTATTGGTAAGACATTTGCATGTCAGAAGTGGGAAGTAAATCCAACAAAAATTCAAAGGCTTTTTCATGTCTCAGTAAAATTTCTAGGGGTCCAGTGGTATGAGGCATGTTGAGATACCCCTTCTAAGGTAAGTTTTTGCATCTGCCCCCTCCTACAACCAGAAGAGGCATGACATGCGGCAGGCCTCTTTGGATTTTGAAGACGTTTCCTCATTTGAGTTTGTTACTCTGGCCCATTTACTGAGTGACTTGAAAAGCTGCTAGTTTGGAGTAGGACTCAGAATAGGAAAGGTTCTGCAATAGGTCCAGGCTATTGTGTAAGCGGCTTTGTTGCTTGGGACATATGAACTTGCAGATCCAGTGGTATTTGAAGTGTCAGTGGCAGATAGAGATGCTGTTGGAACCTTTGGCAGGCCCACATAGATGAATCTCAGTGCAGACCCTTAGTATTTTGAAGAAAGACCTGTTATCCTATGCAGATAACTACTCTTTTGAGAAACAGCTCTGGGCCTACTGCTGGGCTTCAGTAGGGACTGAATGCTTACCGTGGTCAATTAAGTTACCATGCGACCTGAGCTGCCCATCATGAGCTGGGTGTTATCTGACCCACAAGCCATAATGCTGGGTGTGGACAGCAGGAGTACATCATCAAAGAACGTGTTATGTATGTGACTGGGCCCAGGCAGGACCTGAAGGCAAAAGCAAGTTACATGAAGAAGTGACCCAAATGCCCATGGTCCCTGTTCCTGCTACCTTGCCTTTTTTCTCCCAAGCTCATGGAGAGTTCCCTATGATGAGTTGACAGGAAGAAACAACATGGGCCTAGTTTATAGATGGTTCTGTGTGATATGTAGGCATCACCTGAAAGTGGATAGCCATAGTACACCAGCCCTTCTCTGGGACATCCCTGAAGGATAGTGGTAAAGAGAAATCCTCCCAGTGGGCAGAACTTTGGGCAGTGCACCTGGTTGTTCATCTTGTTACCCCATGTTGGCTAAAAGTAGAGGTCCTGAAGCATTTTATTATTTATTTATATATTTTTTAGAGATGAGGTATCACTATGTTGCTCAGGCTGGTCTTGAATTCCACCTGCCTCAGCCTCCCAAAGTGTTGGGATTATAGGCGTGAGCCACTGGGCCCAGCCCATTAAACCATTTTATTTTATTAGACAATTTTTCTAATTTCTACGTTTCTTCTGAACTTAATTTAAAAAACTGTATTTTAAAATTCAACCATGTATTAAGATCTAATAAAATAATAATGAAAAGCAATTCTGACTGATAGTCCCTGTTGAGCCATCAGTGAGAACACATTATAAAAAAGGTAGCTTATAAATATCATACCAATGATATGTGCAAAACAGGCATTTTAGAGAGAGATTTACCACTTTCCAAACAGTATCTTTTGTGATTCTGGGGACAAGGTGGTGTGGGTAGGGTAGAGATGATAAATACATCTTACATAGAAGCATGAATGTAACTTCATAAAATACAAGCTGAAAAATTAATTGGTTAAATGACTTACTGTGTAATTTTATTTCATATTACACAAATGTTAATCAAATGCTGAGTAGACATGCAGATGACAAGCAGTATATGACAAACTCTGAAGAAATAGTTACATGTAGAGTTTCTCAGATTTTTAGTGTATCTAAGAATTAACTGAAGAGTTTGTTAAGAATGCAGGCTTAAAGGCCAATCCACAGATTATAATTTCATACAAACAGGATGGAGCCTAAGAACCTGTAAATTATTAAACAACTGATTAAAAATAGAGAGGTTTCTATGAAGTTAGGCTTGTCCTTATTTCTTATTTGAACTGGACAAGTAGAAGGATAATAGGTAGGACCAAGTGAGCATTATCAGAATCAAAGTAGAGGCAATAACAAGCCAAGGTGTTTTAGCCTAGCTAAAGAAGCTCAGACTAGAAAAGACCTCCAGGATCAAGCTGAAGAATCTGGGGTTTAGACTCTTGAAACTAAGGTTTCAGAACAGGAGGATAATAATATGATACTGACTTTTAAGTTGATGAGATGCATTCTAAGCTGGAAAGCCAGCGAAAGGGTTCAGAATGAGGTGATAAAGGTGAGCATTAGGGAGGAGGTATTTGCAAGAAAAAATAAAATGTCAAAAGACACTTTGGTAAAAAATGTTCCTTTCACATATTTAAGGATTGGCAGTTAAAATTAAATACAACATTATAAAATACCCATGTCAAATATAATAACAGCAACATCAATAACAACAAGACGAATGAAATAATCTTCAACAGGTTTCTCAGATGTTTACTTCCATGATTCTTGACACTCCATAGGAGCTCGGTAACAGTTTGTATTGCCTAGAAGAATTATTGAAAAGAAGGATTAGTAATCTAGATTAAAACGAATTTATCCATCATTATAAACTAAAAACAGGCCTTGTATCTTCTTTAAGGCAGATGAAGCAATATATTCTGTAAGATAATTTTTAGATTTATCATTTCAACCAACTTTAATTTATCGTGAAAGACAAACATTCACAGTCAAGAAATAAGAAATTTACTTCTCTAAAACTACAAATCAGAAAATGATTAAGGACCTAAGAGACATTTAGGTTAAAATGCTAAGGGTATTATAGAGGGAGTAATTTGGGGTGTGTGGACAGGGACAAAATAGTCATGCAAAGCTTCAAGGAAGATTTGAGATTTGCCTTGAAGAACAGGCAGAATCCAGGTATACAGAAAAGAAAGCGTAGAAGGAGGAAGAAAACAGTCATTGTACACAACAATCTCAGTAAGAACTGCTTTTATCAGAAGGTGTCAACAAATTTTCACAGTTCATAAAATGGATGACTTGCTAAATGCTATAAAAGCAAATCCAAAGGAAGAGGACACTTTTATACATTTATTCATGTCTTACCTTCTTTTAATGGGGTCTTCAGGGCAAAATTTTCTTTACTTTCATGATGAAAAGCCTTTGAAGGATCAAAGTGTTTGATACCTAGAACTTTATTCAATTCCTCTTGAAGTTTTGTCTCACTTTGTTTTTTTTTAGCAAGCTGACAGCGGAGTTTTGATACTTCCTAGGTAAAAAGAAATAATAGGTAATAAACAATTATTAAAGAGTATGTCAGTGAAATGTGTTACCAATGTTGCGGGCAAATTCCAAAGTTGTTTATGTATTATCACACTCAACAGCAAAAATCACTACTAGACACAGGCTTTAAGACTGAATTACAAAATGACATGAAACAGCTGTGACAAAGGAGATACAGTCTTTTAAATCTCCTTGCCCCTCCTCAGCTACAAAGCTATTTTTCTGATAAAAGTTCAACTCAAAAGTAATTGCTGAGATGGACTTCTGGCATGACAGCATGAAAGTTCTGCTGACCTGCTCCCTAGTGAAACTAAAAGTTATAAAATATTAACCAGTTAAAGCCTCTGAAAATTGACCTAAGGGAAAAATAGCAAATGAAGAAACATCTATTCAAGAAAATCTGCAAAAATTTGGTGAAAAAGAGAGTCTGCAGTGTTTAAGCCAAAACTCCTTCCCCTCTTCCCACTCCCAGCTTAGCAAGGCAAAGTCCACGCCAGACGGCTACAGCCAAAAGCACAGGGCCCTCTTTTCCCCCAACTCCGAGTCAGAAGCTTCCCTCCCAGGAGGACCAGGACATCAGAGTTTCTCATTTTGTCCCCAGCTCCCTGTGGCTGCAGTTATATCCTGGACAAATGCAATTGTGAGGTGGGGGATCCCTTCCTCCAGTCAGCCCCATTCATGGAACAGGGGCTCACCTTGGGCACAGTGTGTTGAAAATGCTGGGCCCCGATGACTCTTTCTCTGGCTCATGAGGGGGATGGTTCTACACCAGGAGGTTACTCAAGAGGGCCTGAGGCTATTCCTCATCTCTTCCCCACAAGTCCACTGAAAACTCAGCTCCTAGGGCAGAGGATGTCACTCAGAGAGAAAACTGCCATTGTCCCCAATTTCAGCTCTAGTCCTGGCTCAGGGATATTGTCGGGGGAGGGGGAAAGGAGGGCGGAAAAGACAAGTAGGCCATAAAACAGGGAGCTCCTCATTTCTTTTCAAAGGAACTGACTTCACCTGCAACAGAGCTTGGAGAAGCTGAAGCCTAAGGGTGCTCTAAAGCAGGGGTCCCCAACCTCCGGGCTACAGACCAATACCCATCCAAGGCCTGTTAGGAACCCGGCTGCAGAGCAGGAGGTAAGTGGTGAGCCAGGAAGCATAAGCATTACCCCCTGAGCTCCCCCTCCTGGCAGATCAGCTGCGGCATTAGATTCTCACAGCAGTGTGAACCCTATTGTGAAATGCACATGTGAGGGATCTAGGCTGCATGCTCCTTATGAGAATCTAATGCCTCATGATCTGAGGTGGAACACTTTAATCCTGAAACCATCCACATAAACCCATCACAAGCTGGGTGATCCGGTCTGTGGAAAAACTGCCTTCCACAAAACTGGTCCCTGGTGCCAAAAAGGTTGGGGAACCATTAAAGAACAGTGGTGGTTATAGTGAGAGAGAAATGGGAGGAGATTTAAGATACAGGCTGAACAGTAGGCTAGTTAGTTTGCAGGAGAAAACTAGGGAATATGACAGCTGGGACGAGCCCTTCTGTAGTCAGAATAAATATCCAGCACTGCTCTCGTATGCAATCCCTACAAAGGAGCCAGAATTTGATTGGATTAGTTTATAGAGCAATTTATGCCCTAAGGCACTGTTGCAAATAATCAAGCAAGGAGCCAGCATCTACTGGAGTTTACAGTCACTATGTTCACGGAAAGAGAGGAAGGCAGCCCTACCAAAGCAAGTGTCATCCCAGGGTAATTGTGGGCACACCTAAAACTGTACCTCCCTGAACAGCAACATCAGAGGCACAATACTGTTGGGGTCTGGGGAGGTAGTGGGATATGTTTCCCTAAAATAATTGAGCCACTCATTAAGCAAACAAGCAAATAAAAAGCCCCCAAAAGGAGGGGGAGCTGTACCCAGAAATGCTACAATATATGATCTAAAAATTTACTTTCCAATGAAAAATTACAAGGCATGCCAATAAACAGAAAAGTATAACCTATACATTTGGACACAAGGAGAAAAAATGTCTGAGAGTAATCGGATGTTGGATTTTTCAGCCATTAAACAAGGGCTGAAAAACCACCTATTGAGTACTATCCTTACTGCCTGGCTGACGGGACCTGTCATACCCTAAACCTCAGTATCATGCAATGCACCCATGTAACAAATCTGCATATGTACCCCCACATCTAAAATAAAAGATGAAATTATAAAAAAGAAAAGTTCTTGGCCAGGTGCAGTGGCTCAAGCCTATAATCCCAGCATTTTGAGGCCAAAGCTGGTAGATTCCTTGAGCCCAGGAGCTCCAGACCAGCCTGGGCAACATGGCAAAACTCTGTCTCTACAAAAAGTAGAAAAATTAGCCGGATGTGGTGGCGCACGCCTGTAGTCCCAGCTACTTGGGAGGCTGAGGTGGGAGGATCACCTGAGCCCAGGGAGGTTGAGGCTGCAGTGAGCCGTGATTGCATCACTGCACTCTAGCCTGGTGACAGAGTGAGATCCTGTCTCTAAAAAAACCCAAAAACCAAACAAAAAAATAAAGTTCTTTCTCCACTAAAAATTTAAAAAAAGAAAGAAACTTAAAAAAAAAAGACTCAAATTACTAGAATCAGAAATAAAGAGAAGCCATTACTACTGACCTTACAGAAATAAAAAAAAGATTATAAAGGAATACTATGAACAATTATATACCAACAAATTAGGCACATTTATAGAAAGACATAAACTACTCAAGAAGAAAACCGAATCAAGAAGAAAGAGATAATCTGAATAAGCCTATATCAAGTAAAGATATTGAATTAGTAACCAAAAAATATTCACAAGAAAAACCAAGGTCCAGATGGCTTCACCAATAAATTCTACCACACATTCAATGAAGAATTAATACCAATTATTCAAAAACCATTCCACATAGAAAAGAGGGAACATTTCTCACTCATTTTGTGATGTCACCATTACCCTGATACCAAAATGAGACAGACATTAAAAAAACAAAAACAAAGCAAAGAAAACCTACAGACCAGTATATCTTAGGAATATGGCTGAAAAAAACCCCTCAGCAACATATAAAAATAATTATATGCCATAACCAAGTGAGATTTATCTCAGAAGGTTAGATTAATATCTAAAAATCAATTAATAAAATACATCATATCAACAGAATAAAAAAATTACATGATAATCTCAATAGAAATAGAAGAAGCACTTGATAGAATTCATTACCCTTTCATATAAAAATGCTCAACAAACTAGGAAACAGAAGGGAACTTCCTCAACTTGATAAAGAGCATCTATGACAAATCGACATCTTTGTTTTTTTTAGATTGTTTCGCTGTTGTCTCCCAGGCTCAATGGCTCCATCTCGGTTCACTGCAACCTCTGTCTTCTGGGTTCAAGCCATTCTCCTACCCAAGTAGCTGGGATTACAGGCGCCCGCCGCCACACCTAGCTAACTTTTGTATTTTTAGTAGAGACGAGGTTTCACCATGTTGGCCAGGCTGGTCTCAAACTCCTGACCTCAGGTGATCCACCTGCCTTGGCCTCCCAGAGTGCTGGGATTATAGGCGTAAGCCACCTCGGCTGGCCAACAAATCAACATCTAATAATGTCACGCTATATACATCATACAGGTAACATCATATATCATGGAGAAAGACTGAATGCTTTCCCCCTAGATCAGGAACAAAGCAAGGCTGTCCATCCATTTTCATTACTTCTAAATTCAACACTGTATTATACTACAGGTTTTAGCCAGAGATATTAGACAAGAAAAAGAAATAAAAGGCATCCAGATTGGAAAATAAGTAACACTATCTCTATTTGCAAAAGACATGATCTATAAGAACATCCTAAGGAATCCACTAAAAAACTATTAGAACTAAAATGAGTTTAGCAAGGGTGCAGGATACAAGATAAATATATTAAAATCAATTGTATTTCTATACACTGGCAATCAACAATCCAAAAATGAAATTAACAATTTCATTTACAAAACATCAAAAAGAATAAAATAGTAATAAATTTAACAAGAGAAGTGGAAAACTTATACTCTGAAAACTATAAAACATTGTTGAAAGAAATTAAATGAGATCTAAATAATTGGAAAAATATCCCATATTCATGTATTAGAAGACTTAACCTAGTGAAGATAATAATATGTCCCAAACTGATCTACAGATTCAATGCAATTCCCATCAGAATCCCAGCTGGTTTCTTTGTAGAAAAACTGATTCCAAAATTAATATAGAATTGCAAGAGGTCCAGAATAGACAAAACCATATTGAAAAATACAAAGAGGACTCACGCTTCCTGATTTCAAAACTTACTACAAAACAACAGTAATCAAGACAGTGTGGTGGCACAAGGATAGATGTATAGATCAATGGAAGACAGTTGAGAGTCTAGAAATAAATCCATACATGTACAGTCTAAATGATTTTTTAATTGGATGCTAACTCCATTAACTGGAGGCAAGAATATTCTCTTTAAAAAATAGTGTGGGGACTATTGCATGTCCACATGCTAAAGAATGAAGCTGGACCCTTACCTCACACCACATACAAAAATTAACTCAAAATCAATCAATAATCTAAATGTAAGAGCTAAAACTATAAATCTCTTAGAAGAAAACACAGGGGTAAATCTTCCTGACCTTGAATTTGGCAGAGGAGATAGATACCAAGGAACGAACAAACAAAAAAATAGACACACTGGACGTCATAAAAGTTTTTTGGGTCAAAGGACATCATCAAGAAAGTGAAAAGACAATGCACAGAATGGGAGAAGATATTCGCAAATAATACATAAGAGACTTGTGTCCAGAATTGATGAAGAATTCTCACAATAATAAAAAGACTAATAATCCAATTTAAAAATGAGCAGAGTATAAACAGACATTTCTTTCATGAAGATATACAAATGGCCAGTAAGCACATGAAAAGATGACCAACATCATTACCAATTAAGAAAATGCAAGTTAAGTTAATGAGATACCACTTCATACCCACTACAATGGCTAGGATAAAGAAGTCAGATAATAACAAATGTTGGTAAGAATGTGGAGAAATTGGAACCCTCGTACACCGCCTGTAGAATATAGATTGGTATGAGCCACTTTTGAATACAGCCTGACCTTTCTATGGCCATACCACCCTGAACGCACCCGATCTCATCTGAATGTAGTCTGATACTTCCTGAAATGATTAAATGTAGAGTTATCAAATGATCTGGCAATTTCCCTCCTATTATTTCCCAGGGAAATAATATGTCCCAGGAAAAAACAAATGTCCATACAAAAACTTGTACATGAATGTTTATGGTAGCATTATTCATAATAGCCAAAAATGTGCAAACAAGTGTTTATCAACTGACAAACGAATAAATAAAATGTGGTATACCCACATAATGAATTATTAGGCTATAAAAAAAATAAAGTACTCTCCATGCTACAACACAGGTGAATCTTGAAAATATTATGCTAATTGACTGAAAGAAGCCAGTAACAAAAGGCCACATATTATTTGAATCCATGAATATGCCAGGTCCACAATAGGGAAATCAACAGAGACAGAAAGTAGATTAGTGGTTTCTTAGGGCTGAAGGGTGGGGTGGGGTGAGGAGATAGGAGAGTGTTAGGAAAAGGATAACAAGGTTTCATTTTGAGGTGATGAAAATGTCCTAAAATTGACTATGGTGATGGTTGCACAAATCTGTGAGTATACTAAAAAACACTGAATTGTCCACTTTCAATGGGTGGATTGTATGGGTTGTCAATTATATCTCAATACATATGTTAAAAAATTTAAATGCCCAAATATTTTTGAACACTGCTTCTCTTTATGGTTTTACATCAAGGAGTTTGCAGTTTTGCAAATGGAAATAGATATGTAAAGCTTAATGAATTCATCCAATTACTCAAGTAATTTTCAATATATTAAGAAGGTAGCTAGAAAACTTTAGAACATTGAATGCCCATCTGGTCAACACTCTAAAATAAATCCACTAAATCACAGCTCAATTTTCCTCTATAAACAGTTATTTTTTTCTGATACCAAAGATATTCATTTTATTTAAGTATTATAGTTAGAATAACCCCCACTCCAATATCTTTAATAAAATGAAAAGTCATTTTACAAACCGATTTGAGTTGGCTATTTTCATCTTTCAACTTCACAACATGCTTGATTTTTTGTTTCAAATTCTGATGACCCAATAATTTAGCATATGAATCTCTTATTTTATTTAGCTGTTCCTGAGCTGCACCATGTTCATTCAACAATGCCTGTTTTTCTACTTCAAAAGCATCTAGTTGTAGCTGAAAAAGATTTTTTAAATAAAGTTAAGACTTAAAACAGTTTGATCTTACTAGTTTCATATAAACCATAAACACTAAAGAAAATTAAAAACACAAATGAAAACAAGGTATGTTCACATATTCTCAGGGCTCTCCATAGATTCTCTATGAGAATCTTTTAAACTTTGTATTTTTCATTTTAAAGATCATTAAAACAGAGGAAAAGAAACAAGGTAAAAAAGCCAGCTGGCCAGTTTTATCTGTATCAGTTAGATTACCACATTATAACCAATACTGTACTTCTAAGTTCCAAAATCAGCATTTATTCTTTTTTCTTTTAAAAGATCAGTATATTGAGAAACAATGAGTATTTGCAATAAGTCATACCACAAATTAAAATAGGTTAATTATCAAAAGCTCATACCAGGCAAGCCCTCTGAGCCAAACTTTTAAGTTCCACATTACAAAGTTTTTTTTTAAACCACAAAGGGTCCATTGAAAAAATTATGTCAATTAAATTTGTCAATTATACTTCAATAATGTGGGAAAAAATTATGCATAATTTAATAAAATGTATAAACCTTTAATAGTGAGCTAAATTGGCACTGTAAGTGCAGAGCAAAATGATCTTGCAGAAAACCCGAGTCACTGTCCTCACTATAATAGGGAACAAAGTGAGTCCCTAAAATAAACACAAGTAAGTTTACTCCTAACTGACAAACCTGAAAAGGTTTTGTTTTATTATATAGTTCTTCATAGAGGAGACGCCACTTGTTAATTTCTTCAGTTAATTCTGCTGTTGTATTTTCTTTTTCAGCTTTTCTGCATGGAAGAATTAAATTGAGAAAAACATAGTTATTTAAAAAATCACATCGTAACTGAGTTAACAAGGCACTCAGGTTCTAATCATAGATTACCTTCCTTCTTCATCTTCCAGCTGTTTTCTAAAGTCTTCCTCCTGTTGCTTGAGTTGGTTCTGCAAATCAGTTATTTTTTGAAGAAAAGAAACTGTGATTTCTTTAATTTCTGTTTCCTTTAGTGCTGACTTGGTCTGCAGATCTAGAAGCATCCTTTGGTTTGAGAGAGAAGAGGTCACTAAACATTTTATAGCCACTTTCATTAATTTTTCCTTTTTTTTTCTTTAAACCTCAAGGAACTCTTCAAGAAGTGTCATTTTTTAACTGAGTAAATTCTTAATTTGCAGTATAAGATGGCCAAAAGCAAGCCAAGGGACAGTTACTAGCTGGCTTTCAACATTAAATTGTCTTAATGGTTCTAAGGCCATTATTTGCTCTATATACCTTACATATTCTTGATTTGAGCTCTCAGTTGCCAAAATCTGATGCTGAACATCCTCTGCATTTTTCCCAGCCTTGGCCGCTTTTTCCTGTAATGATGAGTTCTCCAGCTTAAGATCTTCTATCTCACTGGCTGTTAACGCTTTATAGCTTATTAAAAAGAAAAAAAAGTCAAAGTAGTTTTCTAACTATTGCGTATGACAATCATAACTGATTAGTTTACACTTTATATACTTCTAAGTAAAACTAAAAAGTTTTTAATGTATTCATGCATTTAACACAGGTAAGAATTCAGTGTTCTGAGGCAAGTACTAATGAGTTTACATGGCATCTGCTGTGTATTCAAAGAAAAAAAAATCAAGTGCCTACTAGGTGCAGGAAGTATGCATACAGAGATGGAAAAGAAATCAACTACCAAGCATGAAAATTACTCACAATTTAAAAAATAAGAAGTGAGACTAGAGCCTAATGAGTAAGAAAGGCTGGAGCAGAAGCTGGTGGCATGAGGGTCATCACCGCAGGGCACAGTGGGCTTACCTGGCGGACAGACGGGAACCATTAAAGGTGTCCAAGTAGGCTGGGCGTGGTGGCTCATGCCTGTAATCCCAGCACTCTGGGAGGCCGAGACGGGTGGATCACCTGAGGTCAGGAGTTCGAGACCAGCATGACCAACATGGTGAAACCCCATCACTACTAAAAACACAAAAAATTAGCCAAGCGTGGTGGTGGACACCTGTAATCTCAGCTACTCGGGAGGCTGAGGCAGGAGAATCACTTGAACCTGGGAGGGGGAGGTTGCAGTGACCTGAGATAGTGCCATTGCACTCCAGCCTGGGCAACAAGAGCGAAACTCCGACTCAAAATAAACAAATAAATAAAATAAAAAGGTGTTTAATTAAATGTGTAGCTCACTCTAGAGCTATGAGGAAGATGGATTAGGGCAGGGGAAAAGAATGGAAAATTGAAGGATCAACTCCAAAACAATTATTTATCAGCCCAGGTGAGTGATAAAGGAGGCTTAGACTAAGGAGCTGGCAATGGAAAGACACAAGATCTCTTTTGGAAGCAGAGTAGGAAAATTCAAGAGATAGACTGAATATTGGGGGTAAGGAAGAGAGAATGATGAAGGATGACTCTAAGATTTACAGAATGAAAAGCTGGGAAGATGATGTCACTGATTACAATAAAAACAATGAGAGACTAGGGGTAGAAAGCAATGGAAGGATCAAGAGTTGGTTTGGACAGGTTAATATTAAAAGACAGTGTGATATCTACTTGAAGATGTCAAGTGGGTAACTGGATATGTGAATATGGAGCTGTAAAGAAAGGTCTGGTTTGATGAAATAAATTTTAATGCCACGAGTATATGGATAGTGACTAAAATCACAGAATAGATAAAAACCCCCTGAAGCACTATTCTTCAAACTAACGAGAAGGGAAATTCCTTTACAGGATTGATATTAGCAATAAATATATATATATAAAATTTACATATATTTATATGATTTATATGTTCTGATACAATAAAAATTATAAATAAAACATATACACTTATAAATTATTTATCTATGTGTCTGTCATAATGTATCACATGTGGGAACAGATCACTGGGGAAACAAGGTACAATTTAATGAATTAAATTAAACTAGGCAGTTGGTTGTCCATAGGGAAAACAAAAAATGAATTTGATCCCTATATTGCTACACACACAGAAATCAGTTCTAGGTGGAAAAATGGAAAGTGAAATTTTAAGACTTTTAGAAGAAAACTGGTTGAATATCTTTACACCTTGAGATAGAAAGAAGTTCTTAAATGAGAAGCAAAAGTACCCACATACAGATAAATATTTTAACCATATTGAAATCAAGAATTTCCACTCATCAGAAGAAACCAAAAAGAAAATAAAAAAATAAGCTAAACTGGCAGAAGATACCTGTAACCCATATGGCTGATAAAGAAAACCTCTACAAATCAATGAGGAAAAGATGATAACCCTATAGACAAATAAACAAAAGTCATAAACAAGCATTTTATGGAAAAGGAAAGATGAATTATCCACAATAAGAAGCCATTTTACACTAAGTACACTGGCAAAGTTTAAGAAGTCTAACAAGCTTTGGCAAAGAAGATAAATGGAAACTTATACAACACTAGTGGGAGTGTAGATTCTTACTCCCACATTGGAAAGTGATTTGATATTAAGTTTTAGAGTTGAACATTCATATACCTTTGGCTTTAGAGAAATTCTTACATACATGTATTCTTATAGTCACAAAATAACTAATAATAACTAACCAAATGGGAAACAACTCAAAGTCCAAAGAATGAATAAATAAGTTGTGGTATATTCATACAATAAAATACTCATAGCAGTGACTATCAACAAACCATAGCCTCAGACAACACAATTCAATCCTGAAAACACACATAATGCAGAATGAAAAAATAAGTCCCAGGAAACGGCATATACTATGATGACATTTTTTGGTAAAGTTCAAGGAGAAGGAAAATTACATAATGCATTATTTGTATGGATATACGTGTCATAAAATTATAATACACAGGGGGGAAAAAGCAAGGAAATAATTAGTGTAGACTTCAGGACAGTGTTATCTGTCCCATTTTCATGGGATGGCAGAGGAACTTACATATGGATACTAAGTTGTTGAAAATCTTTTGGCTTACTGGTTGTCTTTTATAGGTTCATGCATGTCAGTTTTATCTTCAAGCTCTACAGTTTATGTACATGTTATGCATTCTTTTGTATTTATTAAATAAAAGAAAGGAAACTCTCCCCCAAAATGAGCTAAAGTAAATGTGATAAATAAAAATGTTAACATTAATATATAGGTATTCATTATATTGGCCTTTGTAATTTGTAGTTCCACCCAAAATAAACTTTTTATTTAAGGAGAAAA
This sequence comes from Homo sapiens, assembly GCF_000001405.40. Classification (NCBI taxonomy): domain Eukaryota; kingdom Metazoa; phylum Chordata; class Mammalia; order Primates; family Hominidae; genus Homo; species Homo sapiens. The sequence goes on along the minus strand of NC_000005.10, from coordinate 163,479,873 downwards.
TAAGTAGAAGGCATGGGAGGTGAGGAAGTGGATATAGAGACAATCTTCTCTGTCAAGAGAAGAAAAAGGAGGAGAAGGAAAAGGACTGAAAAGGAGTAGAATTTGGGGTTAAGAAGGGAATGACTGGTGGTGTGAGACAGCTACAAAAGGAAGTTAGGGTCAGAGAAGTATTTAAAACAACTTATGTATTTTATTTATTTTTCGTTTGTTTTTGAGACAGTCTTGCTCTGTCACCCAGGCTGGAGCGCAGTGGTGTGATCTTAGCTCAGTGCAGCCTGGAACTCCTGGGCTCAGGTGATCCTCCTGCCCTCAGCCTCCCAAGTAGCATGTGCCACAATGCCTGGCTAATTCTTAATATTTTTTTTTGTAGAAACAAGGTCTTACTCTATTGCCCAGGCTGGTCTCAAACTCCTGACCTCAAGCAATCCTCCTGCCTTGGTCTCCCAAAGCACTGGGATTACTGGTATGAGCCACAGTGGCCAGCTAATTAATATATTTTACAGACAGATGTACATTAACATGTTTTAATATTGATTGGAAAAATTCCAGTAAAAAGGTTTCAAATTATGAGAAAACAAAATGATAGAATGAGGTCACTGAAGATTAAAAGACTAGGACATTTCATCTGTAATAGGTGGGAAGATAGGATGAGTATAAATGTGGGTCTCTTTATAGGTTTAGCAAGAGATAAAAACTTCTGAATTCTTTATGAAAATGATAACATCAAGAGAGTAGGGCAGAAGCACCAAATGCTTCTAAGTACATGACTTGATCCTCCCACCTCAGCTTATGCAGTGGCTAGGACTACAGGCATATGCTGCCGCACCTGGCTCAGCACATAAAAGTTGAAGTGGATGGTGAGAAAGGGGAATTTCTATAAATTATAAAGGGGAATTATATAAATACAATAAGATTACCAGATAATGCTAAATGCCCACTTACGGTTGGTGATTATGGAATTTAAACTAGTATGAATCATCCTTTGTGTGACTGCTTTGCTCACATATTTCCTGGGGTAAACACCCCTTTCTGCACACATCATATTTAAGAGTGCAGGCTCCCAAGAAAAATACCTTTCAAATTGAGCAGTAACATCTTCAAGGCTTTGCACCATACTGTCATACTTTTCCTGCAAAAGCAGGGTGGCCTGGGTATGAGCAGCACTACTTTTCTCCAGTTCAGCCTCCTTCCTAAGAAAAAGAAATAATTGAAAGATAAAATGCCACCTACAATTACTACCCTAAGAAAGAAAATAGTATTTACCTTTGAAACTGTGAATCATATAGCTCATATCTTCACCACTGCATTACCTGCTAAATAGCTCAGATCCTAATTTATGACTTACCTCGAAAGCATGTTTTTTATGCATTTTTCTACTAGCTTCAACTTATCTTTCCTGCTTATTTTACTTTAAAAATTTGGGTGAAGAAGGTAGTAGGATATAAAAGACTATAAAACCAAATCTTAAGATACTAGCCAGGACTAAAGACTGCAAAAGATTACCAGTCAAAAAACATCTGGATTGAATAAAGTTTCATTCTCTCCATTTAGACACTTGAGAAATACCATGAACAATTAAAGCCACTTCATTTTAAACTACAGAGTTACAAGACTTTGTGGATTTATTCTGATTATATGAATAACCCACATAATACTCTATTACTGAAAGACTTAATAACTTCTTTAATGGATTATTTTGCATAGACAGAATGGGTTTTAAGTCATTTTTATATACATATGCTATTAAATCTCAGGGATATTTTGGAAATAATATATTTCCAAAGTGGTGATAAAATTTTTAGATATGCATATGAGCTTATGAGAGATCTTTTAAAGAATATACAGAACTAAAAATTGTAAATAAGCATTGTGTACTTATAGACTAAGTTGGACACTGAGATAAGAAAAATAGCTGATCAAATTCATTCTGTAACAAGTGCCGGATTTCAAAAATATACACACCACAGCAAGAGCAATCAAATATGACTAAAGAGTTTATAATAAAAATATTTTCTTCCCTGTCCCCTAGAGGAATTATTTTCAATTCTTAGTTTGTTTTTCTCTTAAGCTTGAAATTTCCAGGCTAGAAGGGATCTTAGAGACCATCTAATAAAACTCTTTTATATCTAATGAAGTAGAAGATCAAAGAAACTAAGATTGTTTTGCTCAGAATCAACCAGCTAGCTAACAGAATTAGTAATAAAAATCCTTATCTCTTGACCATTGGACCACAGTTTTTTGAGTTGGAATAAAAAATTATCTCAATTTTCTTTCCTCTCTTAAAATGACATTATCTTATTTTCCCAAGATTCCTGTTCCCTGAGATTGGCTGTAGTATAGAACAACACCCCTAATTACAATTTTGTATTGTTCCCCCAAAAGCAGGGATATGAAAAACCTTGCTGTTCATTTGCATCACTAATCATAAGAAAACAGAAAAGATTAATAACAAAAGTATCCACTGAGACAGATACACAGGTGTGAGATATATTACAATAATACAAACTCATATCTAGCCCACAGTCCTTTGACAACAAGTGTTTTAATGATCAGATCCCAAGGATTTAAATATTTGCAATTTGAACTCAAGAATCAAATCAGACTTTTTAATTTAAATAAATGTAGTAGTGTTTGTCACTAACCTGTGTTCCTGAACTATGAAATATGAATATGTAGGCTAAGGAATAGTTTCTCTTAATAAATAAAAAATTAGCAATTACTATGGACAAAACAAAACAAAATGAAATAAATAAGTGTATGGGAGAAGGAAACATAATGTGGCAGAAATTATAAGGAACTAGAGTTCGGGAAAAAAGTGAGATTTCAGTTTTTCTTTTGTTTTTGGGACACAGTCTCCCTCTGTCGCCCAGGCTGGAGTGCAGTGGTGCGATGTCAGCTCACCACAACCTCCGCCTCCTGGGTTCAAGCAATTCTCCTGCCTCAGCCTCCTGAATAGCTGGGATTACAGGCGTGCGCCACGATGCCAGGCTAATTTACTATGTATTTTTAGTAGAGATGGGGTTTCACCATGTTGGCCAGGCTGGTCTCGAACTCCTGACCTTGTGATCTCGCTGCCTTGGCTTCCCAAAGTGGTGGGATTACAGGTGTGAGCCACCGCACCCAGCCAAGATTTCAGTCTTTCTACTGTAAATAAGAGATTTCTTACTTCTGAATGTTTCCCAGTTATAATTATTTTTTCTCATTTGCTTTTTATCAGTTATTGATTGAGGTGGCATCTTGTGCTACGTTGCCCAGGCTAGAGTGCCATGGCTATTAACAGGTATAATCGTTGAGCATTACAGCCTCAAACTCCTGGGCTCTAAAGATCCTCCCATCTCAGCCTCCTGAGTAGCTGGGACTTTAGGCATGTGCCATTGTGCCAGCCTGCTTTGCATTTTGATTGCTATTTCTGAAGTGTTTGTGCTCCCGGAAAAATGTAATTAAAGGTATAACTTACACTATGTAAGTGCATAGACAAAAATGGGAATGCTATTTATTAATGGGAGGGATTCTTTATTTTTTTCCCCCAAGTTCATTATTGTGTTTTGTTTGTTTTTGAGACAGAGTCTCACTCTGTTGCTCAGGCTAGAGTGCAGTGACGTGATCACGGCTAACTGCAGCCTTAATCTCGTGGGCTTAAGTGATTCTCCTCCCACAACTTTCTAAGTAGCTGGGACTACAGGCACACACCACCGTGCCCAGCTAGTTTTTTTTTTAATTTTTAGTAGAGACGAGGTCTCACTATATTGCACAGGCTGGTCTCAAACTCCTGAGCTCAAGCAGTCCTCTCACCTTGGCATCCCAAAGTATGGGAATTGCAGGCATCAGCCACCACATCCAGCCCTGAGTTGATTATTGTTCTAATGCTGATGTTCAATAAATTTCAGAAATTAGCAGAGTAGTAAAGAAGTGTAAAACTTTTGTCATTTGTTTATTTAAACTCTCTTTGGCCTTAAAAAAAGGGGGCAAAACCTTTAACTTTTAACTTAAAAGAGGGGGCTGTCTTACTTGTTTGCATGTACATTTTGTGTTCACATTCTGTGTCTACTACTTAATTGTAAAATAATTAATAATTACTACTTAATTATAAAATAATTCCAACCTAACACGCTCACATGATTGATAAGAGAATACTAAAAAAAGTACTCAAAATAAATACATCTGAAGTCATACATAAACATGAGATCCTATTAATACAAACCCTTTCAGCTTTTCTTCTAGGAGTTTTAATTCTTCAGCTCTAGATTTTGCTTCCTCTTCCAATTGCTTGACCAGCCTTTCAGCTTGTTCCTCCTTTTGCTGTAATTTATCAAGCTCATCCAGTGTTTGCTTTAATTCTTCCTCAAACAGATTCTTCTCTTTAACCATTTCCTCTTGAAAAGAACAGAGCTTCTGATGAAGACTCGAAGATAATTCCTATATCCAAACAGAAAACCACCAAAATAATTTGGAATGGCATTGTGAGGTTGTACTAGGAGACAAAAAAAAGTACAGATAAAGAAGGATGAAACCTAAATTCAACAGATTCAAGGAAACTTAAAACAATATAGAAATAGCATATTTGTTTTCATAGATTATTTCCTATACCTTGTTAACATTGTGGCAAATATCATCTTAGGCTTTTTTCTATGCAACGCACATGCAGAAACTTCTTAATCTAAAATTATATTTTATATATATATATCTGTTTTACAACTGGCTTTGATATTAACATTATTTTTCACATATTATGTAAAAAGTGTGTGGTGATTTCCATATTACATAAAATTATTTTTTAAGCTATACAATATACAAATACATCACCATTGTGAAATAATTCTAACATTACAAATGATGTTAATATTATCTTTGACGACTTCCCCCCCTAATTTTAGTTTTCCCATTGCAGAGATAGCTACTAGTTTGGAATATATATGCCTTCTGGTATTTTTCTTTACACTTATATATACATATACATTTGGGGAGGGATATAAATGATATATACTCTGTTGCTGAAATCTTTCCAGGTCAGTGTATATAGATCTACTCAATTCCTTTAGCTGTTGTAGGTTGTCCAACACTATAATATTTCACATCAGTGCATGTAAGTACCTGTTGGCTTAACTCTCACCAGTATTTTGTGTTATCAAATGTTTTAATTTGTGCCAATTTTGTAAGTGAAAAAAATATTATTTCTACTTCCTTGGTTACTACTAAGGTGGAGTATCTTTCTATATTTACAGGCCAGAACTTCTCCTTCTCTGTTTCCATCCTATGCCCATAATTTTTCAGTGGACTTTCTTTCTTCTCACTGATATGTAAAATGTTCTATAAATAATCTGGATTTTAAAAATTGCTTTGTTTCTTCTGTAATTAGACAGTCTTTTACAAGGTAAGTGTAAATGTTTATATAGCCTAAATAACACAAGAATGAGCCAGAAAATTTTTTAAAAATTCCCTATTTTGCTGTATCTGTTGTCATTTTCCCACATTATTCATAACCCTAGGGTGAACATGTAGTGAAAATACGTAGCTAAATCCTCAGCATATCCATGATTATGTCCTCAGGATAAGACTCTAAAGATAGAATTGGTAGATCAAAGGATATACACAATTTAAAGGTGTTCAGAGACATAGGGAAATGTATGACACAAAATGAACAGTTTAAAAAAATATGGTGGTAAATTACTTTCTCTTGTTGCAGAAGTGAATCAATTTGTAATTCTTTTTGTTGAAGCTTTTCACGTTCCTGTTGTTCAAGAATAAACTTCTGTTTTAAGTTTTGCATCTCTGCATTTAGATTTTCGTTGTGTTCTCTATTCCTGTTGACATGGTCTTCTAGAAAACGCAAAACATCAAGAATACTGGAATTAGATAAGAACATTAAGACTGAGAAACCTGGACTCCCATAATATTCCATTACACTGCTTTTAGCATGGTATTTCCAAAGAAGAAAACAAAACTGTGAACTTTGTATCATTACTCCATGTAATATATACTATGTGCTAAATAATAAAACCCACAAATCTTGTTCTGTGTTATCTACTGATTGTTACACAGCCACCTAGTGGAAAAGTCAAGAATTATATGACTGTATATATTTCAATCAAGACAGGTAATATGCTGTATTGAAATAAACAGAAAACAAACATTATAAGAGTAAAATATTCTAAAATGCAGTACAGGTTTTTGCTGTTGTATAGCTATATAGCTAATTATATTTAAAATGTTAGTATAGCTAATTATATTTAAAAGGTTGTTTTAGCATAGTAGTATTTTTCCTAAATGTTGTATGTAACACTTATCTAAACAAAGTAACTATAAAACACTGTAATACCTTTTTCTTTTTCAAGCAGCTGACATTTCACATTTAGATCTTCTACTTGTTTAGATAATATAACAATATTCTCCTCAAGAGACTGCTTAAGGCTTAAAATTTCATCATTCTTCTCTTTCAAATTTTCTTCTAACTGGGCAATATCTAGCTTGTATTTTTCCACTTGATCTGAAGCACAACTGCATTAAAACAAATTATCTTAAAAAGCACATCTATTTAGGCACAGGGAAAATAACAGAAAAATGATGAAAATGACTGAGTATTAAAAAAATAAGGTTCAATTTAAAGCTACTGCTCATATTACCTAATTTCTTCGATGTATTCCAAGAGTTTTTCTGTTTCAGATTTTTCATCAATCTTTTCTTTCTCTATTGAAACACTAAAACAAAAATTGCATATGTTAATACATTCTAGTTTCGTTATTTAATAATCTTACATAATGCTTATGTACCAGATACTCCTGTATCAGGCAGGCTGACTACAGAGCCCTAACTCTTAACTATTATTTTATGTAATTTCTCAAATTCACAATTTACATCAAAATAGAAGACTAAAATTTTTATTTAAGTGAGAAAGTTTTCTGAATATATACTGACAAAAAAACCTATGATGACAAGAACCATCATTACAGTATCCCAAGTGTTAGAAATAATATTCTTTTTGTGGTCTTCCTGGTTTCCCCACCCATCCAACATACTAAATAGCATTTTGTGTGCCCATAAAGCTTTTGTCCCAGACTACCTGGTCTTCAATTACTTATCTGTTTACCTCCACCAAACTGTCCAATGCAAGAAATGGACAAAAGACTTCAATAGACACCTTGCAAAAGGTGATATGCACATAAAATGGTCAATAAGCACATAAAAATAAGGTCAACATTCATGGTAACAAATTAAAATCACAAAGGAGATACCACTTCCTACCTAGTAGAAAGGCTAAAATCAAACAGACTGACAACATTAAATGTTGGTGAGAATCTGGAACAACTGAAACTATCATACATTGCCAGGGGGTGTATAAAAATGGCAAAAACACTTCTGAGTTTTAAAAAACATTATATATACACTACCCTATTACCCAAGAATTCTACTCCTAGAAATTTCTCTGAGAAATAAAAACGTGTCCATAAAAAAACATAAAACATGTTCACAGCAGTCTTTTTAATGGCAGACACTGGCAACAGCCCAAATAATGATCAAAAGGAGAAGAGTAAAGAGATGGAGGTATATTCATAAGGTGAACCACTACTCAGAAATAAAATAGGAAAAATTACAGTATACAGAACGGTTTGGATGAATCTTGAAAAATTACATCAAACAAAAGAAGCAACACACACACATGCTCTTTCTCTTTTGCATGTCCTAAAAAAAGGCAAAACTGGCCAGGTATAGTGGCCCATGTCTATAACTCCAGCACTCTGAAGGCCAGGGTGGTATCACTTGAGTCCAGGAGTATGAGACCAGCCTGAGTAACAAAGCAATGCCCCATCTCTAAAAAAAAAAATAAATAATAATAATAATAAATAAAAAAAGGCAAAGCTAATTTATGATGATGTAAGTGAGAAAGTAGTTATGGGGATGGGGACATGACATAGGCAGTAGCAGGGGGACAAGAAGGGGTATGAAGGAACTTTCTGAAGGGATGAAAATGTTCTCTATCTTGTTTGGTAGTGGTTACGTAGGTGTATACAATTGCTAAAGTCACCAAACTGAATACTTACTATCCACACATTTTATTATATGTATATTAAAGCTCAAAATCAAAGGCTAGGATTGTGCATAAATCACAATTTCCTATACCAGTGTTTCTCAATTTCAATCTAATGACCACTTTCATAAGATCATGAAATCTTTCCTCATCATTAATAATACAGAAGATGTACAAAAGTAATGCACTCATACAACTTTGTAGCACAACATGTTTGAGAATGATTAGGGCTCATTCTAGTTTAAAAAGAGAAATAGGGCAACTGGAGGGAGGCAATGAGATAAGTACTAACAGAAGGTTGAAGTCTCAGTAAACAATAATTTGTGAAGAGACTCAAATCAAGAATTGCTTCCACTTAACAATTTCTCTTCACATTCACTCACTTACAGTTTTCCCTCCAGTTGGGCTATTTTCCCTTGAGACTCTTCGAGACTCCTTTGGGTGACCTGCAGCTTCATCTCCATGCCTTCTTGCTTAGCCATCATACCCTACACAACAAAGATACCTGTTTTAGGAAATGAGAAAGTTGTACTGATCCCCAGATCCAGACACAGCAAACCTGCCAAGGGCAGCACTCACCCTCATCTTTGTTTCTCTTTTGTTTCTAAGTTTCATCAACTCCAAGCTTAGAATTCTCAAATTCTTCTGGTTACCATTTTCAGAAAACTAAATACAACAAACACGTAAAAAATTCAGAAATATTTTCTGCTAAGACATATTTAAAATACACAAATATTGATTTTTCTACCTATCACTGGGGTTATGTTTTTGACTTTAATATACTTTGGTAGAGAGAACAGTCTTTGACCTACACCATAATTACTGATTGATTTAATTTTTTTTTCTTTTCTTTTTAAGAGATCAAGTCTCGCTCCGCTGTCCAGGCTAGAGTGGAGTGGCATGATCATAGCTCGCTATAATCTCAAACTCCTGGGCTCAATCAATCCTCCTGCCTCATCTTCCTGAGTAGCTGGGATTACCGGTGTGCACCACCACCATGCCTAGCTAATTTTTCAATTTGTTTATAGAGATGGGGTCTTGATATGTTGCCCAGGCTGGTCTCAAACTCCTGGCCTCAAGCAATTCTCCAGCCCTCAGCCTTCCAAAATGCTGGAAATACAGGCATGAGCCACTGTACCAGTCTACTGTTCTTATCCCTCTTTTCCTTAATGTGACTTGCTGGTTTATTTTTATTTTATTTTTGTAAGACAGAGTCTCACTCTGTCACCCAGGCTGGAGTGCCGTGTTGCTCACTGCAACTTCCACCTCCCGAGTTCAAGCTATTCTCATGCCTCAGCCTCCCGAGTTCAAGCTATTCTCATGCCTCAGCCTCCTGAGTAGCTGGAATTACGGGTGTACGCCACCATACCTGACTAATTTTTGTATTTTTAGTAAAGATGGGGTTTCGCCATGTTAGGCTAGGCTAGTCTCAAAATCCTGACCTCAAGTGATCCATCCGTCTCAGCTTCCCAAAGCGCTGGAATTACAGGTGTGAGCCACTGTGGCTGGCCTGTTGGTTCATTTTTGAAAGGTTGTTTGGGTGGTCACTTACCTCTATATGCTGGAAAGTCCATTGCAAGACTCTAAAGCAAGTCCCTGAGAAAGGATTTCTTGAAACATGTTTGCTTAACAAAATGAATCTGAATCGCCTGGTGTATGTTGTTTTGTTTTGTTTTGTTTTTTGAGATGGAGTCGCACTCTCTTGCCTAGGCTGAAGTGCAATGGCGCCATGTCAGCTCACTGCAACCTCCACCTCCTGGGTTCAAGTGATTCTTCTGCCTCAGCCTCCCGAGTAGCTGAGATTACAGGCGCCCGCCAATAGGCCTAGCTAATTTTTGTATTTTTAGTAGAGACAGGGTTTCTCCATGTTGGTCAGGCTGGTCTCGAACTCCCGACCTCAGGTGATCCGCCTGCCTTGGCCTCCCAAAATGCTGGGAACACAGGCGTGAGCCACCGTGCCCGGCCCTAAAAAACGTGTTTATATTTATTCAATTGTAAATATTATCATGAGGCTCAGATACCTTAGATTTTAGTAGTTCATTAGTCCTGGTCAATTCAATAAGTTGTTTTTCCAGTGTAGCATTATTTGCAGAGAGAGATGTTTTTTCCCTTAGTGCAGCATTTAGCCTTGCTTCCATCTTTTCCAACTCAGTTTCCAGATCCTGGATCCGCCTGTCCTGGGCACCACGTTCCTGTAGAAGAACACGAATCTGGACAAAAACAAGGTGATAATAAATGATTCACTGATAGAATGCCAACATAAGGAGATGCTACCAATAATCACCCCTAAAGTTTCTGGAAAAATCTCTGATTTTGACATTATGCTTGTAGATATTCTAATGTTACTAGCTATTTGAATAATCATATTTACCTATGATACATCTTAAAAGTCTTAATGCATTTTAAGAACATAAGAACTTTAGTTGCCATAAGTTCCAAGTACAATTAAGCTATCTATTCACTTTTTTTTTTTTTTTTTTGAGATGGAGTCTTGCTCTGTGCTCTGTTGCCCAGGCTGGAGTGCAGTGGCACGATCTCGGCTCACTGCAAGCTCCGCCTCCTGGGTTCAAGCGATTCTCCTGCCTCAGCCTCCCGAATAGCTGGGACTACCAGCACGGGCCACCACACCCGGCTAATTTTTTGTATTTTTAATAGAGACGGGGTTTCACCATATTAGCCAGGATGGTCTCGATCTCCTGACCTCGTGATCCACCCGCCTCAGCCTCCCAAAGTGCTAGGATTACAGGTGTAAGCCACCACACCCGGCCGCTATTTATTCACTTTTAAGGTATTTCCACCTATAATAGTTATTTTCTCTAGCTTCAATTACACAAATTCAAATTAGCTTAAAATGCTAAATGTTTTTTATTTCAAGAAGGCAGAGCTGGGCTTCTGAGGAGAATGTACTAGGCATTGGCAAGCCATCATTCTTGCTGCTATTACCAGATTAAAAAAACAAAAAACAAAAAAAAACCCAAACCAATATTTGTCAACAGAAAATGTGGAAGCCAAAAGACAATGAAATGATATTTTTAATATAATGGGGGGGAACCTGCCACCCTAAAATTCTATACCCAATGAAGTCACTGGTGTAAATTATTAGTTCTAATCCTGGCTCTACCACTCACTTACCAGCTATCTCACTGAGACTCAGTGATTATTCCTGTAAGTATCAACCCCTACATGTACCCTCAGTAAAATGATAGCTAACATTATTAGAATACATAAAAAAGAATCAGAGCAACTGAGCAGACATTTACAGTTACTCTGACATACTCTTGGTTGAAAGCCAACATTCGACTGTAATCAAATGAAAGATTTTAATATATTGAAAGAATATATCCATGAGGAAAAGAGTTGGTCAGCAATGGAAACAGAAAAAAAAGACTGCAGAGAAGCAAAGTTCACAGTGAGCTGCTTAGCATTGCTAGGAAAGTAAATGGGTTCTTTAGGTTAGTACTGTTCAATAGAAATTTCTGTCATGGTGGAAATGCCCTGTCCAGTATGGTAGCTGCCAATCACATGTGGCTACTGAGCACTTGAAATGTGATTATTGCAACTGAGGAATTGAGTTCTTATTTAATTTAGATCATCACATGTGGTGAGTAGCTACCATATCAAACAGCACAGCTCTATGTTATTTCACCCATGAGGAAGGCCTATACCTATTGTGCAGAGCAATGCATCGAGTTAGCCTAACTTCATCACAGTCTAACCAGCTAGGATTGCATGCTCACTAAGAAATCCTCTAGCTATGTTGTGTTAACATAAGTTAGCATACAGGAAGACTGTGAACGATGGATAGATATAAATATTTGATCCACATATATAATTGTAATCAACTGACATAATGATTTTTCAGTTATCAGTTTTTCATTAAGTGGGCTATCTTTAATCTCGGCGTTGCCAGCATACCACATTAACATAGCCCGGATAGATCTGTGAAATACTGTAAGAACTGTTTTCCTGTAGGCACTGTTCTGGATGGCATGTTTGCCTCACTGCAGGACTCCTCACACTGCAACAGAATCCTTATCTCTTAAATCTGTGTAACTCTCTTTCTATCATGTGTACTTTTCACTAAGTTTAAAGCACTGCTTACCTCTTTCTCTAATATCTTCAAATCTTTATCATTCTTTTGAGATTCCTTCTGTTTAAAAGCCAAAAAAACTTATAAGCAAATTTAGATGTCACAGATATGACAGCCAAATTTGTTTTTCAGTTATCAGAAAAGATGAAGGGATCCAATCAGTTAGTTTCTATTTTAAACATTACACTGTTAAACATTGTGTAGGCCACTCATCTGATAAATAAAATATTCTAAAAATCTCAAGACATTTTAGGTTTAGAAATTTTCAACCCAATAAATCAGGATTTTCCTAATCAGCCCAGTGAAAAGAACAGGTGGAACTTTATGAATAAAGCTACTGACTGCCTCCCTCTAATGTTAAATAGCAACACATCTTGAATATTTAATTATGCTATCTCAGAAAGAATCTTACAAAGAGAAATCGACTTAAACTTTGATACCCGAAGAGGAAAATATACAGATGCAAAGAAATAAAAACTGAAACAGCATAAGCTCTGATTCTAATTTTCTCATTGGCTTTATTCTAAATAAGACATATAATTTTCACACTATATCTTTTTATATCCAACAGACTTTCTGACACAATGGCTAGAAAAAGAATATCTTTTCCATCTAAAAATGGAAGAAAGGCATCAACATCTTGAATGAAATCTGTTTCAGATGTTTCTAAGTGGGGCAGGAGGTGGGGGTGACATCAGTGTCATGTTTATTAATTTCACACTCCATGAAATTTTTTATGGGGAAGGACTATTATTTTGGGGCTCCATACAAACTTGTATGTAATTTAGTTTTCTAAGGGGCTTTATAAATTACAAAATTACAGAACAGTTTCTTCAAGAAATTTAAGTCAAACCACTTACATCAATTTCTAAGAAAAGAGTGTCTATAATAGTCCTGCCCAATAAAAATAATGCAAGCCACCTATGCATTTAAATTTTTCTAGTAGTGTGTTTAAAAAGTAAAAATCTTAATATATTTTATTTAACCCAACATATCAAATATATTTTTTCAGCATGTCATTGGTATAAAATTATCAATGAGATGTTTTATATTTTTGTACTAAGTCTTTAAAGTTTTCTTTGTATTCTACACTTATAGCACGTCTTAATTCAATGCTAAATTTTCATCAGAAATGTTTATGTATATTTAATTTCATAAAACATAGAAAGGAGAAAGTAAATTCACATACTCAAGTTGTTCCAAAAATATTTAAAAGCGTTCCACTAACAAAATCGAGTATGTCTTTAAATATGTATTAATTAAAATTAAATATTAAAAATTTAGTTCTTTAATAGCACTAGCCACATTTCAGTTGCTCAATAGACACATGTGGCTATGCTTCCATACAGAACAACATAGCTCTATATTACAGAATATGAGGCTTAGGCAACTGCCAAATGAATGAACAACCTAAGCCTTTTTCCAACTCTGAATATTTTTCACATCAAAAAACCTATTAATTTGTACAACTTTTTTACTTTATTTTTATCTTTGAGATAGGTCTCGCTCTGCTGCCCAGGCTGGAGTGCAGTGGTGCAATCTCTCGGCTCACTGCAACCTCTGCCTCCCTAGGTTCAAGCAGTTCTCCTGCCTCAGCCTCCCGAGTAGCTGGGATTACAGGTACGTGCCACCACACACGGCTAATTTTCTTGTATTTTTAGTAGAGACGGGGTTTCACCATGTGGGTCAGGCTGGTCTCGAACTCTTGACCTCAAGCAATCCACCTGCTTCAGCCTCCCAAAGTGCTGGGATTACAGGCGTGAGCTACTGTGCCCGGCTGTCTTTTTTTTTTTTTTTGGAGAGACTGAGTCTCGCTCTGTTGCCCAGGCTGGAGTACAGTGGCACCACCTTGGCTGACTGCAACCTCTGCCTCCCAGGTTCAAGCAATTCTCCTGCCTCAGCTTCCCAAGTAGCTGGGACTACAGGCACGTGCCACCACGTCCAGCACATTTTTGTATTTTTTAGTAGAGATGGGGTTTGACTACATGTTGGCCAGGCTGGTCTCAAACTCCTGACCTCAAGTGATCCACCTGCCTTGCCTCCCAAAGTGCTGGGATTATAGGCGTGAACCACTGTGCGCCCCCCAGCTGTCTTTTAAAAAGTATTATATGGCGGCTGGGTGTGGTGGACAACACCTGTAATCCCAGCACTTTGGGAGGCCAAAGTGGGCTGATCACCTGAAGTCAGGAATTCAAGACCAGCCTAGCCTGCCCAACTGGCTAATATGTTTAAACCTCGTCTTTAGCAAAAACACAAAAAGTAACTGGGCGTGGTGGGGCGTGCCTGTAATCCCAGCTACTGGGGAGGCTGAGGCAGGAGAATCGCTTGAGCCTGTGGGGACAGAGGCTGCAGTAAGCTGAGATGGCGCCACTGCACTTTAGCCTGGGTGACAGAGTGATACTCCATCTCAAAAAAAAAATACATAAATAAAATTTAAAAAGTACTATGCAGCTTGCCTGTTTATAAACTTATGAAAAGAGTAATAGTAGCTCTTGCACAAGCCACAAGACTATTAAGAATTTAATCTCTCACCACTCCTTAACAGTTTCTCAGTAGCAAACCTCTCTTAGATATTGGCATTTTTTCCCACTTTTCTTCAAAAACACTTACCCTTCCCCACAAACAAATACACAAAAACAAAACAACTCAAATGGTGGTACTTAATAAATCAAAGCATCACATAATTTTGAAATGTTTACTAGGTAATGAACAATTTAAACATAGAAGTGATTGAGAATTGAAGACCATTATAATTGTGAACTAAGGGCACATTTAAACATAATGACCTAGGCAGAAATGTAAAACTTGCTAGAGTTCTAATGATAACTCATTTCATTAATTTACAGATTTACTTATAACCTTGATTCATACACTTAACCCATTCTAATCAAATACAATACTTTCAGATGTTTTTGATGATACACTTGATAAACCAGCTGGCATATAAAAGCTCCTCACCTTTGATTCCGAAGACTTAACTTTTCTAGCTGAAGCAGGCAAGGTAGTATCTTTGTCAACATTAAGATTTTGTTTAGATTCTGCGGAAAAATGAATTGTACAGATCATGGTTGATGTCAATGTGTTTTAACTACACACAAAACACAATTTCCAAATTTTTTTGTCTTTCTCTTTTTGTTTGTTTTTGTTTTTTGAGACAGTCTCACTGTCACCCAGCCTGGACTGCAGTGGTGTCATCTCAGCCCACTGCAACCTCTGCCTCCCAGTTTCAAGCAACTCTCCCACTTTCCTCCCTAGTAGCTGGAACCACAGGCGCACCCCACCACACCTGGCTAATTTCTGTATTTTTAGTAGAGATGGGGTTTCACCATGTTGGCCAGGCTTGTCTCGAAATCCTGAACTCATGTGATCCACCCACCTTGGCCTCACAGAGTGCCAGGATTACGAGCACGAGCCACCTTGCCCGGCCCCAAATTTCTAATTACAACTTTTGATGAAACAATATATTCTTTCCTTAGTTGTACATTTTCAAATAATTACTCATACAATTTTTTTACACATCTAACACCTTTCTGATTTTCCTAATATTCCCTGACAAGTCAAGGTAATTACCAAAAGGGAAGCTACATATCAATATAAGTATCTTGCTTAATTTTCCTGGTTATATAACAATGTAATGATGACAGCATTATTCTGTACTTGACCCTTTCATAAATCCATCAAATAAAATTTAAATATAGTTCTAGCTTCACATTTTAAAAAATGCTATAACATCTTTAAATATTGTTATTCATAACTTTAAAACTTATAAGATCACATAACCATTGTTCTTTGGTGATCTATATTACCTTTTTGTTGTTTAAATCTTTGTGATTTCTGAAAGGATACTGGTCCTTTCAATACTTCTAAAGTTTTAACATCATAAGCACCTGGAGATGGTGCACAACCTAGAGGAAATAGAAAACATTAATATATTATCTAATGTTACTTATGATCTTAAGTTAAAACATGTCATAATAAAGTGAATATAAATGTAAAAATGTCATTAACAAACTGCTTTTTTTAAATGTAAAAAATTGCATCCATTTGATATTACAAAGAAGGCCTCTCTATGAAGAACAATATCATCTTGCCCTTTATATCAACCGGGTCAAAGGAACACAGGCAACTGAGCAAACGACAGTTTTGAGATGAACATCATATATTACAGGCAATATATGGCTTTCTTACTAAGGATTGAATATAGCAAATAAAATACTTGGTGTCAACTCTACTCGAAGAGAGTCACAAAGATAACTACTATCAGTTTCTAGAAATAAAGTAATTAAAATTGTCTATCCCTCAATGTTTAGCCTAGAATAAAAATTTATAGTGATAATCCATCTCTGGCTAATATCAATACATCAGACCTATTAAAGATGTCAACTGCAATTCAAACACATGGAAGAAAAGCAACCACACTAGAGCAACTAGAATTTTTTGAGCACTTACTAAATGCCAGGCATTATGCTAAGCATTTCACAGATGTTATTTTATTTAATCCTCACAAGAATCCTGTGTGATAATTTATAGACAAAGAATGTGAGGCTTAGGAAATTCAAAAAGCCAATGTTACACAAAGTACAAATTGTACTAGACTATATTTGTATGTTCCAGAAGTTTATACTGCATAATTTCACTTAACTAAAGTCCCAGATTTGAAGGCATTTCTGAGTAAATACACATAGCAGACCTGAGATGGGGCCTTTAGGACTTAAAGTAATTAAAATACTACTAGCCTAAAGCTTTAGCTGATTGGGAACAAATAGATTAATACTATTCTCTGAAAAGCTATTTACTTCAGTCTAGAGTCTCATGCAAATAAATAGGAAGAGCAAGGAGCTTGGACCATTCCCAGGCAACTACTGCTGTCCCCTAAATGTTTGTCAAACAGTAGACAGGAACTCATGATTTTTTTTTTTTTTTTTTTTTTTTTGAGACGGAGTCTTGCTCTGTTGTCTAGGCTGGAGTGTAGTGGCGCCATCTTGGCTCACTGAAACCTTTGCCTCCTGGGTTCAAGCGATTCTCCTGCCTCAGCCTCCCGAGTAGCTGGGATTACAGGCTCCCACCACCACGCCCAGCTAGTTTTTTGTATTTTTACTAGAGACAGGGTTTCACCATGTTGGCCAGGCTGGTCTTGAACTCCTGACCTCAGCTGATCTCTCTGCCTCGGCCTCCCAAAGTGCTAGGATTACACGTGTGAACCACCAGGCCCAGCCCCATGAGTAGATCTTGATTAGCATTTTTTAAAAAGTAAAAACAATAGAAAAAGCATGACTCATATGCTGCAAAGTTAGGCATTGTTTTGTGAAACTTTTCTTTCGTATGTATGTGTAGAGATATAAAAATACATCTTAGGTTGAAATATAAATTTTGGGGGTTTTTTTGCTTTTTTTTTTTTGAAACAGAGTCTCGCACTGTCACCCAGGCTGGAGTACTGGAATATGAAAAATCACCACAGTGCCTCATACACATTAAGCATCAAATTAATAATTAGTATTATTTCTGTAACTGTGAGCCTGAAATACTATATCTTTGATAAAGCCAGTTTAACCTACTATAATGCAAACAACAAAAAAACCAAAAAAACCTTAAAGCCACACTGCTGACAAAACTTAAGAGTAGGTCCTTTGATTACTCGGGAAATCATATGGTCCTTGAGTCTTTTAACTAAGAAAATAAGTTTGTGCTGATTCACTTGCTCATTTGGCCTTCCTTTGTGAGTAGTTGTATTTTCATTCACACGTTGGCTGACAAAACTTAGAGACGTAATGAGTAACCACGAAATAGTGTATGATAGTGAATAAATCATGAGCTTTAATATTTAGCTCTACCACTTACTGATTGTGCAAGATACAAAACCTCTGTTTTCTCATCTGTAAAATGAGGTCAATATCAGTACCTTCCTCACTTGGCTTTTGGAAGGAATAAACAAGATCTAGTAGCACAGTCCCAGCATACAGCATTTTTTTTTTTTCTGTAAGACAGAGTCTTGCTCTGTCGCCCAGGCTGGAGTGCAGTGGCGCGATCTCGGCTCATCGCAAGCTCCGCCTCCCGGGTTCACGCCATTCTCCTGCCTCAGCCTGTAGTCAGCTGGGACTACAGGCGCCCGCCACCGCGCCTGGCTAATTTTTTTTGTATTTTTAGTACAGACGGGGTTTCACGGTGGTCTCGATCTCCTGACCTCGTGATCCACCTGCCTCGGCCTCCCAAAGTGCTGGGATTACAGGCGTGAGCCGCCGCGCCCGGCCGCATACAGCATCTTAAATGATGAGTGCCTACCAAACACAGCTAAGGCTTCCTGGTTACTGTGCTGTGCATTGCGGTGTTAAGAGCACACGATGGGGGCTGGGTTCATATTCCAGTCCGGTCACTTTGGTAATGTAGCACTGAGCAAATTTAAGTCTCAGTCTTTTTATCAATAAAATAATAATAGGATTACCCCTTAGAGTTGGTGGGAAATTAACATAACTAATAATCGATGTAAAGCCTTAGTACGGTGCTTGAGGTATAAGTGGTCAATATCAGCCATAACTTCATTGTTTATGTTTTCAATAAGTGCTGCTGCTCTAATTTTACACCCATAAACTGCCTTTACTAATCTTCCTTCTTTTATGCCCAAATGGAATACACAAAAGAAATGCACAAGTTCAGACTACAAGTAATACTCCAGTGTTCTTATCAGTGAGGCCCTCTCGGACTTGAAAATCAAGTAGCTACCAACGTCTCGGGTCCATTCCCTTCGCCCTGCTGTAGTTTCTCCATTACCGCTGTTTATTGACAGTATTCCCCGCCTGAATGTAAGCCCCACGGGGCGGAGACTGTTTCACTGCGGTATCCTTAGCATCCTGATTAGTGCTTGGCATGTAACAGATGCTTAGAGCATATTTGAGAAAAATCAATCAACTGAATGAGCCCCAGCCCGACCCTAAAATCGCCTCCTGCTTGCCTCCCAAGAAGGGAGCTGAAAGAGGCAAAGGGCGTTAGGGCGTCTCCCGTCCCCCAGCTCTTTCCCCCTTACGCACCAGAAGGGTCATTGAATCGTTTCAAGGGCGCCTTAGGAAAGGACATGTTGACGGCCAGCTCCAGAAACTGAAGGTGACTGGCACTCCTCGACAACTGAATGCGGATTATCACTCCCTACCGGTTTCAAATTCAAATCTCCCCACATTCCCCACCCACCCCGGCGTTAGCCAATTGGAAAGCCAAACCCCTGGGCACACCAATCCCGCACAGGAACACGAAGAAAGAATGCTGGGTTCTGATTGCGTCCAATTAGCTGGCCTGCGAGTTTAGGCTGCCATCCAATAGGAGACCGTTACTGTTCCCCGCCCCACCCACCCAGTCATTCCCGGAGTTACTCAAGTGTAACCTAGCATTTGCGCAAGCGCACTTCCCTCCGGAGACGTTAGAAAGTGCATTTTGGCGTCACTTAGGGGACGGTGTAGTGAGTTCCGGCTTCACTGGTTCCAATTCTGTCCCATTGTTCGTTGCATGTGAACTTTTCTGGATTTCAGTTCTTTCATCCGGGGCCTGCCGGTGCCGTAAACGGCCATTCAAAGGGAAAAACGAACACGCACACCAAAGCGCTAGCTTGCGTTCCTGCGCATGCGCAGTGACCCGAGCGGAGAGGCCGAGGCGTAGCCTAAGCGTGGGATTCCGCGCGTGCGCTCGGCTCCGCCTGGTGCGGCCGCGGCCGGGAGGGACTGGATTATGTCGGCCCCGTTTGAGGAGCGGAGTGGGGTGGTACCGTGCGGGACCCCGTGGGGCCAGTGGTACCAGACCTTGGAGGAGGTGTTCATTGAAGTTCAGGTGCCGCCAGGCACGCGCGCCCAGGATATCCAGTGCGGCCTCCAGAGCCGGCATGTGGCGCTGTCGGTGGGCGGCCGCGAGATCCTCAAGGTAGCGGCAGCTCGGGGCTTGTGTTCAGTTTCCTCTTCCCAGACGCCCCCAGCCCCGTTTCCCTGAACGACTGTTGGGTGTCCCGACGGCTCCTGTGGCTGGCAGAAAGAGAAAGAGGATAACACTGACCAGGTTTGGGTCTGGTCAGAGCCCCCGCCTCTTCAGGGCAGGTGCTGAGTTGTGGAAATTTGAGGAGCCTATTTTCGTGTTTAGTTTTCAAACTAAGACTGCTGCTTCTGCTTCTCTGACGGGCTTCAGCTGGGAACAGATTAACTAGGTTGCTAAAGGAACAAATATTTCTTCCGTGCACTGAAGACAGGCAGGAAGACAACAGATAACGTACCTGCAGTGGAGAGGTTAAGCTCCTGTACGGAAGCGTAATTCATAAATAGATAAATATAGGAAAGGACAACAAAGAAAATAGGGATAGAATAACGGGCAGAGAATTTAGAGATGATGTCAGGTGATTAGTTTTCTCATCTAAAAGCTTGAAAATCCTGCATGTTTGTGGAGTGGTCAAGCAGGTGGTGAAGAGGTGTGTGCATAAAATAAGTAGTACTCCTTTTATTTCTTTTCACCAATGCTCTTTGGATCTGGACCCGCTTTTTCTTTGTTAAGTGTATAATTAAACTAACAGGTTGAAATTAGATTTAGTTCTCAGGTTAGATGCCCAAGATGTTTGATGGCAGTGTAATATGGTGAAGGGAGACTACTTGTTTCCTAGTTTTGTAAACTTGGGCGAGAGATTGTTCAGTGTCTCTATATCTTCCTTATCCACAAGATAAGGTAGTTATAGTACCCTTCTCATGGGATTGTTTTGAGCTTAACATGGTATTCACGTGTATGAAGAGCTTGGAGTATTCACTGGTATGTAATAAGTTCATACTATATGTTAGCTATTAGCTATTATATATATTACAGTATATGGAGGTGCTTTGAGTGCCTCAAGATTCGTGTGAAAGACATTATGTCAGCTTGGATCTCAGTTACTTTTCTGAATTGTACAATTCATAGTTTCCTCAACAATGGTTTTAGATTACGATTATAAATTAGTAAATCCAGTAACTTTCGGAATTTAGCAGTAGCTGCTGAATTTGGGATTTCTGATGTACGTATAGACCAGTGGGATTTTTTTCTCACTAATTTTGACATATTTTAAAATGTGGGCTTTTCCTAGTGACATTTAATTTCACTTTCTATAACTTAAATTTGGCAACAAATTAAAATGGATTTGAGTTTAGGCATTCTCTCTTTAAAAAAAAATATATATTTATTGAGACAGGGTCCCTGTCTCCCATGCTGGGGTGCAGGGGTGAGATTGTAGCTCACAGCAGCCTCAAACCCATGGGGTCAAGCAATCCACGTTGGCCTCCAAAGTCCTGGGATTACAGGCCTGAGCTACTGGGCCTGGTGCAGTCTCTTTTAAATTTATATTTTGTTTATTTTTTTAAAAAACATGAGTTTGTGAACAGTTAGTCACAACTAATCTATCAAATCTGGAATACGTAAAGTTTTTTTAATGCCGATTGCCCAACAAAAAGATTAAAACGTTTTTAAAAGTTTACTTTAAAAACAACATTTTGCCGGGTGCGGTAGCTCATGCCTGTAATCCTGGCACTTTGGAAGGCCTAGGCGGGCGGATCACAAGGTCAGGAGTTCGAGACCAGCCTGGCTAACACGGGGAAACCCCATCTCTACTAAAAATACAAAAATTAGCCGGGCGTGGTGGCGGGCGCCTGTAGTCCTAGCTACTTGGGAGGTTGAGGCAGGAGAATCGCTTGAACCCTGGAGGTGGAGGTTGCAGTGAGCCAGATCGTGCCACTGCAGCCTGGGCGACAGAGCGAAACTCTGTCTCAAAAAAAAAAAAAAAAAAAAAAAAAAAGACAACATTTTTTAGTTTTAGCAGGAGATCCCTTCTTGTGGTTAATTTAAATTGGTAGAATTAAAGCATTTCAGATATTAATTTCACATTTGGCCAGTGGTCAGTATTACTGTATCTTCTAAAAATTAAGGAGCCCTGATCTTTCTTTAGAGAGCTCTGTGTTCTTTGCCATAGTAAATATCCCTTGCAGTGTAAACTAGTTTCCATTTTACCTGCTGGGAGAAAATTTAGGGTTGTGCACCTATAAATGTCATGGTGAAGTGGTGGTATAAGATGTGGATTAGGTAGGAAAGTAGGTAAATCTTAATCATGAAAACTTTATAAAAATTAAATTCTGTATTTTTAGCACCTTATATGTTTATTTTTCAGGGCAAACTCTTTGATTCTACAATAGCTGATGAGGGAACATGGACTTTGGGTAAGGGTAATTACTATAATTCATCAAATTAAAATAATTTTGTCTTGATATCTTTTCCTCTTTTGTATTAGGTCTTTTTTGTCTTTGCAGCTTTGAAAGATAAAGCAATAGAAATGTGTTGAAAACCGTTGTATGTCAAAGTTACCTAGTGGGGGGAGAAAAAATTAGTTAGTTGTTTTTGGAAATATAAAATTTAATGAAGAACTTCTTGAGACCACCCTGGCCAACATGGCAAAACCCCGTTTATACTAAAAATACAAAAGTTAGCCGGGCATGGTGGCGCATGCCTGTATTCCCAGCTAGTCGGGAGGCTGAGGCAGGAGAATCACTTGAACCCGGGGGGCGGAGGTTTCAGTGAGCCGAGATCAAGCCGCTGCACTCCAGCCTGGGTGAGAGTGATACTGTCTCAAAAAAAAAAAAAACAACTTGATGAAGAACTCTAATTTATTTGTGCGTGTGTGTGTGTGTGTTTTTTTTTTAGAGGACAGAAAAATGGTTCGTATTGTTCTTACAAAGACAAAGAGAGATGCAGCAAATTGTTGGACTTCTCTACTAGAATCTGAATATGCAGCGGATCCTTGGGTGCAAGACCAAATGCAGAGAAAGCTTACATTAGAGAGATTCCAAAAAGAAGT
Source organism: Homo sapiens (assembly GCF_000001405.40). Taxonomy (NCBI): domain Eukaryota; kingdom Metazoa; phylum Chordata; class Mammalia; order Primates; family Hominidae; genus Homo; species Homo sapiens. The sequence goes on along the minus strand of NC_000005.10, from coordinate 163,456,926 downwards.
AAGTCAGATGAAGTGTATGAGTATGTGTAATTAAATATATAAAAATCATCAAATAAATATTTGAAATTAAAACTCAAATGTCATTATGAAAAGTTACAAACATTTTCTAGAAGAATTTTTAAAGTGAATTGTTAGAAAAATGGCCTTTCTTGTATGGATTTGATTTTTCGGAAGATTTTCTTGAGAGGAATTTATTTGTATTGCTGTGATTTGTGAGTTTAAGCTTACTTTTATGTACATCAGTAATGCATGAATAAACTCTTACTATAGTTGAATCAATATAGACTTACCTAGTGTAAAAAGTGAAAGGCCCCTTCACCACCATTCTCCCCATTCCATGCATCTATCTCATTTTCATCTCATATGTTGGCTATTGCTTGTTTTGTTTTGTTTTTTAGCATAAATGGAGGATCACACTGTGTGTATTGTTCTTCTTGTTGCTTTTTTATTTAATAATATGCTGTGGGTCTCTTTCCCTACTAATACATAGGTATAAAACTCATTCTTTTTAACTGCTTCAGAGGATTCTGTAGTTTGGATGTGTCATCATTATTTGGCTGTTTGCCTTTGATATGATTTAGATTTCTTCATTTTTCTCTATTTTAAAGAAAGCTGTGCTTTCATCTCTGTGAAACTACTCAAGTGTTCTAAGATATCTTTAAGATAAATATCTAGGAGAGGAATTGCTAGATTGCAGCACTTGATAATGTACGTCTTTATGATAATGATTTCCAGATGTATATCTCTAGCCTAGACTTTTTTTCTGAATTTAGGACCTGCATACCCGGTTGCCTATTCAACATCTCCACCTGGCTATCTAATGTATATTAAGCTCAACATGTCCAAGTTGAACACCCTAACATCCTTCCATATTTGTTTTTACCTGTAGCCTTTTCATCTCAGTTGATGAAAACTAGTAGTTCAGGTCAAAAAAAATTGGGACTCATCTTTGATTCTTACATCTTTCTCATACCCTATCCAATGTATTAGGAAATCTTACTGATGCTACCTTCGAAATATATTTAGAATTTGGCCACTTTTCACCACCAACTCTACCACCATTCTGATCTGGACCACCTCTAATGTCTTGCCTGATTACTCTAATAACGTTCTAATTGGTCTTCTCACTTTTACTCTTGCCATAGTCTTCTCAAAATAGCAGTTAGAGCAGTTCTTTTTTTTTTTTTTTTTCTGAGATGGAGTGGTGCGATCTCTGCTGACTGCAAGCTCCGCCTCCCGGATTCCCGCCAGTCTCCTGCCTCAGCCTCCCGAGTAGCTGGGACTGTAGGCTCCCGCCACCACGCACGGCTAATTTTTTTGTATTTTTAGTAGAGGTGGGGTTTCACCGTGTTGGCCAGGATGGTCTCAATCTCTTGACCTCGTGATCCGCCCGCCTTGGCCTCCCAAAGTGCCGGGATTACAGGCGTGAACCACCGCGCCCAGCCAGTTAGAGCAGTTCTTTTAAAATCCAAGTCACATCATGCCACTTCTCAGAACTCTGCAAGTCATTTCTCGGCCCTTTCTGATCAGTTATTCCATCATCTCCCTGATTACCTCCTCCCTTACAGCTATCCCTCTTAGTGATTCTGCTTTTGCCATACTGGCCTGTTTGCTGTTCCTTAAAGAACATGTCAGCCCATCCCTTTGCTATCCTGACTGCAATGCTCTTCTCCCACAGTTTGGCTAACTTTTATGTTTTCATATCATTGCTCAATGAAGCATACTTTGATCATCCCATTTAAATATAATTTTATTTCCCTTATCCTGTTTTTTTTTTTTTTCTGTGTCACTTACCAACTTTTAACACGACATCAGCGGTTGGCAAACTACAGCCCTTGGGCCAAATTTGGCCCACTACCTGTTTTATAGCTTTTCTAGGATACGTATATGCTCATTTGTTTGTATATTGTCTTTCAGACAGTTGAGTATTTGTGACAGAGACTATGTGGACTGCAAAGCCTAACATATTTACTACCTAGTTTTTAAAAAGTCTGCCAGCCCCTGTACTGGTTGATTTATGGTTTGTCTCCTCCTGCTAGAATGTTAAGTTCCACTAGAGCAGGGATTTTTGTTTTTTTTCACTCTTGAATTCTACATACCTCTAATGGTCTCCCAAACAGTAGGAGCTCAACAAATGTTTGTTGGATAAACGAAATAGCCCACCAAAAAGACTAAGGCCTGACATAGTACTTCACAGGACTGTTGTGAGGGTTAAATATCTTATATATGTATAGCTCTTAGAAATTTGTGTGGCATATAGAAAGCTCTCAAAAAATGCTAGCTATAGGCTGGGCGCCATGGCTCACGCCTGTAATCCCAGCACTTTGGGAGGCTGAGGCAGGCGGATCACCGGAGGTTGGGAGTTCAAGACAAGCCTGACCAACATGGAGAAACCCCGTGTCTACTAAAAATACAAAATTAGCCAGGCATGGTGGTACATGCCTGTAATCGCAGCTACTCGGGAGGCTTAGGCAGGAGAATCGCTTGAACCTGGGAGGCAGAGATTATGGTGAGCTGAGGTCGCACCATTGCACTCCCGCCTGGGCAACAAGAGCGAAACTCCGTCTCAAAAAAAATAATAATAAATAAAATAAAAATGCTAGCTATTAAATATAACTACAGACTTTTATTGAAGTATATGTTTCCCCATACACTTGCCAACATTGTAGTGTACATATGATGTCTAAATATTTGTAACTGGGAGAGTTGAAAAATGCCTCATAATTTTAAATATTACTTTGGTGGTAACAGTGAAGTCTGTTATATTTTCATGTATTTATTGGTCATTTATATATCCTTTTTTATCAATTGCCAGTTTGTACTTGTATTTTTCCTTATAAGTTTTATTTCATTATATATATGTTTGTATCTTTTAGAATCCTGGTTTTGACTTCAGTGGAGCAGAAATCTCAGGAAACTACACTAAAGGTGGACCAGATTTCTCAAACCTTGAGAAATAACTGCTTTTTTTCCTGCATTCTGTGGATCCTAGCAGATATTGCCAACTTAATCAGATAAACAGATTATGTAATGGAAGAAAAATGCGGATGCCTACAGTTAACAGATTGCAAAATGTATCTTAAAATGGTTCTAAAAATTGCATTCAAACATAATTTACATAGGAAATGTACTGTGGGAACTATTCTATGGATATATGGTAAAGTTGTTTTGGACTTGTTTTTGCTCAGCATGAAGTTTTATATGCTGCATTTTACTAATTCCATATTTAACCATATTTTTAATACAAAAGAACATTAGAGTATAGATCATGTGAAATGAAGGGTGCCTTTGGGGAAAATTAACTTTTTCTTTTGATAAGTATGATATTCAATAAAATTTTCTAAATAGGAATTGTGTACCCCTTTGTCTAAGTATAACAATTCACACAAAATTATAGTGCTGAAAACAATTTTAATAAAGGAAAAAGTCCATAAATGTATTTTAAGTAAATTAAGAGTTAATGTAAATTTCTTAATTAGAATATTATTACTTGAGGGATTACTTTATGTCAAGAAGTTTAAAAATAGTTAAAACCCTAACAATAGAAGTGGATTAACACAAAAGAGAAGTGTGATCATGGTAATTAGGTGAGTCCTTTGTGGCAGAAAGCAAAGTAAGGTCACTAATTGTATATCAGTGGCATCATTTTGATTGTAAGTGATTTAGGCATATAGGTAGGAATTGTCTATAGACATTTTATTCAATATCCTATTTATGTCCTTTTTATTTTTTGCCCTTTTTAACTCTTGAAAAAATTTTAAATCTCATGCATAGAAAAGTTACAGATAATTTTTTTCTTTCTGAACCATTTGTGATTTAGTTGAAGACATGATTCCTCATTACTGATTACTATCTGCTTCAAATTATCTTACATGACTACAATGCAACCATTAGAATCAGGAAATTTACGTTGACACATTACTACCCTCTAATCCTCAGATCTTCACTTCATTCACATTGAACTGATTGTCCCAATAATGTCCATATAGCAAGAGGATCCAGTCAGAATCATGCCTTTCATTTAGATGTCAGCTGTCTTTAGTTTACTTCATTCTGGAACAAATTCTCATTTGTTTCCTTTTACAACTTAGTACTTTTGACAATTATGGGCTAGTTTTGTAGAACACCCCTTATTTTGAGTTCTGTCTGATACTTCATGATTAGATTGAGGTTATTCATCTTTGGCAGGAATGTGATAGAAGTGCATCCTGTCATTGTTTAATAATTTCAGTTTGTCTCATTTCTGATGGTGTTTCTTAGATGACTGATTAAGGTAGTGTCTGCCAGACTTCTCCACTGTAGTTATTTTTATAATTATTTCTTGAGAAGATAGTTGCAAAATACTACCTTGTTTCTGATCAGACTTTAAATTTATCGTATCTCTATAAACTCATTATTTTCTATTTTATTCAGCAGGTTAAAAAACCTATTATCATTACATTGGTGCTCAAAATTATTGTACATTTGGCTGGTAGAAGTCCATTCTGGGTGGCCTCTGTGTCCTTCTGACACATTCCCATCATTATTCAATGAATTTGTTACTCTCTGGCATAAGATATACCAGGCTTCTCATGCTGTCCTCGACCTAACCCAAGAATCAGCCATTTTTCCGTAGAGCCTGGGTTCTCTTTAGTGAGTAATATTTAAAAGCCAAGATCTGTGCTAGTGTGCAATTGCCGTTGGTGTGTATATATAATGCATGTCTTTACATCTATATTTCTGCATCTATGTATATTGAAAACCATGAATTCACATATAAATTCTGATCCCATGGGCTTCATTTTCATTTTTTCCTTCTCCACATTTATAACCGTTTTCAGTACCAGTGAGAAACCTGATTCCTATTTGATTATTTGTGGGGTTTTTTTTTTTTAAGGTGGAGTTTCACTCTTGTTGCCCAGACTGGAGTGCAGTCGCGCGATCTCGGCTTACTGCAACCTCCGCCTCCTGGGTTCAAGCGATTCTCCTGCCTCAGCCTCCCAAGTAGCTGGGATTACAGGCATGCGCTGCCACACCTGGCTAATTTTTAATTTTTGGTAGAGACGGGGTTTCTCCATGTTGGTCAGGCTGGTCTCGAACTCCGGACATCAGGTGATCCGCCCGCCTGGGCCTCCCAAATTGCTGGGATTACAGGTGTGAGCCACTGCGCCTGGCCTGATTCTCTATTGTAGGTCATCTCCCCACATGAATGTCTTCCTCACCCTGCTTAGGCTTCGCATCCTATGCTGAGCAGGAATGTCCTCCTCATCCTGCCTGGACCCTAATACCTCACTCCAGGCCATGGCAGTCCATTCACCCTGTGATTCCTATCTTGCTCATTTTAGGAATGAATTGTCGGGGGAAGAGGCTATTTTTCTTTTAATTTTATTCTCTTTGACATTTAACAAAATTTTTTGAGTAAAGTAAAATTAACTTTTTTGGTGTATGGTTTGGTGAATTTTAAGTATAGATATGTGTAAACACCTCCACAGTCAGAGTATTGAAGAGTTCAATCACCGTAAAAACTCTCGTGCTCTCTTTGTACTCTACACACCCTACTCCCAGCCCCTAAACCTTGGAAACCACTGATCTAATCCCCATCTCCATATTTTTGTCTTCAAGCATGTTATAAATGGGATCATATATAATTAAGAAAAACGCTTTATTGTAACAACATACATTTCACCCATTTAAGGTGTGTAATTCAGTAGCTTTTAGTATATACACAGATAAATGCAACCATTCCAATAATCAATTTTAGAATGTTTTCATCACCTCAGATAGAAACCTTGTATAGTTTAGCTTTTATCCTTCTCCTGTCATCCCCCGCCATCCATACTACCTCTTTTCATCTCATAGATTTCCTTATTCTGGACATTTCATGTACATGGAATCATAATACGTGGTCTTTGGTTACTGGCTTCCTTCACTTTACATGTCTTAAGAGGTTCATCTATATTCGAGCATGTATCAGCACATTCATTAGTATGTCTGAAAATACTTCATTGTATGGCTGTAGCACTTTGTTTATACATTTGTAAGTTGGACATTTTGGGTATTTCCACCCTTTGGCTGTCCTGACTAAAGCTGCTATAAACGTGTACAAGTCTTTATGTGCATATGTGTTTTCATTTCTTACCTAGGAGTAGAATTTTTAGGTTATATGATAACTATGTTAATCATTTGAGGAGCTGTCATTGTTTCCCAAAGCAGCTACATCTTTTTACTTTCCCACCAGCAGTGTATGCAGGTTCCATTTTCTCTGCATCCTTGCCAATACTTGTTTACCTGACATTTTGATTTTAGTCACTCTAGTGGATATGAAATGGGATCTCTATCTAGTTTTGGTTTGCTATTCTCTGATACTATGTTGAGCATTCTTTCTTGTGCTTATTGGCTATTTGTGTATCTTCCTTAAAGCAGTGTTTATTCAAATTATTTACCCATTTTTTTAGTTGTCTTATTGGGTAGTAAGAGTCTTTATATATTCTGGGTACAAGTCTCTTACCAGGTATATGATTTGTAATTTCTCCTATTCTCTCTTTACTTTGTTGATAGTGTCTTTTGAAGCACAGACTTAATTTTGATGAAGTCTTATCCATCATGCCATTGGTGGATCATGTTTTTGGTGTCATGTCTAGGAACCTTAACCCCAGGTCATGAGGAATTTTTCTTTTTTCTTTTTTTGACTCACATTCTCACTCTGTCACCCAGGCTGGGGTGCAGTGGCACAATCTCCACTCACTGCAACCTCTGCCTGCTGGGTTCAAGTGATTCTTGTGCTTCAGTCTCCCAAGTAGCTGGGACTACAGGTGTGCACCACCACTCCCAGCCCATTTTTTTTTTATTTTTTATTTTTAGTAGAGTTGGGATTTCACCATATAGGCTAGGCTGGTCTTGAACTGACCTCAACGGATCTGCCCGCCTCAGCCTCTGAAGTGCTGGGATTACAGGCATGAGCCACCGTGCCCGGCCTATGGATTTTTTTCTTCTAAAAATTTTATAAATTTAGTTCTACATTTAGATCCGTGATCCATTTTAGGTTAATTTTTGTATAAGCTGTGAAATTTAGGTAGGTTTATTTTTTTGCATATGGATGTTCAGTTGTTTTAAAATCGTCTGTTGAAAAACTCTCCATTCCCCATTGAGTTGTCTTTTCACCTTTGTCAGAAATCAATTGCTATTTATGTGAGTCTGGTTTTGGACTTTATTCCATCGATCTATGTGTTTATCCTTTCATAAATACCAGATTGCCTTGATTATCACAGCTTTATAGTAAGTCTTAAAACTGGGCAGCATGATTCCTTCAAAATTTTTTTGAAATCTTTTTCAAAATTGTTTTGGCTAATTTAGTTTCTTTGCCTTCCATATGAATTTTAGAATTAGCTACTCTGTATCTACAAAAAATCCTACTGGGGTTTTGAATGCAATTTTGTGTCTTCCAATCCATGAACATGAGGTATCTATTTAGGACCTCTTTCATTTCAGTTATCAGCATTTTATGTCATTTTTCAGCATATATTCCACAGTGTTCATTTTGGAGGAACTATTGTTAAGTTGTATTATTTTTGAAACATGGGTTTCCAATTGCACATCGCTAGTATGTACAAATGTGTTTGATTTTTGTTTGTTGACCTTGTATCCTGTGACCTTGCTAAACTTCATTAGTTTTGGGAGTTATTTTGTTGTTAACTCATTAAGTTTTCTACATAAACTACGAATAGAAACAGTTTTATTTTATTCTTTTTAGTCTATGATTTTTCTTGCCTGATTTTGTTGTTAACTCATTAAGTTTTCTACATAAACTACGAATAGGAACAGTTTTATTTTATTCTTTTTAGTCTATGATTTTTCTTGCCTGATTGCAGTGGCCAGAACAATAACATGGAGAAAGTGGCCATCTCAGTCTTGTTCTGGATCTTAGGATTTTGAAAGCATTGTTTTTGACCATTATGTATGCAAGCTGTAGGCTTTTCTTAAATTCCCTTTGTCATGTTGAGCAAGTTCCCATCTATTAATTTGTTGTTAGCAGAGTTTCATGAGTGGATGCTGAATTTTCTATGCTCTTTCTGTATCAGTTTGGTCATTCTTTTTGTTTAGACTGTTAAAATCATGGATTTTACTGATTCCAGAATTTTGAAACAGCTTATATTTCCTCCCAACCCCAAACTTGGTCATGGTACATTATTCAGCTTATGTATCTAGATTTTTATTTTTTGAGGATTTTTATGTCTGTGTTCATTTTGGATATTGTGCAATTGTTTTTGTTTGTTTTTTCCTTGTGTTATCTTTATCTTGGTATGGTATCATGTTAATTCTGGTCTTGTAAAATGAATTGCAAAGTGATTATTCTTTCTGGAAGAGATTTGTAGAATTTGTTATATCTTTAAATGTTTTATGAATTTGCTAGTAAGGTTTTAAACAATGGTTCAATTTTTAAAAATAGAGAATTTATTGAGGTTTATTTAAGTTTGGGTACTGTATGCCTTTCAAGGAATTGGTTCATCTAATCCTATGTGCATAGAGTTGTTCATGGTATTTTCTTTGTGTCGTTCTAATGAGGATCTATACTGTTATCTTTTCTTTGATTCCTAAGATTGGAATCAAAGATTGGAATTCCTTCTCTTTTTTTGTCAATTTTGCCAGAGGTTTATCAATTTTACTGCTCTTTTCAAAAATTAGTTTTTTGATTGTTTTCTATTAATTTGTTTACAATTGCATTTATTTTCTGCCTCTTTTTTTTTTTTCTTCTTTCTGCTTGCTTTAGGTTTAGTTTGGGCTTCTTTTTTTTGTAGACAGGTCTCACTTCATCACCCAGACTGGAGTAGTGTTATGATCATAGCTCACTGCAGCCTCAAACTCGTGGGGTCATGATCCTCCTACCTCAGCCTTCTGAGTGGCTGGGACTATAGTGGTGTGCCACCACACCCAGTTAGATTTTCCTACTTTCTTAAAGTGGGAGCTTAGAGTGTTAATTTGAGAACTTTTTCTTGTTTAGTAAAAAGCAGTCGATTGTTATAAATTGCAGCACCAGCATGGCTGCATTCCAAGCACGGTGATATTTTCATTTATTTTAAAATATTTTTTAAGACTTCCCTGTAGTATCATGAGTTATTTAGAAATGTGTTGTTTAATTTCCAAGTGTTTGGAGATTTTCTTGCTGTTACTGATTTCTAGATTATGGTCAAAAAACATATTTTATATGATTTCATCTCTTTTAAATTTGTTAAGGTTTAAGACCCATGATGTGGTTTATCTTGGTGAGTGTTCCATGTGTACTTGAAAAGAATGCTTATTCTGCTGTTTTAGGTAGAAGGGTTTTATGTCAATTAAATCTAGCTGGTTATTAGTATTATTCCATTTTCCTACATCTTTGCTAATTTTCTATTAATTCTATGGACTACTGAGAGAGGAATGTTTAAGTTTCCAACTGTAAATGAAGATTTGTCCAGTCCTCCTTTTAATGCTACCACTTTTTGCTTCATGTTTTTTTTTTTTTTTTTGAGTCTTACCCTGTCACTCAGGCTGGAGCATAGCAACTCTGTCATGCTTCACTGCAGCCTCAAACTCCTGGGCTCAGACAGTCTTCCCACCTCAGGCTCCTCAGTACCTAGGACTACAGATGTATATCACTATGCCTAGCTAATTTTTGATTTTTTGTAGAGATAGGGTCTCCCTATGTTGAGTAGGCTGGTCTTGAACTCTTGGCCTCAAGCAATCCTCCCACCTTGGCTTCCCAAAGCATTGGAATTACAGGAATGAATGAGTCTCTGTACCTGGTCTCTTCATGTATTTTTAAGATCTGATAATAAGTGCTTACACTTTTAGCACTGTCTTGGTGAATTTTATCATTATATAATGTCCCTAATTATCCTTGGCAATTTTGGTTGTTCCTAACTCTACTTTGATGAATATAAAAATGGCTTTTTAATTTATTTTTTGAGACAAGAGCCTCACTCTGTTGCCCAGGTTGGAGAGCAGTGGTGTGATCTTGTCTCACTGCCTCACAGGTTCAAGCAATTCTCCTGCCTCAGTCTCTGGAGTAACTGGTACTACAGGCATGCGCCACCACACCCAGCTGATTTTTGTATTTTTAGTAGAGATGGGGTTTCACCATGTTGGCCATGCTGGTCTCGAACTCCTGGCCTCAAGTGATCCGTCCACCTTGGCCTCCCAAAGTGCTGGGATTACAGGTGTGAGCCACTGCGCTCGGCCTTAAAAATTGGCTTATCTTTTAATTCATCTTGACTCATGTTTACTGTTTTTTGGTTTCTGAAAAATAGATTTAATAAATAATAACATTTTATCAAAGTTATTAGTATAGAGAAATAAATTGAGTGTTGTTATTATTCTATGATCATGATGACAGCACAGAAGTTAATGTGGCCAGCATATAGTTTTGATTAAAAATTATACAAGCAATTTCACTTGAGTCCAATTAATCTTTTATTTTGAGAGGTAATGTATAGAGTGGTTAAGAGCACAGCCTCTGGAGTCAGAACTGCCTGGCTTTGAATCCTACCTCCAAGTACCAGGTATAGACCAGGGGCAAATCATTAGGTTCTCTGTCTCTCTTTCATTTGCAAATTGGGATAATGTCATTCAGTTGAGAGGATTTTAATGAGATGATTCATAGTACCAGAGAGTAAAAATTATCACTGCCAGCCACAAATGTTAAATCGAAAATATAAATTTTTAGATAGGATGTCTCATAATTGTAAATATGTACAAGGTTCAGATACTTTTTAAAAAATACTATGAAACATTATTAAATAAGTCTAAGGCAAGTCAATTATAAAAGGAGGCTTCTTTTATGAACAACTTTTCTTTCATCAGTAACTCCTTGCAGTGTCTACTTTACAGGATGTTAGTTTGAACATGAACTGTTCAAAATCATATTAATTAATTCAATTCCAGTAATAATTACAATTGATCCAAGCAGGCTAACATAACACATGGTGGTTACCTGGCATTAGCAACCACGCTGCTGAAGTGTTGTTTAATTAGGTAAGAAGGCTGGCACAAAACTTCAAGTGGGCTGAAACTAAAAGTAAATATATATTAAGGATAGCATCCATAGCAGTGATGAATCTAAGTGATAAAAGGGATTAATAATGCATAAACACCAACTTTTAATACACATTAAACAATTATTTGTCATCATTCTATGTCTATTAAAAAAACATTAGAGGCTAGGCACGGTGGCTTATGCCTGTAATCTCAGCACTTTGGGAGAACGAGGTGGGCAGATCACTTGAGCCCAAGAGTTTGAGATCCGCCTGGGCAACACAGTGACAACACTGCCTCTACAAAAAAAAAAAAAAAAATTAGCTGGGTGCGGTGGCATGTGCCTATAATCCTAGCTATTTCGGAAGCTAAGGTGGGAGGATCTCTTGAGCCTGGGCTGCCAAGGCTGCAATGAGCCAAGATCGCGCCACTGCACTCCAGCCTGGGTGACAAGAGTGACCCTGTCTCAGAAAAAACAAAAAGTAAAGTGTCAGCTAATAGTCATACTATTAATAGGGATTTTATTGTTTCTGGTACTATGCATCTAACTTTAGTACTAAATTTAAATATACTGGGTAGAGAGAGCTTTTTATAATGTTTCAGAAAAAACAAAACAAAGTGTCAGCTAATAGTCATATTATTAATGGGGATTTTATTGTTTCTGGTACTATGCATCTAACTTTAGTACTAAATTTAAATATACTGAGTAGAGAGAGCTTTTTATAATGTTTCAGAAAAAACAAAGTAAAGTGTCATCTAATAGTCATATTATTAATAGGGATTTTATTGTTTCTGGTACTATGCATCTAACTTTAGTACTAAATTTAAATATACTGAGTAGAGATAGCTTTTTATAATGTTCTGTTAACACATTGCTAAAAGAGTTAATTAAATCAGAGGAGAAAAAAGCCACCCAGCAAAGGATTGAATTTCATTAACTTTATTGAAAGGTATATCCCTTAGTACTAAAACATAATGGTAGTTGGTTAGTTTACCTCTGCCAACTCAAAATTAACAATGATGTATTCAAAATATTGAAATTTATCAGCCTTTTGGGAAAACTAAAAAGTTACCCATAAAACATGGTTTACAAAAGTTAAGAATAAGATATACTGTGGTTCTTTGGTTTTTCATTGTGTACTGATCCATAACGTGATGTCAAATTGGATATAGCCATCATGGATAGACTCAGGCTATACATTGCACTGAGTAACTGTTTACAACACTTTAACACTGTACTTCTTACATTCACTAACTGCCATGGAGGATCCTAAACACTACTTCAGCAGCTTCATTCATAGTTATGAAGGTGTCTACTTGCTTTTCTTAAGATTTTTGTTTTGGCACAGTAAGGGCATCAGTGGAAGTATATTCTCTATTTATAAAATTGCCATCACTTCTAACTTAAAAACAGTCTGTAGTAAAAAATTCTGGAGTGTTCAATCTAGTCTGAACTTACCTTAGTGTGGGAAAGCAAGTTTTCGAAGTGATAATTTATTTTGAGTTACTAATACAATAGAAACTAGTTTTCTTGATGGGATTCAGTTTGAGGCAGTAGGTTCTGTATAAAAATTTTTATCGTAGATACAAATGTCACCTGTTTTCTAGAAAAAAATATTAAAAGATAACTTAATGAATATGCCAAACTTTATAGGTCTGTATTTTTCTTTATATAAAATGCCCTCAAATTTAAATGTAATTCCCATATAGCAATAAAGTCCACATCTCTAGATTACCTATTACTTGCATTATGGGGTGTGTTTATACTGCCTAGAATGTTAACCCTTATTATGCCTTAAAAGTACATTTGTGAAATGTTGCTTTTGACATAAACCTCATAACTTAAAATTTAAGTAGGAGTAGGATTAGAATAATGACAGTGATTGAAGCTGTGGGAAGACTGATAGTTGATAGTATTAGTGTGACTCCTCCAATAGCATTTTCAATACCACCTAAATATATTGATCCAATATCTAAAGTTAGATCAATGATAGAAATGAAGATTCACAGTTTACCTTCTCAGGCTTGTCATTAGCATTTCACATTTAGGCTTTTAGCTTTGATTTGAATGCTTCACAGATGAATTCAAATCTAAACATAATTCCACTACAGCATAATATTAGGCAGTTTTCCCAAGTCTGAGACCATCATGCTTATCTCGTGATGTTTTGAGGCTTCATAGCTTAAATCCATTGTAACATTATGGAATCCATAGAACAAGGTTGTGGAGAAAGGCTTCAGAGAAGTTTTTTGGTGCTGTAATAATCCTATTTAAATAAAGAAAACAAACAAAATCCAACTTAACAGAAGCCAGTCTGCCTAAATACTACTAAGAAAATTGAAATGTTCATATCTAATATTCATAATCACATGTAGATGTATTAAATGTTAACATTTAGTTTTGAGTAGAATAAATCATCACTGAGTTAGGAAATTTATATGGCAAGAATGTATATCACATATGCAGAAAGCAAGTTTACATTTTTTATGCATATAACTACTTTGCAGTAGTCCAGCTGCTATAGCAATGATAGGTTAGTATAGTGTTGACACACTCTGGCAGTTTCCAGATACCCAATGTAGAGACCATCTATCATATCCTACTTTTTTTCTTTTTTTTTTTTTTTTTGTGGCGGAGTCTTGCTCTGTCGCCCAGGCTGGAGTGTAGTGGCGCGATCTCAGCTCACTGCAAACTCCGCCTCCCGGGTTCCCGCCATTCTCCTGCCTCAGCCTCCCGAGTAGCTGGGACTACAGGCGCCCGCCACCGCGACTGGCTAAATTTTTTTGTATTTTTTAGCAGAGACGGGGTTTCACCATGTTGGCCAGGATGGTCTCGATCTCCTGACCTCGTGATCCGCCCGCCTTGGCCTCCCAAAGTGCTGGGATTACAGGCGTGAGCCACTGCATCCGGCCTACTTTTTTTTCTTTTAAGTACAATATCCAAGTTCATATTGATTTTGCTTATAAGCTAACAGTCTCAAATTAGTTCATACTTGGTTCAGACTTTTGGTGCTGTTGTCCTGCTCAGCTTATGTAATTTTAAATCAGTCAGATACATACAGCAAGATCATGTGCAATTAAAAAAAAGCATGATTTTAGTGCTACAAGGAGGATGCTGTTCTCTAAGCTGAAAATTTAATGAAATGGCTAACGTATGTATCAGAGGTTGGATAATTCCTTACTCCTAAGATGTTGTACCTTGTATATAGTAAAGGCCTTCAAATATTAGCTGACTAGATCAGTGATGTCATCTCCCCCTTTACTATTCCAACTCCATTTTGTTTATTTTGAAGATAATTACTCTTCTTTAGTTGAAAATTATGGCATTGGAAAATGTTCTCTATCTGGAGAATAATAACGGACCAAATTTACCAGTTAAGGGACCATTTCAGGAATTGTTGGAAGGTGAGTTATTCTGTAGTAGCTATGCTTCAATTGCCGTGCAGTACGCCCAGAAACAATCCATTTCAACTTCTGAACATTTGGTTTGGAACACTTATTTGATGAATATTCAGTTAAACATTTGGATACAAGCTCTTGCCAGAAGGTCAGATCTCTGCCATTTATCTGTACATACATAAATTTTAAAAAATTATTACTCCAAGTAAGTCCCACCTTATTTAACTACATTAATAAATGCAATCCTATGAACATGTGTCTTTGCTCATTAAAAACATTTGAGGATAGCTACTTAAGTTTCAAATAAACATATGACATCTCATTTTACTTCAGGAGATAGAAGGGGTTTAGTTTCTTTTACAGCTGTTAATAGGATTTAGGCTATGTCCTTCACATACCTTGGAATGTTTCTGAAGACATTCTATTCCTTCTGTTAACTCTACACACTTCTGTGCTTGGATCTCTAATGCAATGATAGACAATGCCAACACAGAAGGCTAAAAGAGATAAATTTAAAGTAAATGCCAAATATAAAAACAGATCATATCAATAGGCATAATCTTTATAAAATATTTACCTTTGCTTTAGAAAATATGATCCTGCAATGACATGCCTTCAGTTGAGCTTCTAGTCTTTCAAAATTAATGCTATTTCTCCTTTAAAAAGAAAATGGTATTACTTTTATTAGGTAATACTACATCTAGTCAAAAGATGTTTTTAGAAAAACATTGAAGTCAATTTTTAAAGTAAAGCTTATGCACACTTAACATAGCAAATGAACTATTGAAAGGAATTCCCCTTCCATCAGAGATACTAACTTCTAAAGGCACCATATGGGAGTTTTAGATGATTTGGGCCAAAAAATTAAAATGAATAGTACTATGCCACAAATACAAGATTTATTTTCTTTTAGTTTTAATAAATATTTCAACATCCACTGAAGGTCCTTTTTTTCCATAAATTTGTGTTAGATGCTTTCCTACTAGGTTCTATAAAGTCAAAATGTACTTTAATCCCAAGAATTAGCTTTAACGAAGCTATTGACAATGGAACATTTTCTCACTTATGATGGACATTAAAGTTCAAGGAGCCACAGCTGTCATTTTACTTATTTTTATTAGAATTCTATGAGGATACTGATTTTATGCAATATCCATACAATACCATTCTGATTTCCAAATGTCTCTTGTTCAAAACAAAGGTCACTTACCTTTCAAGTGGCAAGTTCTCTTGAAGGAGTGAATAATACAGTTGCAGAAATTGAAAGGCAGTAGTAGCTTTGACTTTCCAACACACCTTCTCCAATACAATCTTTTCCATTCTCATCAAGTCTGAAACCGTAAACCTATATTGACTTATTCGGATCAAGTCAGTTGCCAATGGGACATTCCTTTCCTCTTCTATTGATTTTACAGCCAAATAAAAGCAGCTCAGTCCAACACACCCAAGGTGCTTGGGCTGTACCTAAAAAATCAAAAACAAAACCAGTAAGCCCATGACTCTACCTTATTTCAATTAAAACATAAAGGATAATCTAGAACTCCGACCCAACATTTTGAAAATGTATATTTGAGGTTTATTTCTCAGCTGTGATGGACTTAACACAATCCACTCATACCTAAACTATAGCCTGTCAACACTATGGACCCCACTTAGAACCAATTTTTGAGTAACTGGACTGAGTTTCAGTATAATGTTTGGCTCAGCATAGAAAAAGTGTGTTTTTATTAATCACTGTAGAACTATAAGTAAACATTGTTCTAGTTTGATCAAATAAGTTAACTAGTCAAAGATATATGAGGACTGAAATACTTTATGGCTTATTTACAAAATAAGCCATTTCTTTGCAGGATGTTGTATTTTTTCCAGGCTCTTGTCTTTGTGGGAACACATATAAAACAGTTTTAAAATACTATGGCATATACTGTTTACTCTGCCTCTAAGAGTTCTATCCACTACTAATCTTTATCATTTAATTTTCTGAATGTCTGCCGTATGAGACACAGTCAAAACTTTATCCAGTTTACTTCCAGCTCACATGAAACTAAGCTTTTACCAGTATTAATATCTCTGTGCTCTCTCTCTTCTTGTAAACTCTTCAGCAGTACACTTATGCCTCTTTAAAGGCATAATGTAGTTATTTTTCTTATTATGACTTGTACATAAGAGCAACGATCTTATTCTCACATAAGACTGAATTATACCTGAGGAATAGCTGTATATTATTCATTTGTGCAACATTTACAGATTCAAAGGTAATGACTACATGTGAAATGTCTAAAGAGCTTAATTAGTCTGTTGAAGCAAATTTCTTGAATCTTCAACAAATATTGAAGTCCTTTTTTATGATGCACTGTGTTAGATACCGAGGACTAAAATATGAGTTTCCTTCCAATTGTCACATCATCTTATTTTCCTCCAGTGACCATGGGTGTACAGGAAAGGCAGATGCATTTGTAACAGTTAAGCTCTGAAAGTGACAGTCTTGTTTATCTAGTATAGGAAAATAGTTGCTCCTCCTTCAGACACACTCTCCTCCCTACTGCATGTACACTGAAGCTGGAAATGCCAAGCATAAGCAAGTCTTGACTAGGTCTAAGGCTAAAACATTTACAATTTTATATATGGGTAGTGATTAACAAATATATCTTAATTCTTAGCCACAATGTAGCCTCTAATAAATTTCTGCCACTAATAAATTTGTTTATATCTAAAAATAGTAAATAAATGGACAAATCCAACCTATCAAGAAGGGTTTTTTAAAAACAGCCAATTTTCTTACTAGGAAACTGCAATTTGTTACTTGATATTAGACTATTTTTCATTTCAGAATTTAAGTCTAATACCTGATGTACTACTCTTGATTATGATAAGAAATATTAATGCTGTAGTAGACAAAATTAATGTTTTGGCTACGTGCTGAAAAAAAAAAGGTCAAGTTTATGAATACCAGCCAAAAGGTAACAATTCCATCTCCAAAACACACTGAGCAAAATTACAAAAATGTAGCTTCAAACATACCTTCATTTTAGACAGGAATCTGTCCAGTAAATTCACAGCTAGAGAAAATGTCTCTGTGTCAAAGCCAAAGAACTGAGTTAGACTAAGAAGATCTTTTACTTCAAAGTCCCTTAGTCTTGCAGTCATTCTGAGGCCATTATCGTGTGCAGACTCAATTAGTCTCAAACCACAGACCTTTGGCTGACATCTAGACTCCTGTTCCAACAGGGCATTCAGCTGGTGTAGCAGTTTCTGAGAGTCAGTTGTTGTCAGTACCTCTATCATCTATATATAGAAAAAAAGACCAGCAAGGAGTGTAAGAGTAGTCCTTCCTGCTTTCCTTGGCCATCTTTGCACTGGGCCAAGAAATGATTTATAAGCCTCCCATCCCCCAATGCGGCTAGTGCATCTAAGTCATTGCAAAGTGCCATCTGTTATTTATTTCCCTTCTACAAGTTGGTCACATCCTAAATTGAGTTCCTAGAGGGAAGGAACCATGCTTTTTTTTTTTTTTTTTGAGAAGGAGTCTCGCTCTGTTGCCAGGCTGGAGTACAGTGGCACGATCTTGGCTCACTGCAACCTCCGACTCCCTGGTTCAAGCGATTCTCCTGCCTCAGCCTCCCGAGGAGCTGGGATTACAGGCATGCGCCACCGCGCCCAGCTAATTTTTATATTTTTAGTAGAGACGGGGTTTCACCATGTTGGCCAGGATGGTCTCGGTCTCCTGGCCTTGTGATCTGCCCGCCTCGGCCTTCCAAAGTGCCGGGATTACAGGCGTGAGCCACCGCGCCCGGTCGGAACCATGCTTTTTAGAAAAATAAAATGCAAATCTTCAAGAAATACTTGTTCAAGTTATTCACTGTCAATAGATAACCACGAATAAACACCGTAAGACAGGATACCGAAAGTGAAAAGCAGATGGTAGTTAAGTATTCTGCCACATATTAACAAAATGAACTGTTCAAGTTACTTAATTGTACTTAGTTCCACATTGATAAAGTAGGGATAAGGTTTATGACCTACCTCACAGATTTGTGAGTTAAAATGAAATCACGTAAAGAGCTTAGCACATACAGTAGACGCTTAAAAAACACTGAACAATAATAATGAGCTTGAGCTTCTTTCTAGATTTATAAAATGAGGGTAACAATATCTGTCGCTGAATGTGAAGACTGAACAAGATGATTCACCACTTAAAGAGTATAGCACAGTGCTTGGCACACAATACTCAATATTACTTAACTTTTATTGTTGTTAGGAAAGGAAACTTAAAAGGTGACATTAGGAGCACGTATTGGGGCGGGGGGGTGCGGTGGGTTGTTGCTAACCTAGTCTGAAAGATGAACCTGGGAATTCCATTGATTTAAGTGTGCATAACACAACCATGTCCCGGGCACAAGCTAAGCCCTGGATACATGGAAGGTCCCTCCCACACCAACTAAAGACAGGAAGGCAGGAGGTCTTCAGAGCTAGTCATGTGAGGAACCTCTAACTGCAGGGGTTCCATTCTTCCTCCCCAGGCTAGTCCCTGGGACTGGGTCGGCAGACACGAAAGGCACCTCAGGAGGCCGGATCCGGCTCCGCCCCTCCAGCCTCGGACTAGCCTGGGCTTGTGCTCACAACAGCGGTAGAGTTTAGTGTGGAAAAGGGCGCGGGCCAGACCTACTCCTCGCCCCGCGCCCCCAACCCAGCTCCCCACCCGCACCTGGCGGTCAACTCCCGCGCAGTCCCACTCACCTTGACAGAGACTGCAGCTCCTCAGCGGTAACCACCCTCCCCGGGCCTGCTCACCTCACCCCACGATATCAGATCCGAGAGGCCTACGAGGAGAGGGGACTCGTAGGCAAGAGGAGAGAGGCCCGGGGAGGGGGACTGTCCTGGGTGGAGGCCTCGGCAGCGCCGCCGAGACAACTCGGCCCTGATCAGGGTCAGCTCGGAGCCGAAGGGGCCGCGCCTGCCCTAACGAGGAATATATTGGAGGGCGGGGCTTTCTCGCGAGAAGGGGGCATTTTCGCCGCTGATTGGTGTAATTCTTTTGATGGATGGCCTCCGCGATCCGTAAACGGCTGGGCCGTGGAGTGAGAAGTCCGGCCAATCGGCTCACACTTCCCGTTATCTGGCCTCAAATTCCCCGGCCCCCTTCCACGCCCCTACCTCTAAGCGTCTCTCATTGGAGAATTTAACAAAGTGTCTTCATTCAGTAGGGGGCCAAACTAAATACTCGGTGCAGCAACCCTCGCCTGGGTCAGGTCAATCGGCTGCCAGCCGGATTGGCCGGCGTATCATTCCAGAATGTACTGTTTGTTCTGTGGGGTTTAGGAGTTCTACAGTGGTTCTGCCCCATCTTTCTAAAAATACAGTGAGTAGTTAAAAAAAAAAAAGTCAACCTTTGATTTTTAATTACAGATAAAGAGGTGGTGGAATTTATATGGTTTGGTGGTTTATCAACTTCCAGAGTGCTCTCTTCGTGAACTTTGGAAGTCAGTTGATTCTTGCCTTAGTTTGCTTTTTATACAATTTATCAAATAATGGAGTTGGACTGTGTAATTTCTTGACCCTCTACCAATTTTCTGAATTTGCTTTTAAAGCAAATTTAAAGAGAAAAGTTGGTACAATTTTTCAGTTGCTTAAAATGAAAGGTATGTGGCAGACTGTTAACAGGAATAATTGTGGTGAGTGTGAATCTCAGTCTACAGACCCGAGTGTAAAGCAGTATTACTCTTTGTATTTACCATAATGAATTTAATCTCTGTGAGCCTCTCCTATGCCAGATTAGTGGGAAAATAATTAGCCTGAACTCTTCTTAGACTCTCCTCACTCTCACTCTCCCAGATCATCACAAGTGAGAAAAGTCCATTTGTAAAAGGGCCTGAAAAAGGGTGCACAAGGAGTCATTTCTAAACTCTTATGAATTACACAGTAGTTGGATGTCTCTGTTCTCATGGCCCCAGTTCGGTCTCTCTTACTTTGAAAAAGTGAAAATCTGAAAGATTTGCCGTCACTCTGCTATTTGCCCTGCCGTGTACTTACCCAAGGCAATGCCACAGAACAAAACTCTGGAAAGGGGGAAAAGGGGTGGGGAGGAAGGGGAAGGAAAAACAGGAGAAAACATCAATACCTCACAATAATACCTTAGCCACATAATCAGGTCAGTTTAAGAAACTGGGGCTCAAATGGGGAAGAGGCCTTTGTTCCTTTTGAAAATAAAAGCTTACCTAGTGAATATAAATTGGCAATTTATAACCTTTAACAAGTGATTTTATTTAAAAATACTTTTTGCTGTAATGTGTGAGTTTATAAATGTAGTTTCTCCTTTTGGCTTTTAGTTCCTATTATTCCTAATTCCTAAAATTAGGAATGTATATGCACAATTTTTAAAAAAAATGGCTAAAAAATCATAAAATCTTTATGGCAGGCTGGGCGCGGTGGCCCACACCTATAATCCCAGCACTTTGGGAGGCAGAGGCGGGTGGATTACCTGAGGTCAGGAGTTTGAGACCAACCTGGCCAACATGGTGAAACCCCGTCTCTACTGAAAATACAAAAATTAGCTGGGCATGGTGGCACGTGCCTGTAATCCCAGCTACTCGGGAGGCTGAGGCAGGAGAATCGCTTGAACCTGGGAGGTAGAGGTTGCAGTGAGCCGAGATGGTGCCACTGCACTCCAGCCTGGGCAACAGAGCAAGACTTGGTCTAAAAAAAAAAAAATTCTTTATAGCAATCAAAAGCACGAATAAATTAACTAATATTTATTGAACACATAGCATAGGCCAGTGGAGAACAAATTAGACTGGTACCCGTCCTTGTAGAA
This sequence comes from Homo sapiens, assembly GCF_000001405.40. Taxonomy (NCBI): domain Eukaryota; kingdom Metazoa; phylum Chordata; class Mammalia; order Primates; family Hominidae; genus Homo; species Homo sapiens. The sequence goes on along the minus strand of NC_000005.10, from coordinate 163,435,730 downwards.
CATGTAACCTGTGGGCAATATAAACACATAGACTTTAGAATAAAATAAACTTATATTCATATCCAGGAATAGCTCATAACTTGTTATGTGACTTTCAGCAAGTTATTTAATCACATTTTCTTTTCTCAACAATGAGAAGTAAAAAATACATTATTCATGGGGTTATGAAGAGGATTAAATAATAGAAAGTGCATAAAGAGGTAGTCACTATTCCCAGATCACAGTAGATTTCTTGATAAATGGTAGCCCTTAGTATTAAATTACTATTTCTTTTTAAATATCTTGCTTAAACACACTTTGATGTGTTTTCTCTGTTATCAGACTAGTCTTCTGTTTTCAGCCTAGAAGGATAATCAGAGTATTAGAACTGTTTATTTAACACAGATAAAAATATCTAAATTGCATGTATTAATTTCTATACGTTTTTATACTTGAAATTTTCACTTGAGGGCTTTTAGGTAATATATCATTGTTTATATAATACAGTATTTTCTCGTACATTAGAATATTTTTACTTTTTATTAAAATCTCTCACATAAAAATATTTCACTAGTACTGGAGAGACATTAATTAAATATAAATCAAGTCAAATTGAAATTCTTTACTTTTCTTCCTCCCTTAACCCCCTCTGCCATTTTCATTTCAAAATGTTAGAATATAGACCATCATTTAAATAATTGAAAAGACCTAATTAGCAAAATGTGGAAATGTAATACTCAGTTATCCACTCTTGTAAAATAAAGATAATGAGCCCTTCGTTAACTATGATTTTATTTTTAAAGAAGTGTGGATTTAATCATGAATTCCTATTGAAAATTTGTTAAATGACTGACTTCTGGGGGTATATTCTAGGCTCAATGATGTATTCAATTCCTATCCTCATACCTTCTTCTCCATTAACAGTTAAGTACAACAAGAACTAATGGTCAGAATAATGGCCTTGAGGCTGGGCAAGAATCCAGGCAGTAACGGGAAGATGTAATCATATTCTCCGCATGGTAGGCTGTAGACATGCCTTTCAACAACAAAGATTATAACAAGCAGGTATAAAACAGTGGTGGTGTGTCAAATACTGCCCTGACTCACAGGGAAATTCCCGGTTGGCTTTGTTTGTTTCCATCTTGGAGATGTGGGAGTCTGTGCCTTCCCTCCTGCACACAATGTCCAATCACCTTACCCTCTTTTCAGGCTCCCTAATAAATGTCTGGTACTTTTGTGTGTAGCCTTGTCCAACTATGATAAGGGCCAAGGAAGTGAGGGTCAAAAAGATCTCAGCTGAGTTCCCTTCTGCTTTCTGATCCTTCCTGTAACTGTGCATTACAGCCTCCTCCACTTCTCTAGCTGTTCTCTAGTGCATCTAGTCTATCTTATTCATTTGAAGTTAACTTGCTTGTCAGTGGCTCCTTTAATTCTTTATTAGTTTATGGGACACCAGTGAAATTAAGTATGGTTGGGAGGAGAAAGACAGAGAAGGATACATAAAAAACATAGATTAACAATTCCATGAATATCCTTCTACTCAGAGGTTCTAGCTACCACTTCTATACTCAGATAAAGTAACCCCTTCCAATTAATTGAGGTTTTACTATATATTTCATGAAAAACTAAATTTTTGACTCATCAAGTAACCACTGCTATATAAAGGCACTGGGTCACATTAGAGGGGGATCCTCTGTTCTCTAATGGCTTTAGACTCTGTTGAGTACAAAGCTTAAAGCCAAGACCAGCCAAAAACGTACTATATAGGGTTTGCATTTATTATATGTTTCCCATGTGCCAGGTCATCGTGCTGAACTTAAACACACCTGCCTTTGACAACTCTGATATTTTTATTCTCTTCAGAAATGTGGGATATTTTATATATCTCATGTTTAGTAACTGTTTACTATTTACTAAATATACTTCACACAAAACTTGAATTTGGATTTTTCTGCAGTTTTTTAAAAAGTTTCTATTTCAGAACATTTAAGTCTCATTACCCAGCTTCAATAATCAACATTTTGCCCATGTTGACTGTTTACTTTGTTTGTCTATCAACAAGTATTTCTTGAGAACTTTGTAAGTGCCAGACCATTGTATTTTGTAATCCCAGATAAAAAATGCTGCTACAGCTTTTGAGCCACAGGATGTGTTGGCTGCTGTTCTCTGTGAACGTAAGACGTCAGAAGGATCAGCTGGGTCATTGTCCTCCAGTCAGAAGCCAACACTGCAGGTGTCTCTGTTGTCTCCTGCTTTGGAAGGAGAAGGAATGGGAAGGCAAGAACAATTTCCTTTCTTATCCAGGTTTCTGCCTAGGTTGCTAACCTTCCTCCCCCAAAAGCAAACACACACACACACCCAAACACACACACACACACACACACACACACACACACCCCATGTACACAAAACGTTTTGGCGGAGTTGAGAATTGGACTTAAGGCCTTCCTTGTTTCACGTTACTACCTTCCTTATCTTTCTAGCCTTTTAACTCTTTTATCCCCCTCTCTGATTTTGCCAACCCTTTTCTCTTTTCTCTCCCCAAACCTCAGTTTTCTAATAATTAGTACATCCCAAGGTTGTTTTTCACTGCCTGTACTGTTGGTAGGGTCAGAGCCTCTTCGTGGCTTTCAGGTTCTATGGCTGGTAGAGGGCAGTGAGGAGCCCTCCCTTGGCATTCCAAGGGTTGGTGGGTGAGTGTGGAGGAAAAACACCCAAGTTAGGGTAATGTATTCCACATTACAGTTTGTCTTCAAATCAAACAAAACAAAGCAAAACAAATAAAAAACTTTCCAGAGAAATGCATGAATAACCATAAAAATAAGTGCTATGACAGAGCCATGCATAGGGTATCAGGGGAACACACAAGAAGACTTAAACAAAATCAGGGGGGTCAGGGAAGGAGTGAAGGGAAGGGATCTTTGTAGAAGTCTTCCAAGATACTGTGACTCCTGATCTGAGTTTTTTAGGGATTTAGCCAAGTGAAGAGGCTGGTGCAAAGGGCATTGCAGACAAAATCAACAGTATATGCAAAGGCACAATCGAAAGAGAGAATAAACTGATTTCTGCAAATGAAATAGAGATTACTCTGGCTAAAGTACAGAGGCTATGGAGGGAGGTGGTTTAGCAGTGAAACTGGGGAGAGAAGCAGTTGCTCATGTTGAGGGGCCATGTATACCATGTATACCATTCTTGAAATGTTGGACTTTGCAGACTTTGGGGAACCAACCATGGAATTTAAAAAGAACACCACAATTGGGTATGTGATTTGGGATGACCACTTGGCATCAGGGTGAAGATTGGAGAGATGGGCCAAGACTGGAGGCAGGAAGAACAGTTTAAAGGTCATTGCCTTAACCTAGGAAAAAACAGAAGTTTGCATTGAACTTTAGCAAAAGTTTGAATTGGGGTTCTATTCATGTATTTATCAGAGAATACAGAAAAAAGACTGGGTTTGCTGGAGGAAAACTTTAAGTTCAAGATGTCTGAGGGACTTCCAGGTGGAGGTGTTGAAAAGGCAGCTAGAGAAACATTTGTTGCTGCAGGTATCTTTGGGACTCATCAGAAATAGGGGGTGATTTGAGTCATGGAAATAGATCAGTTCAGGAGAGTTGAAGATGATAAATCTGAAGAGAGAATCTAGGGAAAAGGAGTCTCCAAAGGGAATCTAGGAGAAGAGAGAGACAGAAGAGGGAAATAAGGAGAGAGGATGTTACAGGAATGAGGAGACAGTGTTTCAAGGAGAGAGTGAGCACCAGTATCTGATGCTGCAGAGAGGATAAAACAGTATGAACAAGAAAGAAAGAATATGAAACCAATGAGTATATAAGCCATTCTTGCAATGAACTTGACTATAAGGGGTAGAGGCAATGGCCAGAGGGTGGACATGGTGATGAGAAAGAGAGTTTGCTTTTCAAAGATGAGCTAGTTATGTGCCTGTTTAAATGATGTCAGGAAGGAACCAGCAGGTTAAAGATGTATCTGACTGCTGGAACAATCTGAAGCCTCATATGACACTGGTCAATTTAATTGACACTAGTCGATTTACACTCAGTCAGCTGTATTGTTATAGAAGCTTCTATTCAAATACAGACTACAATGGAAGCAAACAACACAAAAGAGCAGAAATTCTATGTATTTAGCATGCTTAAAATTCTCTGAGTAGATGTTAAGAATGATCACAAAATGTTTTATAAATGTTTTTGTTTTCTGTAGCGATTTTTTATGCCTGATTTTTAGTTTCAAATTATTCAAAGGTCTCTCCCTGATTTAAAATATTCTCACTTGTCAAGTTTAGGAGCTTTACATCAGTATTGAAGTAAGACTGATAAGTAAAAACATGAATTTTATGTACCCTTATGTAGTGAAAATATGATGGAACAGCACATCAGTTTGTTCAAGCCCCCTTAAAATATCTAGCTTTTGTTGGAAGTCACCCATGCATAGATTTAGGTCAAATAGAATAAAATTTTTAGGTACCTTATGAATGTTTCTATTTTTAATGGAAATATATATTTCCATCATGTAATGATAAACACAGTATGTGTGGGTGCGAAAATACTTGGAAGGGGTAATAGTGCCAAATCACATTGGTGCAGATTTTTGTATGAAATTTTCTGTAATTCCTGGCCTTATAGAAGAACTTCTAATAACTAATAGCAGCGATTTGGCTGAGGCGCTAAGGGACCGACTACAGTCTGGATCCCAGTTTCTCTACTTACAAGTTTTAGCCTCAAGATCTTCATATTGTGAATAACAGTACTACCCAAAATGTTGTTGTAAGGATTAATTGAGCTAATAGGTGGAAAAAAGTACATGTAAGTGCTCAACAAATGTTAGATGTTATTATTTTCTGTAGAAATAAGTCATCTTCCTAGAGAGAAATAAATTACAACCCATGGCACTGCTGACATCAATAAATGGGCAATTTTATCAGGGTCTTTGTCCTTACAATAACATTAGTCTTCCTGTTGTTCTGACCATAAAGTGGACTTCATCTCCTAAGACCACATAAACTGGGAAAAGTTGACCTAATACAAATCAGCTAATAAACATAAACCAATATTTTTGTTTTTTCTTTGGTCTTATGTTTTCCTTAAGTGGATTGTCCCTTATGCATGAAGGCAAATGATGATCCCATGAGAGAGAATGGTACCTTCTCTTTTTGGTAAATTTTGTAGTTTACGAAGGACTTTCACATTTATTTTGTCATGCAATCTTTCCAGAATCCTTGCCAGATTTTCAGGACAGGGTTTATGTATTAGTTTGCTAGGGTTGCCAAACAAAATTCCATAGACTGAGTGGCTTAAACAACAGAAATTTATTCTGTTGCAGATCTGGAGGCGGGAAGACCAAGACCAAGGTGTCATTAAGTGTGGTTTCTTCTGAGGTCTCTTCTTGGCTTGCAGATGGCCACCTTCTTACTCTGTCTTCACATGGTCTGTGGGTGTCTCTTCTTGTAAGGATGCCAATTATATGGGATTTATCTCAATTATGTGTTTAAAGGCCCTGGTTTCAAATAGAGTCACATTGGAAGTCAGGGCTTCAACATATGAATTTTAGGGGGATACAGTTCAGTCTATAACAGATTGTGGCCCATATTTTTTTGGGAGAGAACAATAAAGCCAGAGAGGTTCAATAATTTACTCAAGGTCGCTTGGCTTGTGGATCATGAGTTAGGACTAAGCTCAAGACTTTTCATTCTCCTGTTGTTTCCCATTGCACGTCTCACATTCCCTTCTGGAATTACTTCTCCAGAAATGTTTTCTTAATGGCATGTGTTTATGAAATGATTTCAAGTTCATGAACAAAGAAATGCTATTTTATCTACCTATGAAAACTAAGCTCAGAATTTTATTGCTTAGTTGCACTTTGCTCTGCTCAACTGAATTCACTGTTTTAGACTTCACTATTGATATATATGTATATATATAATATACATATTATATATAATACACATATATTATATATTATATATTATATATGATATACATATATAATATATAATACACATATATTGTATATGTTATATATAATATACATATATAATACACATATATATTATATATAATATATATAATAGATTATATACATATTATGTATATTATATATATTTTATATATACATATAATATATATGTATATTATATATTATATATGTATATAATATATAATATGTGTATTATATATAAAATATATGTATATTATATATAATATATAATATATGTGTATTATATATATTATTCATGTATATTATATATTATATATAATATATAATATACATGTATATTATATATTATATATTATATAAATATTATATATAATATACATGTATATTATATATTATATAAAATATATATTATATAATATACATGTATATTATACATTATATAATATATATTATATAATATATTATACATATATAATATATATTATATAATATATTATACATATATAATATATATTATATAATATATTATACATATATTATATATATATGTATATTTTATATATACATGTATATTTTATATATAATATATATATATTCTTTTTGAGACAGGGTCTTGCTCTGTCATCCAGGCTGGAGTGCAGTGGAACAATCATTAACTCACTGTAACCTCAAACTCCTTGTGATCCTTCTGCCTCAGCCTCCCCAGTAGGTAGGACTACAGGCATGCACCATCATGCCTGGCTAATTTTTGTTTTATTTTATTTTGTAGATACAGTGTTTCACTATGTTACCCAGGCTGGTCTTGAACTCCTGGGCTCAAGTGATCCTCCCACTTTGGCCTCTCAAAGCACTGGGATTACAGGTATGAGCCACCGTGCCTGACAACTATTAATTTTTAGACAATCATTTCACAATAAATTTTGAACTATTTTGAGTAATTAAGGGCTAACTTGTTCAAATACTCACTAGCACATAAGTCCCTTAACAATAAGCATTTTAAAAAGGAAAAGGGCCTATTATGAAGTTTCTGGTGAAGGATATGATATTAAAAAGCCCTCTTGGGCCAATAATTAATTATTGCTGCAGTTTCAAATTTTCTTTCTTTTTTTTTTTTAAAAAAAAAAAACAGTGGAACTCCTAAGGACATCTTGTGAATATCAAAACAAATAAAATGTCCACTGTGGAACAGAGAGTCTCAGTTTCTCTGCCCTCCACCAACCCCCAGTTCATGAGAAGCAGCCCTCTAATTCATCTCTCTCCCACAAAAATGTTGCATTATTCATCTTATCACTGAAAGTTTTTATGCTTTAATATCTCCCCATTTCCCCCACTCCCAGCCCTAACAATCACCTTTCTACTGTTCAGGGAATCTAATATACAGTATGGTAATGACAGTTAAAATAAGCAGAGAATAAGAAGTCTCCATCAGTAAAACTCATAAAATTTTTTTTCTCTATCCAAAAACAAAACCAAAATTTTATTTTTATTTTTTATTCTTCCATAAGTTATTGGGGTACAGGTGGTATTTGGTTACATGAGTAAGTTCTTTCGTTCTTTCATGGTAATTTGTGATATTTTGGTGCACCCATCACCTGAGCAGTATACACTGCACCGTATTTGTAGTCTTTTATCCCTCACCCATCTCACACTCTTCCCCCCAAGTCCCCAGAGTCCATTGTATCATTGTATCATTCTTACATACCTTTGTGTCCTCATAGCTTAGCTCCCACATATCAGTGAAGACATACAATATTTGGTTTGCCATTCCTGAGTTACCTCACTTAGAATAATAATCTACAATCTCATCCAGGTCACTGCAAATGCTGTTAATTCATTCCTTTTTATGGCTGAGTAGTATTCCATTGTGTAAATACATATATATGTCACAGTTTCTTTATCCACTCATTGACTGTTGGGCATTTGGGTCGGTTCCACGGTTTTGCAGTTGTGAATTGTGCTGCTATAAACGTGTGTGCAAGTTTCTTTTTCGAATAATGACTTCTTTTCCTCTGGGTAGATACCCAGTAGTGGGATTGCTGGATCAAATGGTAGTTCTACCTTTAGTTCTTTAAGGAATCTCCACACTGTTTTCCATAGTGGCTATACTAGTTTACATTCCCACCAACACTGTAGAAGCGTTCCCTGATAACCGCATCCATGCCAACATCTACTGTTTTTTGATTTTTTGATTATGGTCATTCTTGCAGGAGTAAGGTGGTATTGCATTGTGGTTTTGATTTGCGTTTCCCTGACCATTAGTGATGTTAAGCATTTTTTCTTTTTCATATGTTTGTTGGCCATTTGTATATCTTCTTTTGAGAATTGTCTATTCATGTCCTTAGCCCACTTTTTGATGAGATTGTTTTTTTCTTACTGATTTGTTTGAGTTCATTGTAGATTCTGGATATTTGTCCTTTGTCAGATGTACAGATTGTGAAGATTTTCTCCCACTCTGTGGGTTGTCCGTTTACTCTGCTGACTGTTCCTTTTGCCGTGCAAAAGCTCTTTAGTTTAATTAGGTCCCAGCTATTTATCTTTGTTTTTATTGCATTTGCGCTTGGGTTCTTGGTCATGAAATCCTTGCCTAAGCCAAAGTCTAGAAGGCTTTTTCTAATGTTATCTTCAGAATTTTTATAGCTTCAGGTCTTAGGTTTAAGTCTTTGATTCATCTTGAGTTGATTTTTGTATGAGGTGAGAGATGAGGATCCAGTTTCATTCTCTTACATGTGGCTAGCCAATTATCCCAGCATCATTTGTTGAAAAGGGTCTCCTTTCCCCACTTTATGTTTTTGTCTGCTTTGTCAAAGATCAGTTGGCTGTATTTGGGTTTCTGGGTTCTCTATTCTGTTCCATTGGTATATGTGCCTATTTTATACCAGTACCACGCTGTTTTGGTGACTACGGCCTTATGATGTAGTTTGAAATCAGGTAGTGTGATGCCTTCAGATTTGTTCTTTTTGCTTAGTCTTGCTTTGGCTGTGCATTCTCTTTTTTGATTCCATATTAATTTTAGAGTTGTTTTTTCTAATTCTGTGAAGAATTATGGTGGTATTTTGATGGGGATTGCATTGAATTTATAGATTGCTTTTGGCAGTATGGTCATTTTCACAATATTGATTCTACCCATCCATGAGCATGGGATGTGTTTCCATTTGTTTGTGTCGTCTATGATTTCTTTCAGCAGTGTTGGGTAGTTTTCCTTGTAGGGGTTTTTTGACTCTTTGGTTAGGTATATTCCTAAGTATTTAATTTTTTTTTGCAGCTATTGTAAAAGGGGTTAAGTTCTTGATTTGATTCTCAGCTTGGTTGCTGTTGGTGTATAGAAGAGCTACCAATTTGTGTACATTAATCTTGTATCTGGAAACTTTGCTGAATTCTTTTTATCCGTTCTAGCAGCTTTCTGGAGTAGTCTTTAGGGTTTTCAAAGTAAACAGTCATATCGTCAGGAAACAGTGACAGTTTGACTTCCTCTTTACTGATTTGGATGCCCTTTATTTCTTTCTGCTGTCTGAATGTCCTGGCTAGGACTTCCAGTACTGTGTTGAAGAGGAGTGGTGAGAGTGGGCGTCCTTGTCTTGTTCCCGGTCTCAGAGGGAATGCTTTCAACTTCTCTCCATTCAATATTACAGTATTATGTTAGCTGTGGGTTTGTCATAAATGGCTTTTATTACATTAAAGTATGTCCCTTGTATGCCGATTTTGCTGAGTTTTAATCATAAAGGGATGCTGGATTTTGTCATATGCTTTTTCTGCATCTATTGAGATGATCATGTAATTTTTGTTTTTAATTCTGTTTATGTGGTGTATCACATTTATTGACTTGCATATGTTCTTTTTATCTTATCTTATTTTATTTATTTATTTATTTATTTTTTGAGATAGGGTCTTACTCTGTCGCCCAGGCTGGAGTACAGTGGTGTGATATCGGCTCACTGCAACCTCTACCTACCTGGTTCAAGTGATTCTCCTGCCTCAGCCTCCCGAGTAGCTGGGACTACGGGTATGTGCCACCATGCCTGGCTAATTTTTTGTATTTTTAGTAGAGACGGGATTTCACCATGTTGGCCAGGCTGGTCTTTAACTCCGGTCCTCAAGTGATCCGCCTGCCTCGGCCTTCCAAACTGCTGGGATTACAGGCATAAGCAACTGTGCCAAGCCCCTTAATTATAATATTTTCATGGCCTCTTTAGAGTTTTCTATATATAAAATCATAAAACTAAGATAATTTTACTTTTTAGTTTCCAGTTTGTTTTTTTGTTTGTTTGTTTTTGAGACAGAGTTTTGCCCAGGCTGGAGTGCAGTGGTGCGATTTCAACTCACTGCAGCCTCCGCCTCAGCCTCCTAAGTAGCTGGGATTATAGACATGCACCACCACGCCTGGCTAATTTTTGTATTTTTAGTAGAGATGGGGTTTTGCCATGTTGGCCAGGCTGGTCTCAAACTCCCGACCTCAGGTGACCCACCCACCTTGGCCTCCCAAAATGCTGGGATTACAGGCATGAACCACTGCGCCTGGCCTTTATTTCTAATTCGAATGCTGTATTAATCAGGGTTCTTTAGAGAAACAGTACTAATAAAATATATATATAAATATATATTACATATGTATAAAATGTGAATTTACATAATATGTAAAATTAGAGTTGGTTCATATGATTATGGAGGCTGAAAAGTCCCATGATCTTGCAGACAGCAGTCTGCAAGCTGGAGATACAAGAAAGCCAGTGTTGTAATTCAGTTCATATCTGAAGGTCTGAGAAAGAGGGAAGCTAATGGTGTATCTCCCAATCTGAGTCTGAAGGCCTGAGAACCAAAGATGGGAGGAAAACTGGTGTAAGGCTACAGTCCAAAGACCTGAGAACCAGGAGCTTTGATATTTGAGGGCAAGAGAAAAATGGATGTCCCATCTCAAGAAGAAAGAGCGAATTGTCCCTTCTGCCTTTTTGTTCAGTTCAGTCCCTCAACAGATTAGATGATGCCTACCTACACTGGTAAGGGCAGATCTTCTTTACTCAGTCTACCGGTTCAAATGCTAATCTCTTCCAGAAACACCCCCACAGACACACCAGAAATAATATTTTATCAGCTATCTTTGTATTCCTTAGCTCAGTCAAGTTGACACATTAAATTGACCATCAAAAATGCCTTTTATTTATTTTTCTTGTCTAATTGTTCTTACTAGGACTATGTGGAATATTGAAAGCAGGCAATTTTTCCTGATATAAGAGAATAAACTTTTAGTCTTTCAACCACTGAATATGAAGTCAGCTGTGGGATTTTCATTTATGGTTTGTTATGGGAAAGTAATTTTTTAAATTCCTAGTTTGTTGAGTGATTTCATCATGAGTGTTCAGTTTTGTCAAATGCTCTTTCTGCCTCAATTGAGATGATCATACAGTTTTTTCCCCTTCATTCTCTTAATGTGGTGTATTACACTGATTTTTGCGTAATGAACCACATTGGTATTGATTCTTTTTTAAATGCTTGATAGAATTCACCAGTGATGCCATCTCGACATGGACTTTTCTCATGGAAAGTTTTAAAATTACTAAACTTATTATATTTAATTATTGTAAGGTTATTCAGATTTTATATTTCTTTTTGAGTTAATTTTGAAAGTTTGTGTGTTTCTAGAAATTTTTCTATTTCATCCAAGTTATCTAACTTGTTAGTGTATAGTTGTGAATATTATTTCTTTGTAATTCTTTTTATTTTATTGAGGTTGGTTGTGATATCCCTCTTTCATTCCTGATTTTTGTAATTTGAATTTTATTTTTTTCTGGCCAATTTAGTTAAGTTTGTGGGTTTTTTTTTTTTTTTTTGATGGAGTCTCACTCTGTTGCCCATGCTGGAGTGCGGTGGCATGATCTCAGCTCACTGCAGCCTCCACCTCCTGGGTTCAAGTGATTCTTGTGCCTCAGCCTCCCGAGTAGCTGGGATTACAGGTGCGCACCACCATGACAAGCTAATTTTTGTATTTTTTAGTAGAGATGGGGTTTCACCATGTTGGGCAGACTGGTTTCAAACTCCTGACCTCAGGTGATCCTACTGCCTTGGCTTCCCAACGTGCTGGGATTACAGGTGTGAGCCACCATTCCTAGCCAAGGTTTGTCATTTTAGTTCATCTTTGCAAACAATTTTTGTGTTTTTAAAAATCTGCTCAGTGTTTTTCTCTTCTCTACTTTATTTATTTTCATTTTAACCTTATTATTTCCATCCTTGGTTTTGCTTTGATTTTAGTGGAAGATGACATTGTTGAGTGGAGATTTTTTTTAAAAAAAGCATTTAAAGCTATAAATTTCCCTCTGAGCACTTCTTTAGTTGCATCTATAAGCTTTGGTATGTTGTTTTTATTTTCATTCATCACATGGGATTTTCAAATTTAAATTTTTTCTCTGTCCCATTGGTTGTTTGAGAGTCTCTTGTTTAATTTTCAATTATTTTGTAGATGTCTCAAACTTTCTCTCATTGTTATTTTCTAATTTTATTTCTTTGTAGTTGGAGAATATATTTTGTATGATTTTAATTCCTTTACATTTATTGAGACCTGGCTTATGACCTAGTCTATGGTTTATTCTGAAAAATGTTCTATTTGTGCCTTAGAAGAATGTGTACTGGCTGGGTACAGTGGGTCACACTTATAATCCCAGCATTTTGAGAGGCTGTGGCAGAGAATCACTTGAGGACAAGAGTTCGAGACCAGCTGAGCAGCACAGCAAGACCACATCTCTATTAATAATAATAATAATAATAATAATAATAATAATAATAATAAGAATGTGTATTTTGCTGTTGTTGGGTGGAGTATTCTAGATGTATGTTAGGTCTAATTCACTTATGGTGTTGTTCAAGTCTTCGGTTTCCTGTTAAATCTTCTGCATAATTGTTTTATTCATCATTAAAAGCAGAGTATAAAGTATCCAGCTTTTATTGTGGAATTGTCTATTTTACCTTTCAATTCCATGAGTTTTTGCTTCATGTATTTTTTAGATCATTTTAAGTTTCTCTATAGTAACTTTTCATGCAGTTTTTTTTTCTTGTTATGATTTTTTTTGGATGGATTTTGAAACCCCTGCATTTTATAATTGATTTGTCTCCAGGGAAATTATGCCATAATGACAGTATTAAACTAAATAGCAATTAGTAAGGTAAATCATTTGCTATATCCATTTGTTTATTATTTTGCAACACTATTGTATTCTATCATCACTGAGGTTAAAAATATGTGTGTATGGGATTCTTTTTATATATATAGTTATATACCGAGGTGTGTGTGTGTGTGTGTGTGTGTATTACATAGAAAGAAGTCATAACAGTTTCCTGAGAACAATAAGTCATATACATTGAAGTCTGTGGATAACTTGAGCTTTCCTGGTGTAGAGGAAAGGGGTTGTAGAAGGTTGTTTTCCTCTAAAATGCTTGTTATATGTGGAAGTGGTATGGAAAACTCTGCTGTAGATAGTTTGGAGTCTTGGCTACTTCATAAAACATGGAATGAAAAATTCGTCTTGAAAATTACTGATAATGGTAAGTATAACTAGGCATTGCATGTTTATTTTTAAAAAGTCTTATTGCTCTAAAATATGGAATACTAATCTATACTCCCCATCCAAAGAATTTGTTTTTGGAAATTCTTACTTATATTCTCCTCTTGCCATCCTGCCATCTCTCTTCTCTCCCCCGTTTCCCATCCCTGCCAGGTCGACTCACCATAAGTAGAAAAATCTCACCATAAGTAGAAAAATCTCTTCATTAAATCTTATCTGTACCATGCTATCATCCCCATGGTTCTTATATCTGCTACAAAATAGCTAATCTAAAAAACTAACTTGTACCAATATAATGTGTTAGTCCTATTTTGGTTATCAATGGCTACATAAAAACAAAACAAAACACCAAAAATTGAAAAAAAAAAAGCCCCAAAACGAAGTGAACTAAAGATATGATGTCATTTGCTTTACCATCAATTCTGTAACTTGGGAAGACATGTAGACAGCTCATTTCTGCTACACTTGGCTAGAGGCAGCTCAAGTGGCTTGGAGGCTGGGTACCAGAATCTTCTGAAGACTTCACTTGCCTACATGTGTGGCTTCAATGCTGGCTGTGAGCTGGAACTTCAACTTTGGTATGGCCAGAATACTTACATGTGGCCTTTCAATGTGGCTACTTGGCTTCCTTACATGGCGTCTGGGTTCCAAGGATGAGCACAGAGATAGAGAGAGAAAGAGAGAAAGAGAGAGACAGAGAGAGGGAGAGAGCATGCCAGGCAGAAGCTTTATTGTCTTTTATGAACTAGTCACAAAAGTCATGCAGCATCTGTTCTGTTGTTTTCTTGTTGGCCAAGGCAGTCCAAACAGCCTACCTCAATTCAAGGAAAATGAAAAGAGGCTCCAAATCTTGATGGGGAGTGGTAACGATCTGATAGAGTGTGTGAAAGCAGAAATATTGCTGTGGCTATTTTTGGAAAATACAATCTGCCACATTTCTCAATGGTAGTATACAAATTTTAATTAGGCAACATTGGGATCTAAAGGAATTAATGTCAAAGTCAGAATTTTAGACAATAAAGCATACCTCTCAGGGAGATATTTAGGCAGCATGTTCAATAACTTTCAAATACTGTGGAGGCAACCACATATGCTGCAATACCTGGGCCAGTTCTGTAAAGAAACAATCAAGTTTTCTTTTCTTTTCTTTTTTTTTTTTTTTGAGATGGAGTCTCACTCTGTTGCCCAGGCTGGAGTGCAGTGGCTCCATCTCGGCTCACTGCAAGCTCCGCCTCCTGGGTTCACGCCATTCTCCTGCCTCAGCCTCCCAAGTAGCTAGGAATACATGCGCCCACCACCACACGCGGCTAATTTTTTGTATTTTTAGTAGAGACAGGGTTTCACTGTGTCGGTCAGGATGGTCTCGATCTCCTGACCTTGTGATCCACCCACCTTGGCCTCCCAAAGTGCTGAGATTACCGATGTAAGCTGCCACACCTGGTGGAAACAATCAACTTTTGTAAGGACCAAGTGAGCCCAGCTTTCCATGCAAAGTAGAATTTATTTTTGTAAATTTAATAATCTCAAAATATGAAGAGAGTGTTTTAAGAAGCCTGTTGTCACCGCTGCTTCAACTTGTACAGAAATATTGCCATCCAAAATGATCAAAATATTATCAGTGTGGGTTCTCTTTTAAAACTCTGAAATCACCTAAGTATAAAATTAGTACAGATTAGACAGTTTGTAAGATGTATATCAAAAAAAGTAGTATGTCAAGGAAAGTCAGAAAAGGAAATGGACTTGAAAGTCATCTAAAATTCTATAAAGAAAGAATGATTCTATTGCAACTGAGTGCCAAGAATATCAGCAGTGCCTTCTTCATGCTGTTTTTGAACTTAAAGGCTAAAAGTGATTGACATTTCTATAACCAGGCCTGATAATTTCCACGGTCAATACGTGTCCATTGAGAAAGTTCCATAGCTGGTGGGGAAAAGAACTACTCCAAAATTTTTTTGTTTGTCCCTTTGCCAATCAGAAATTTCTAGAAATGGACACATTTTACACTTTTATGCAAATACCAGTCTAATTACTGGCACCAAATACTGAAAATTACTGGAATAGAGCACTAAGTGAATATTGGGTTGTGAGAGTTAGTTATGATTCTGATTTGAGAAGAAAGAGATTGTTGCTTCATACTCTTTTTTTTTAAGATGGAGTCTCACTCTGTCACCAGGCTGGAGTGCAGTGGCAGGATCTCGGCTCACTGCAACCTCCAACTCCCTGGTTCAAGTGATTCTCCTGCCTCAGCCTCCCGAGTAGCTGGGATTACAGGCAGGCACCACCACGCCCAGCTAATTTTTGTGTATTTAGTAGAGACGGGGTTTTGACGGCTGTTACAGTCCGTTGTTGTCACTCCCTGTTTACTCCCATGAGTTGAAGGTTAAAGGTTAGGGAAACCCAAAGTTATCAGTTAACCAGAATACTTGACTAATTCTCCTTTACCGTTCCTCTGGACAAAGGGCCTTTATTTTATATGTAATCTCAAGACCATTGTGATAGGTACAGGGAGTTCTTGTTAAGTAAGTGCTCAGGATCCAAGCTACTCCACAGTTAGAATAAATGTGTAAATGAATGTACTCACTAATGAACCAAACACTTATGAAATTAGTCTCATCTAAGTGATTCAATCATTAGCACTTGTTTCTAGCCCACCCATCAGGTCAATTATTGGGGAGCCTGCCCCCAATAGTCACGTAGGTTCTTTTCTATTTTACCTAAGCGTCAGCCAGGTTGAGAAATAAAGGGACAGAGTACAAAAGAGAGAAATTTTAAAGCTGGGCATTGGGGGGAGGCATCACATGTCGGTAGGTTCCGTGATGCCCCCTGAGCCGTAAAACTGGCAAGTTTTTATTAGTGATTTTCAAAAGGGGAGGGAGTGTACGAATAGGGTGTGGGTCACAGAGATCACATGCTTCACAAGGTAATAGAATATCACAAGGAAAATGGAGGCAGGGTGAGATCACAGGACCACAGGACCGGGGCGAAATTAAAATTGCTAATGAAGTTTTGGGCATGCATTGTCATTGATAACATCTTATCAGGAGACAGGGTTTGAGAGCAGACAACTGGTCTGACCAAAAATTTATTAGGCGGGAATTTCCTCATCCTAATAAGCCTGGGAGCACTATGGGAGACTGGGGCTTATTTCATCCCTACAGCTCGACCATAAAAGACGGCCGCACCCAAGGGGGCCATTTTAGAGGCCCACCCTCAGGGACGCATTCTCTTTCTCAGGGATGTTCCTTGCTGAGAAAAAGAATTCAGTGATATTTCTCCCATTTGCTTTTGAAAGAAGAGAAATATGGCTCTGTTCCACCCGGCTCACCAGTGGTCAGAGTTTAAGATTATCTCTCTTGTTCCCTGAACATTGCTGTTATCCTGTTCTTTTTTCAAGGTACCCAGATTTCATATTGTTCAAACACACATGCTCTACAATTTGTGCAGTTAATGCAATCATCACAGGGTCCCGAGGTGACATACATACTCCTCAGCTTATGAGATGACAGGATTAAGAGATTAAAGTAAAGACAGGCATAGGAAATCACAAGGGTATTGATTGGGGAACTGATAAGTGTCCATGAAATCTTCACAATTTATGTTTAGAGATTGCAGTAAAGACAGGCATAAGAAATTATAAAAGTATTAATTTGGGAAACTAATAAGTGTCCATGAAATCTTCACAATCCACGTTCTTCTGCCATGGCTTCAGCCGGTCCCTCCATTCAGGATCCCTGACTTCCCGCAACAGTCAATGTCAAGCAGAATATGTAATGTAAATAGAACCCAAATATATTACACCATAAATTTGCAAACCTTGTAAAAGGATGATGGCGGCTGGGCGTGGTGGCTTACGCCTGTAATCCCAGCACTTTGGGAGGCTGAGGCAGGCGGATCACAAGGTCAGGAGATCGAGACCGTCCTGGTCAACATGGTGAAACCCCATCTCTGCTAAAAATACCAAAAAAAAAAAAAAAAAAAAAAAAAAATAGCTGGGTGTGGTGGCATGTACCTATAGTCCTGGCTACTCAGGAGGCTGAGGCAGGAGAATGGCGTGAACCCGGGAGGCAGAGGTTGCAGTGAGCTGAGATCGGACCACTGCACTCCAGCCTGGCAAAAGAGCGAGACTCCGTCTGAAAAGAAAAAAAGAAAAAAAGGATGATGGCAACACAGATACTTTAGAAATGAGGGATTCGAATATCAAAGGGTAAGGTAAAGTCCTTGGGAAAATTGATGAAATTCTAGAAGACTTTTCAAAAGTCTGAAAATGGAATATGAAAGAAAGACTGACATAGGAGCTTTCATATAATTTTATCAAAAGGATCATGCCAAAAGCAAAAAGTCAATCCTTAATTCTATTTTTGTTTCTTGTAGGAATTAGGACATAATTGTTATTATAAACAAATTTTTAAGTGTAAGATTGATTTTTAAAAAATAATCTTTAGTTTCTCTTTGCAATATGATTGTCCCTATAAAATTTTTCCATTATTTAATAATAAATGATATTCCCATTTTTAGTGGATTTAATGTTTCTTTTATGAATTATCTTCAAATAATGACGTTATAAACTGATACTTTTCATCTTGTCAGTTTCTCAAAGGCCTGGATATGAACATATTCTCTCTCCAGGACTGGAACCCTAAAGATACTTCCTAATCCTAAATACTGGTTGATATCACCCTTAACAATTTTTAGACTTACAGTAGATTCAGTTTAGATATTCTACATTAGATTACAGTTGGACATTCTAGTTAGACATTCTAGTTAGTAACATTCTAGTTAGAGTTTGACATGACCTTGGAGATTTTCCACTGGAGCCCTCCTATCTTCCCATTGAGGAAACTCAAATCCGACCCTGGTTTCCCTGTTAACTGCTCTAGTAACATTGATTCTGTTGTCTCCATATGCTTGGACCTTTCCCAACTTGCGTGTGGGGTCTCATCTAAACAGAATTCTGCCTGAAATGTTTCCCCCGCCCCACACTTCCCTCCACCCTTCTCAATTTTTACCAGCCCTTTAAGATCATTCACTCAATCTCTTAGGAGGAGAGAAAAATAACTTTTTCTGTTTTAAATTTTTTTTTCTTGGATGCCTTGAATATTATTTATATCTCTGGCTTTGTAAAATAAAAATATACAATTGAAAATGTTCAGAAAGACCAGGTGTTATGGCCAGCACTTTGGGAGGTGGAAGAAGGAAGATCACTTGAGGCCAGCAGTTCAAAGCCAGCCTGGGACCCTGTCTCTACCAAAAAAAAAAAAAAAAAAAAAAGAAAAAAATTAGCCAGGCATGGTAGTGTACACCTGTAGTCCTAGCTACATGAGAGGCTGAGGTGGGAAGATCACTTGAGCTCATGAGCTTGAGGTTACAGCAAGCTATGATCACAACACTGTACTTCGGCCTGGACAGCAGAGCGAGATCCTGTCTCATCCTCAAACAGCAGAATCTCACAGCATTTATCAACATGTCTAAAGAGAGACAAAGTACAGCACCTAGGCATGTGTTTCTTTTTGGGGATTTGGTGACATCACAGGAATTGGTGTACAAATACATCGACTGGAATATCCAAGGCGCTTCCCTCTCGGTTTATCATGGAGATGAATCCAAATCCCATGCGCACATTGAACCACTTACAGTGGCCAGTTCCGCGCAAAACCTGGGATTCCTCCTCTGCCGGCTCCAGCAGCTTCCCGGGGTCTTCTCCACGACCTTTGCTCGCCCCGCCAATTTAAGAATATGGCACTGTTTTTTCTGTGCCTTCCCCCAAAACTTTTGAGCCTAAAATCCTTTTATAATATAAATTGCCCATAAGCTTTTAAAGCTCCTAGAGTGCTTCTTTCACATAAAGTCGTCCTATGAGTCTTCTAGAATGCTTTCCAATTTGTCACTTTCCTGAAGTCTTCTGGTTTTAATTTTTTTTCTCATTTCCTACTTGTTTTTAGTGCCTGAAAGACCTGTGTTTGACTCAAAAGGCGTGTTTTATTCCCGCAAAAGCCAAATACTTTATAGCTTGACTTATAGTTCTTTCGAAATGTCTTTAAAATCAGTTCAAGTAGCTACAAAGAATCGTCAATGTACTGGGGGGAAAAAGCAAGGAAATAAAACTATCATATGCCTGTTGGCTATCACAATCATCCCCATTTAAAAAACAAGGTACACGTTTTCCCAGACTTTTTTTTCCAACAGTACAAGGAGCCGAAAGAGGTGCCAGAGCCCACCGTCGTTGTTTTCAGTTATAAGGAATGAGTGACTGCTGTTAAAGCAGAAACAATGCTTCGGTTCTTCTTAAAACTAGGAGGAGGGGGCTGTGGCAATGCGGCAAGTGACTCCACCCGTCCTCTCCTCCCCGCAGATAAGGCGGGGTCTGTAGCCCAGCGCTGCCATCGCAACCTGCCTCTCCAGGCAGGTGGCTCCCCAGGCGGCCGAGACCTGAGACCCCAGACCCCGCGCCAGCAGATCTGCACTTTCCCTCCACCTCCTGCCTCTGCAGCTTCCTCTCACCTTTCTTTCCTCAGTCACTTTTCCCTTTATTCGTCATTTTACCATCTCCTCTCCCTAAGTGGGGTAGATCCAAAGAAGGCTGGTGATTTCTCACTAATTAAGGGACTTTTACATTTGTCATCTTGTCCCCAAGAACACCAAACAAAAGAAATCCGTGCCTTCACTACTATGGCAAAAACACTGTGCACAACCTACTATTTTTACTGAATTTCCAGACGTATATCATTTATAATTTGATCCCTTTTCCTATGAGATGCCAGAATCTCCTAAAGCTAAGCTAAGTGTGTTCCTCTGTTTTAAATTTTTATATCACTTGTCTGTGTACACATTTGGCAGTTATCACCTAATGTTTTCTTAGCACTAATAGTGACAGGTAATTCCATATCTACTGATGTCACTCAAATCATCTCCACATTCCGCTTTTTTTTTTTTTTTTTTTGAGGTGGAGTCTCGCTCTGTTGCCCAGGCTGGAGTGCAGTGGTGCAGTCTCGGCTCACTGCAACCTCTGTCTCCTGGGTTCAAGTGATTCTCCTGCGCCAGCCTCCTGAGTAGCTAGGACTACAGGCATGTGCCACCACACTCAGCTAATTTTTTGTATTTTTAGTAAAGATGGGGTTTCACCATGTTGGCCAGGCTGGTCTTGAACTCCTGAACTTCAGCAGTCTGCCTGTGTTGGCCTTCCAAAGTGCTGGGATTACAGGCGTGAGCCACCAAAACCTCATTTTTGAGACAAAAGTCCTTAGCATTTTAACTGCTTGTTACATTTATCTCCATATTTTTATTTATTTTGTACTTAACAACTTTTTTTCTCACAGACAATTTTAAACACACATAGAAATTCTCCCTGTTTGATTTTTAAGAGTTTCTTTGTTCTGTTTATTTTAGTTTCTGTCTTATTTTGCTTTGGAGTTTCTGTTGGCTGCTCATCATTAGAAGTGAGTAATTAGAAAGCTGTTTGGGAGCTGTGTGTATGTTTGTGGTATTTGTTGACTAATGGGCTAATGGGTTTCCTTGTAGGGTGGCAGTACTTATATGGGGCATAATTGTTTCCCCTAGGAGACATTTGGCATTGTCTCGGGACATTTTTGAATGGCCATCACTGACATGTAGTGGGAGAAACCAAGGATGCTTTGAAACATCCTGCAATGCACAAGACAGCCTCAGCAACAAGGAATTCTATGGTCCAAAACGTCAATCATGCCAAAGTGACTGGGCATCATCATCTCCGGCATATTGATGATTAGACAACTGAGAGATCTATTCACAAAACTATTTCACAAAAATTATATATAGAGCTTCTTGGGGGGCATTTATTTTCTCCACCAAGGGATCCTCTGATATTCTGTCAGCAGATATTTTCTTAAAATTAAATTTATTTGAAAGTGTTTTGAGAGTGAGGTAGGGAAGGGAGCTGGCATTCTCAGAACCTGTCTTTAGTTGGATGCCTTCTCCTGCTTTCTGGGTGCCAGGTGTTCCAGAGTCTAGGGTCTCTCTGCTGCAGTGTCCTTTGAGAACAAGCACTGCAGTATGCTGTGGGGGTTAGGGAAGAGCAGTTGCTTGGCTGTGATGAGGGCATGGGGATCTGAGAGCTTAACTGCTCCTTATACAGATTATCAACTGATCACATACATTTCAGTCTATCTTCTAGGTTACCTGGAGCCTTCAATTTCTGTGAGCTTCTCTCTCCTCCCTCCTTCCCGTCTCACCTTCCCTCCATCTCTTCCTTCTTTCCTTCCTTCTTTTTCTCCCTTTCTTTCCCTCCCTCCCTCCCTTCCTTCCCTCCCTCCCTCCCCTCTTTCCTTCCTTCCTCCTTCCCTCCCTCCTTCCCTCCCTTCCCCTCTTCCTCCCTTCCCCCTTTCTCCTTTCCTCCCTTCCTCCCTTCCTTCCTTCCTTCCTTCCTTCCTTTTTTTCTTTCTTTCCTGAATAGGATTTCTTTTTTGGAAACCTTTCCTGAAGTCATGTTTTAAGCTTTCTCAGCTCTGGTAAATCAGTTACCATTCCTATATCAACTTTCAGTCTCAAAAAAACATGTTAATTTCTTCTTCATTGTCTCCTCTCCCATTCTCTTTACATTTTGAATTTAGACTTTTTACATTTATTTCACTATTGCTTTAGTGAATTTTTATTGAACCGTGTGACAATCAACCATATATTCAGCATGCCTTGTTAAAAGGTAGTTCAAATATGCCCTTAATCTTTTTGCGTGGCTTTAGAGTATCAGATAATTTTAAAAAATGATATAAAATAATGAAGTGATTCATACTCCAGAGATTCATCATCTCCTTTTCTGGGATAGGGCATCTGATGTACAAATAAGGGCAAATGACCAGGGGGCACAGATTGTCAGACCTGAAACAGCAGTGTTCACTGGAGAAGTTTCAGACTGTAGGGGTAGCAGGCACGTGGGCACCTTTGGCCTGTTTATTCTAGGCCAGCACAGAGTTCTAGCAAAGCCAGACTTCAGATTGCCTGAGAGGGGCTTTCACCTGCATAATTAGGGATGCTCCAGCCCCTCTCCTAGAGTGGTAAGAGGCCATGATACAATAGCACTATGACGTGATGGAATCTTGGCAGCAGCCCTAGCCCTTACCTAGAGAATGGCAAAGCTGCAGAAGAAACTGCCAATGGAGTGCTCAACTCCAGAAGCCTGAAACCTAGGTCGGCTTGGCAAGGTGCCTTGCGCCCCAGTGTCATGGCTGCGGTGGAGCCGCCCACTTCAAGGGGCCCTGCAGAATCAGACAGTGAGGATAGTGGCAGCAATCACAATGGGCTGAAGATTAAATAACTCTTGTTGACTTTTTCAAGTATTTATAAGCTCCCCAGATTCCCATGGAAGTCTACAGAAGGACATAATGAGAAAAGTAGGTTTAAAGGAAATAATGTGAAATTTCTTCCACACTTGAGTTGGTGAGTTAAACGCCACTTAGTCTATATGTGGTTTAAATGTTGTCCCATTGCCTCATTATGGCCTGATGTAAATTCATATGAAACTAGGATATTTAAAAGCTTATTGGGATAGCAAAATAGAGTTGATGTATTCACTGCAAAGATTATGGAGACCATTTATTGCTCTGAACATTTCAATATGTTGGCTTCTTGAGATTCCAACCCCAAGGGGACATGATAGTGATGAAGATGGAGAAATAGAAGTTTAAACAGCACAATTTGAAGAGGGGGCAAAAGTAACACTTTGATGAACCTAGACCATATAGACCAGTATAAGGTCAGCAAAGTCTGGAGGACCATGTGCTCTCTCCCTAGATTGGACCAGAAGCCCAGGCTCTACTTTTAGGAAATGGCTCAGAGAGCGCCCACTGAACTTGTCTCTGATGTCTTAGGCAGATCAAATGCTTCTCTGGTCTCTGCTTTCACAGATGGAGGATCAGGGGTGTGTGAGCACCACCCCGCTTGGTCTTGGAGACGGATCAAATCCAGACTGGTGAGTTCCGGGGGCTTGGGCAAAGTGTGGATAGAGTTTCTGAGGGTAGGATGATGAGGACATTTGGCTTGGGGGCTGAGAAGGAACATTTTTCCTGTAAAATTAAATCTTTACTAAGACTACTGCCATTAGGGGCAAGTACTGAAGAAGATCATGTGTTTCAAAGTAAGTAGCCTGACAAGATCTTGTTTGGGTTAAAAATACGTATTTATCTTATTTTCATTTTCAATATCTTATTTTACAGAGTTCTCTATTAAGAGATGCTATGAGTGGCTAGGCGTGGTGGCTCCTGCCGGTAATACCAGCATTTTGGGAGGCCGAGGCAGGTGGATCGCCTGAGGTCAGGAGTTTGAGAGCAGCCTGACCAACATGGTGAATCCCCATCTACTAACAATACAAAAATTAGCTGGGTGTGGTGGCGCATGCCTGTAATCCCAGCTACTCGGGAGGCTGAGGCAGGAGAATTGCTTGAACCTGGGAGGTGGAGGTTGCAGTGAGCTGAGATAGCACCATTGCACTCCAGCCTGGGTGACAAGAGTGAAACTCCATCCAAAAAAAAAAAAAATGCTATGAGTAAACAGCATTGCACCGTTAAGTAGTTTACAGGATCTGTTGAAGAAGACAGGGAGTCTCTTACCAACAACAAAAGGCGTTCCAACGCCTGGAATTCAACCGTATGGATGCACAGTGTGTTCTAGTTATAAAGTGGCTGATTTCAGGTAAAAGGAAAAAGTAAAGGAAAAAATCCTGTAGTGAGTGGGAAATAATAAATGCCTACGAGGCAATCCTTGGCATTCCTTGGCCTGTCACTCCAGTCTCTACCTTCAGCTTCCCATAGCCATCTCCATATTTCTCCTTTTCTCAAATCTCCCTCTCTTTTCTCTTAGAAGGATGCTAGTCATTGAACACAGGGCCTTCCTAAATCTGGATGATCTCATCACAAGAGTCTTTACTTAATTACATCTGCAAAGCCCTTTTCTCCAAATAACATCATGTTCGCAGATACTGAGGGTGGGGCCTGGATACATCTTTCAGGGGCCACTATGAAACTCATTACAAAGGCCTAATTCATTTTTCCTGATTGGCCCACACTGCTTCTCCGTCCTCTGGGATGCTGCAGTACTATTCTGTTTGTGCGCCTGTCTCACAGGAGTGATTAGCAGATCTTTATACTCGGTGTCTCTAGCATGATGCCTGATGTACCATAAGGCTTCAATGTGTTTGTTGAACTTAAGCAAAGCATCGCTTGCATCATGTCCTGAGTGTAAGCCTGGCTCACACTCAGCCGTGATATGTTATTCAGATCACAGCCACTCACGATACTCTGGGAAGTCAGCACGCTCCTACCAAGGCCAGACATCTCTGAACTGGAAAACACTTTACTCAGAGCTACCCATTTTTTTTTATGTCTTATAGAAGGGGCCAAGTGGAGAGGGCAGCTACTCATGTACTCATTTTTATTCATTCGTTTGTTCATCCATTTAAGAAACACTGAACACCTATTCTGAGCCAGGCCCTGCCCCAGGCATTTGAGATACAATGTGTGTATGGTAAAACCCTCAGCATCTGGGCTGGGATTGGAACAAGTGAACACTCAATTTACATTTATTGTGGTCATGGCCTGAGTGTGGAAGGAAGTGTAGAGTGCTGTGAAAGTCCTCAGACAGGCCCCGAACCTAGACTAGTGGTCAGGGAGATTGTCCTGGAGGAAGTGACATAAATACTGAGACTTGGAGAGAGAGGGTGGTCACCTCAAGTGCAGTGGTGGCAGTGGAGAATTTCAGAAATGTAGGTGGTAACATAGGAAAGTTTGTTTTTTTGTTTTTTTTGTTTTTGTTTTTGTTTTTTTAGACAGTGTCTCGCTCTGTCACCCAGGCTGGAGTGCAGTGTGTGATCTTGGCTTACTGCAACATCTGCCTCCTGGGTTCAAGCGATTCTCCTGCCTCAGCCTCCCGAGTAGCTGGGACTACAGGCGCATGCCATCATGCCCAGCTAATTTTTGTATTTTTAGTAGAGACAGGGTTTTGTCATGTTGGTCAGGCTGGTCTCGAACTCCTGACCTCAGGTGATCCACCGCCTTGGCCTCCCAAAGTGCTGGGATTACAGGCGTGACCCACAGCACCCAGCTGCAGGGAGGATTTTAAAGGCAAAAAAAGGGGGACAGGGAGCGGCTGATATAAAATTGTCAGGAATTCTCATTGGTTTATAGAAATAACAGTGATTAATGATTGGCTACACATTGTTAAGTTATAGAGTATGGATTATGGTGTCCATTGTTGCATTGTTAGATAATTTATAGCTACTTATAGCAACAGTAAGCAGTTTCAAGAGATGAATACATAGTTCAAAGGGCATATGCTGGTCTCATTTTAATGTCTCTCTAGGCCTGGTAATTTAAAATAATTTGTGTTGTTCACATGTTAATTTCTTGTCTCAGCCTGCAGAAATGCCTTTTAAAAATGGTCTTGCTCATTAGCTGTGTCTTATTATGAAATTGTGTCATTAGAAGTTGGTCCATCATTCCCAAATTGTGGTCCCCAGATAAACAATATCGTATTCTAGGGGTCAAGGAGAAAACTTCCCCTTTGCCCTCTGAAGGTTTGCTGAAAAATGAACTCACAAAAGGCAGATTAATTAGAGAAAAGGCATACAAAATTTATTAACGTGTACGTGGGAAGGACTACAGTGTGACTGCCCAACCCCGTAATGGAATGCAACTTGAGCTTACAGAAATAATGAAGGCTCACTGCATGGCCGAAACCAGGTTATGGTGGTCAATCAGGTTATAGTGGCAAGACAGGTTATGGGACGGGGAGAAGAAGTGGCTTGTTTAGAAAAGGTGATCTTGTTAGGTAACAAAGTAGCAACCTTCAGAGAGATAGGTGGTAAATGTTTCTTTCTGATGTTTAAAGGTGTCAGACTCTCAGGTAATCTTCCTACATCTGGACAAGGGAGGACCTAGCTGCATTAATGTAGATTCTCTACAGATGCAAATCTTCCCCACTAAAGATAGCCTTGCAGGGCCACTTCTGTTTGCGGGCTCTTTGACAACCATCTATCTCCCAAAATATGTCAAGTAAATATACTTTGGGGTAAAAAATTTTGATTTCCTTCAATAGTATCTGGGAACTCATTAGAAAGTCACATTGTCAGAAAGTGTAGTGATGGGGCCCCCATATTCTGAGCTTTAAAAAGCCCTCCAGAATATTCTGATGCACTTTGATGCAGCTGGAGAGACACTGCCTTGAAGAATTGCATCCTTAGCTAAATACATAGTAAAACCCAACGCAAAGTCAAATAGTATCTAAGTGAAATCAAATCAAAATGCAAATCCCCATGGGGATACTTTGCAGTAGGAATTATTTTTAATAAGATTACAAAGTAAATGAATCAGATTCTTTTTAATGTAACAGCTGACTGACAGCTGGTTTTGACAGGGTGAAAGCCTGTGAGACCACAGAACAGCAAGGCCTTGGCTGGGAATGTGGGGCACACAGTGGAGGAGAACTCGAAGAATGTGTTAGTAGTTTCGTTGCTGTGATTAAGGAAGTTGGCATGTTGCTGCCAATCAAATCTTGTGTTGAGGGGGTGTTTTTAAAATTAGAGATGCCTTTTGGAAAGATTCTCTAGCTCTGGTTCCTGAACACAAGGGGTTTGGTGTTCCTCCATGTAGCCACTAGATGGCAGGCTCACGCCATTTTTCAAGCAGCCAACCCTGTCTAAATTTAGGGGGGGAAATGAGCCTAGGAATTTGAAAAGGGTGCCAGCTTATTCGTTTTTATCCTGCGCGTGGTTTTGACATTCTATTTTTTTGGACTTCATCCATTAATTATGACACTCAAAGTTTTTTGTTCACTGAGAGGCAAAGAGCCAAAGCTTTAATTAAACCCGTGGGGGCACTGCCTTGCGGCAGAGAAGGGTAACTACCATGTGCCAGCGCTTACATAAATTGTTTCATTTAATTCTCACAGCATCCTCATGAAATAAGTGTTGTTATCCACAGTTTTACATAGGAGAAAACTGACGGTCAGAGAGGCTTAGCAAGAGCCCAAGACCACCCAGCTGAAAGGTAGAAATGAATTTGCCAGTAAACCACGCTCATTAAATTCTTGAGGAATAGTCATTGCAATTAGTAGATTTATTGCAATCTTAGGAAAGTACAGCTAGATTCAGCCCGAGGTTTTATGATGAAATGAGAATTATACACGTTTTTTTTTAAAAAAATATATTCTCAGTATTGCAACATTCTAAGTTCCACTGGTTTTATTTGCAGAATGGCATGTTAGCCTTTTCTAGATTTATTATAGAAAATAAATCAGTTTATTTTTATGTTTTTTGAGACAGAATCTCTCACTATGTCGCCCAGGCTGGAGTGGTGGAGAGGCGCAATCTCGGCTCACAGCAACTTCCGCCTCCCAGTTCAAGCGATTCTCCTGCCTCAGCCTCCCGAGTAGCTGGGATTACAGGCACCCACCAGCACGCCTGGCTAATTTTTGTATTTTTAGTAGAGACAGGGTTTTGCCATGTTAACTAGGCAGGTCTTGAACTCCTGACCTCAAGTGATCCGCCCGCCTCGGTCTCCCAGAGTGCTGGGATTACAGGTGTGAGCCACCGTGCTCGGCTGGAAATAAATCAGTTTTAATTAGGATTTAGAAATTAAATCTCTGAATCTAACTGAATGTTAGAATTGTAACCCCTAAGCTCCAAACTGTAATCTATTTGCATAGAAATTTAGGTGTGATTTTCTTGTAGCAGGCACCACTTTCTACTTTGTATTAAAATTGCATCAGTTCCTGAAATCCTCTACTTCCTTGTGAATCCAGGAAGACAGGCTCCTTGCCTGAGTCATTTTTTAATATTTTTGGCTTACGTTGCCTTTATTGATTGTTTTCCCAAAGCATTCAACTTAGTTCTCATAGAAATAGCAACTTTTCTCCCTTTTTGCCCTAAGTTTTCTTTGCCTTGTGTATTAAATTTTACTGTCTAATTACAAACACACTCTTAGTAAGCATGCAACACAGCTGGAGGCAGCAGAAGTGTGTGGGCATTCCAGGAAGTCACATACAAGCCTCAAACATTCAGCCTGCCCTGGCCACTAGTCAGTAGGTTTTGCAGAGGTGCTCGAGAATTTGCATTAATCTACTGAGTCTAGTAAGAGAGTTTCTACTGTATCTGGATTGTGTCTCTCAGATAGGCTGACAAAACCACAAGGTGGAAACCATGAATGGTATTAGTCCATCTCAATAATAAAGCAACATTTGGCTGCCATTTTATCTGTCTGACTTTTCTGAATCAACTGATATCTCGGCATCATATAGAGGCACCTTTGTGTGTGTGTGTGTGTGTGTGTGTGTGTGTGTTTGAGACAGAGTTTTGCTCTGTTGCCCAGGCTGGAGTGCAGTAGCACGAACTTGACTCACTGCAACCTCCCGCCTCCCAGGCTTAAGTGATTCTCCTGCCTCAGCCTCCTGAGTAGCTGGGATTACAGGAGTGTGCCACCACGCCTGGCTAATTTTTTGTATTTTTAGTAGAGACAGGGTTTTGCCACATTGCCCAGGCTGGTCTCGAACCCCTGAGCTCAGACAATCTGCCCGAGAGGCAACTTGTTGGGAGAAATAACCAGTTTGAATGAGAGATCCTGTAAGGATTGGTTGATCTTCTTGGGGAAGAAAAACTAAGCAAAATAATTAACCACGTGAAGAAACGATTTAACAGACACTTCTCTTGTCAGGCAAGGGAAGTAATGTTTATTGAGCTCCAATTTTATGCTGTGCACTGAGTCAGAGATTGCACACATGCCACCTGATTCGCTCCTTACAACAGTATGATAAATTAAAAATTCTTATTCCCATTTTACCGATAAGGAAACTCAGTCTCAGAACACTTTCAGTAACTTACATGTGATAAAACAGGTAGTAAGTGGCAGGAAGTTATCAGGAAGAGTGTGTGTAATCAGGGCTGGGGCAACACTGGTGCAAAATAATTTATGATAAGTGAAACATCTACAATTTTCGTAAGAACAGGATCAGTAATAACGTTGTGCTGAACCATACTGGAGCCCGAAGCCAAGGGAATTTTTTGATGCCCCTTAAATTCTGTGCCAAGACAGGAGCCTCATTTGCTTCGCCCTAGGCCCAGCCCTGCAAATACTACAAAGTGCTTGTTCAGAAAGCTTTTTTCCAACATTTATCTAATAACAATTTATTGACTGGCTACTGTGCACCCGTCACTATGATCGGGTTTTGAAACAAAACATTAAGTTAGAATGTACCTGATTTCTGCTTTCCTGATACTTGTGGAACACCCTGCTCAAAGCTGGAAAGTATTATTATACAATAGATGACTCTTAGCTGGAAAGTATTATTAGATAATAGATGACTCTTAGTCACTTACTCCTTTGTTGTAGATAAGGAAAATGTGGCAAACTAGAGCCATGGAATTGGACTTTCATGGCCCCCATGTCTCTGCTGAATTTTGTAACTTCAGAAAACAATTTGTAGATTGAGATCACAAAGTCTTATGTTTGATGTGTTGAATAAACCATGTTCTTCAAGATCTTCTCTTTCATTAGTATCCCTTGACCAGGCAGATTGGAATATTGTCCTAATCATGGAGACCATACGTTATCTTTCAGTTTCATAGTGATTACAAGCATGAGTTTTGGCACAGCCAGACTTGAGTCTGTGAGTTATTAAGAACAATTGGGGCCTGGTGTGGTGGCTCAAGCCTGTAATTCCAGCACTTTGGGAGGCCGACGCGGGTGGATCATGAGGTCAGGAGATCAAGACCATCCTGGCTAACAGTGAAACCCTGTCTCTACTAAAAATCCAAAAATAATTAGGTGGGCATGGTGGCATGTGCCTGTAATCCCAGCTACTCAGGAGGCTGAGGCAGGAGAATCCTTTGAACCCGGGAGGCAGAGATTGCAGTGAGCCGAGATTGCGCCACTGCACTACACTCCAGCCTGGGCGACAGAGGGAGACTCCGTCAAAAAAAAAAAAAAAGAAAAAAGAAAAATAAATAAATTAAAAAAAGGACAACTGGTATCCCAGTTCTACTGGTAACTTTGGAGAACTTATTTAACATCTCTGTACTACTGTTTCATCAGTAAATGGTGGGTAATAAGAGTAGTAAGCTAAACTATATCAGGTGCTTACAACAATTCATGGTACATAGTAGGTGCTTAATATAAGTGAGCTTCTACTATTATAGTAACGGCCGCAATAGTTCTGTCACTAACTCTGTGATCCTCTGTAAATTACTTGGCTTATGTAAGCTTTAGTTATCTCAATTGACAAATGAAAGAAAATAATTGTACCTACCTCCTGAGGCTCTTGTGCTGACTAAGGCAGAGAATAAATGAAGATCACTTGGCTTGGCATATAAATGCTTGGAAAAATGTTAGCTCTTTTTTTTTCTAAAATGACTCTTTTAAACTAAAGATCCTTCAAAATTCAATGGCAGTTATAGATCATTCATCTTCTGTACTTGATGTTGTTCATAGTGCCTGGGACATAGCAGTACTCAATAAATCTTTGATGAAAGCATACAGAAATAAATAACGTTAGAGACATAAAAGCCCATAAGTAGCTGAGGTGTGCACGCAACGGTGAAGTAAGTAAAGGTCATTTCGTTTTGTGTGTGTGTGTGTGTGTGTGCGCACGCATGTGTGTGTAAGGAGGGAGGGGGGAGAGAGAGGGAGGGAGAGAGAGGGATAACATATAAGAAAGTAAATGAAAAGCTTCATTGAATTCTAGTGAATTTTGTGCTTCCCTTGCTTATGTTTAATAAAGATCACACAGAAGGAAGCTTCAAAAAGACAATGCAGATTTTCACAAGTGGAAAAGGATATTCGCAGTTCTATGGCTATCGATTTCTCTGACAAATCACTCAAGTCCAGTGGAGTTATTCAAATAGATATCAGAATAGATTATTACTTCATTGGAAAAATTTAAAGCCAAAGAACACAGAACATTGGAGTTATATTTTTTGATCCTCTCCTTGATCATGTTCTTAGCTGAGCTTACCCTTTTATTCTCTTTCCACGTCTTTCTCAAAAGTTAGAGAAAAAAAAAACAGGTCAATCAATATTTACTTTGAAGATGAAAAGCTCTAGCTTTCTTAGAGTACATATTTTAAGCTGATGCCACTGAAATGAGAATACCTGAGCCCTCCACACCACATTCAGAAAGCTTTTATCTGTATTTACTACCAGTTAAATCGTTTTCAATAATTGACGATAAGAAATAATCAGCTCAGTTGTTGGGAGATCAGGCTTTAGTGTTTTTGTCATCACAATGTCAAAATTGTTGGACTAGTTAAAAAAATCATCATCTTTTAGAATTTTGCTTGTCCTTATTAAACAACTAGTTGGATTAAACCATCCACTTAATAAAAAACTAGTTAGGAGTGTGAACTTTTGGGTCACATAGCATGGCTTTGAATTCCGATTATACTGTCTCTCATTGGTGAGATTTTGTAATTTACTTAAATTTTCTGAGCCTCGGCTCCCTCATCTATAGAATGGAGATAATAATATCTGTCTCATATTGTTGTTGTAGAAATTAAATGAAGTAATGCATGTAGAGTGCTTGGCAGCATTGGCGTATTGCAAGTGCTCAATAAATAATAATTATCACCATCATTATGGAGCTGATTGGGCATCAGAGAGCTGGAGCCACTGATGAAGTCACTTCTGTAAGGGGAAAAGTCAGAGTGCACGTTTTTTCCAAGGTTGCTATTTTGCAAACTTTAATATTAATGCACTCAATTCAAGAAGAGCTTCAGAAAAATTGGATAGCTGCAGAGGAAAATTACCTAATCAACAATGCAATTTGAAAGGTTGCTTCAAATTACACCAAATGCTAAAACTGAATGGTTAGGGAATAAGAATATGAATATGTCATGCTCTGGATTATTTTATCTTCTCATTTGCACCCCACATACACTTTCTTAAAAAATATTGGTGACTAGAAGTTCTTTTCGTGATATGGGAAAGAATGTTTTGTATGTAAACTATCTCTTTGAAACTGATTACGACAACTTTTGCAGAGAGATTCCAGCATGTCAGAAGTTTCTAAACAGTTAAACACAAAGAAATACAAGTTCAGGGTAAAATATTTTAATATAATCGCTTCTACCACCAGGTGAAGATGTGTGGGTATTTGATTTAGGGGGAAAACTGATGATATTTCTGAGCCATTCTAATGAAACTCATATGAGTAAAAATATTTGAGGGCTTACTATTTTATAGACCTCGTATTTATGGCTGTCAAAATATTTCTGAAAGAGATTAAGAGCCTATTCATTTCTCTACTTGATGAAAGTTATTTATTTTACTTTATTTATTTTACTTTACTACACATTTTCAGGATAATCCACCAGCAGTTTTCATATAGAGAATGATTATTGAAAGTGATCAGTTCTAACTCTGACTTTTGCAGGAATTAGTCAAGTGTAAGGCTGATTTTTCTGCTTAGGCACTACTGGCAGACAGATTAGGGTTTTAGAAACTTTGTAGGAATTGTGTTTGAGACCTGAAAAAAAAATTGTTTAAACTGGCTCAAAGATACAAGAAAAACACACAAAAAAGGATGAATATTAAATCAAATACTCATAAAACATATTTTGTCAATTTTAATGATTCTTTAATATATTAGTCATAAGAATTGTATTCAATTTAAAATCTTTTTTAGATTTTCTTTCCTTGTAAGCATTTCTAAGTATTTGGGATGATTGCTTGTATAAATGAAGTATAATATATTACTTAGAGTCAAATAATTTAACAAATAAAATTTATAAAATGTTTTAGGATGTTATTACAGCCAAAATTATTTTTAATGAGGGATTTGAGATGCATTTTCCTATGATTGATATGATGAAAGGGGGAAAACTGTAGATGTAAGAGTGATTGTGGTCATCTCAAAAGATCCCTGGGCTGGTTTTTATGTTTAGCTGGATATTTCTCTCTACATGACCAATATGGTAGTGGTTGAGCACCATGGTGGGATTAAGGGCTAAAAGCAAAGACACCAAGCTCTATTTGTGCCTGTCCCATCATTAAGTCAACAGAAAATAAGCAAGGTAGTTGCTTTTCAGTCAATAATGTCAGCTGGGTACTGTACTGCTATAATGGCCTGTCAGCTCTGATCCACTTACATAGAAAAATAGTAGAGGTGAGGGGGAAATGCCGTTTTAGTCATTGTCCTGAGAATCGACATGCTGTTTCTCTGTAACCAAACCAGAAAAAACTGAAGCATAAGTGCTGATTTCTTGAATAGCCAGTGGAGCTCAATTATTAAAAGAAACACAAAATCTCCAATGTAATAACCAGTTTTAATTTTAGAGGGTATAATAGTTGCCTAGAATCAAGCCAACGCTTCAGATTGGGGAGTGAAGATTTTAGAACCCACCAATGTACTAAACTTGCACACGGCAATGAATTTAATTAATTGATTAATTTTGTAATAACGAAGAAAGCAAATCAAGTGCACTGAGTCCATATTTTCTGATTCTAACATAAGACAAGTAAGAGTCAGCTCCTTTATTCCTAATACTAGGTAAAAAATTCATTCTTGGTCTCTGCTTTAGCTTCTTTTGCTCGTTTTTTTCAATAAATATTTGTTGAGCCTTTTTTAAGTTGCTGGCACAATGCTTGGCATATAGCAGTGAGTCAGTTAGTTAAGCTTCCTTGTCTTATTTAGCTTATGTAGAACACAGCACTGGTCATTCACACTGTGATGGGCACAAGTAAATGAGCCGCCAGGGTGTAAGATAATAAGTTGTTTGGGTTCACGATGGGTGATCCAGGATGCCCCTGCAGAGGAAGTGACTCATAAGCCAATAACTGAGGGATGAGAATAAGCCAGTCAGTTGAAGAGATGAGGAAGAGCATTCCAGGGAGGGGAACAGCAGGTGCAAAGATTGAGAGGTAGGAAAGAGCAGCTCTGTCTTTGGTGAACGGCACAGTAAGGAAAGCGTCAGGAAGAGTAGGGAAACAAACAAAAAAACACAATTCTCTATTTATTTTGCAAATACTTTTTAGGAGGCATTTTACTAAGCACTTTTAGGGATAGAAAGAAGATTAAGATGTAATCCTTGCCCTCAACAACAGAAAAAGATTATTATTTCGTTAGTATAGATTAATTCTATAAATCAATGGATATACTGTAGCTTTATATATGTGGATAATATATCTCTTTTTTTTTTTTTTTTTTTTTTTTTTTTTTGAGACAGAGTCTCACCCTGTCACCTAGGCTGGAATGCAGTGGTAGGATCTCAGCTCATGCAACCTCTGCCTCCTGGGTTCATGCGATTCTCCTGCCTCAGCTTCCCGAGTAGCTGGGATTACAGGCATGAGCAACAAGGCCTGGCTAATTATTGTATTTTTGTATTAGAGATGGGGTTTCGCCATGTTGGCCAGGCTAGTCTGGAACTTTTGACCTCAGGTGATCCACCCATCTCGGCTTCCCAAAGTGCTAGGATTACAGGCATGAACCACTGCACCTGGCCATATATCTCAAATTAAATTTGTCTAATAAACAGAAAAAAAATAGTTTTTAAGACAGAAATGATTGGATTTTTTAAGATACAGTTTTTTAAAGATAAGATATAGCCATATGAAGAAGCTGAGCAGTTGCCCCAAAATCCGTAATTCTTTTTGATCTCATGGTCTTAAAAATCTCAGATTTCCACTGTTACGTGACCTCTGGAAGGGGGCTTTTACCTTTCTGTGCTTCAAATACATCATCTGAAAAATGAAGGTTTTGTGTGGAACCTAGCTGTTGATTCAAATTGATTCGGGAACTGAATGATGTGTCCACATAACTGTTGCCAAATAATTACCAAAAAAAAAAAAAAAGGACACAGTTTCCAAATGTATTCTGTTTCTTCTTGCTGACATTTTCTTGGGGAAAATGGAAAGATTAGAATAGACGAATAGACATACAGTAATAAAAATTTGTTGATCTACTACTTTGTCCAGCTACTGGGGCAAGCACTTTATACGGTTTACTAGAGATTTCTTCTAGTGCTATCTTTTTGAAGAAAAACCTAAGTGGGATACTTGTAGTCTGGAATTGTTGATAAGGGGAGCTCTGAGGGCTTTAAAACACAAAAGCTATTTAGCCAGAGGGTAAAAAGGAGAAATCAAGCAAGGCAAGATACTAACATTTATTGAGTGTGTACTTTGTGCTGATTCAACACTATATTCTTTGTTTTTGTTTTTGAGATAATGTCTTGCTCTGTCCCTCAGGCTGGAGTGAAGTGGTAGGATCTCGGCTCATTGCAACCTCTGCCTCCCGGGTTCAAGCGATTCTTGTGCCTCAGCCTCCCACATAGCTGGGACTACAGGTGCACACCACCATGCCCAGCTAATTTTTGTATTTTTTGTAGAAATGGCGTTTTGCCATGTTGCCCAGGCTGGTCTTGAGCTCCTGGGCTCAAGTGATCTGCCTGCCTCAGCCTCCCAAATTGCTGGGATTAACAGGTGTGAGCCATTATGCCTGACCCAATACTGTATTCTTTACTTACATCTCATTCAATTTTCCCGACAAGCTTTAAGAGGAAAGTGTGATCATTGCCTTTCACAGATGAAGATATCAGTTCTGATGAAGAAAGCAAAACATAAGGAGGTTAAGGAACTCGTCCTTAGGCAGATACCTGGTAAGTAGCACAGGTGACATTGAAACTCCCATTTCTTAGAATCACAAATGTGGGCTATTTCCATGAAGAGAAACCAAGTTTTAGATGGGAAGATAGATGATTTCTAGATGTTTTTGTAATTCCTACTATTTTTGGCTTTACTCTTTGGCCATATTTTAATTTTTTTATCCCTACATCCACATTTTTCACATATACAAAACATTATTGGTGTGTTTGCTTCTTTTGAAGTTAAAAATCCTTTTTATTTTTTCTTTTATTTTTATTTGTTATTATTTATTTATTTATTTATTTGAGATGGAGTCTCACTCTGTCACCCAGGCTGTAGTGCAGTGGCACAATCTCGACTCACTGCAACCTCCACCTTCTGGGTTCAAGCAATTCTCCCTGCCTCAGCCTCCCAAGTAGCTGGGATTACAGGTGTGTGCCACCATGCCTGTTTCATTTTTGTTTTTTTTTTTTTAGTAGAGATGGAGTTTCACCATGTTGGCCAGTCTGGTCTTGAATTCCTGACCTCAGGTGATCCACCTGCCTCAGCCTCCCAAAGTACTGGAATTACAGGCATGAGCCACTGCACTTGGCCTCTTTTATTTTTAATTAACAAATAATAACTGTGTGTGTTTATGGGGTATAATGTGATGATTTGATCTAGGTATACATTATAAAAAGGTTCAATCAAGTTAATTAACATATCCATCAACTCACCAACTTATCACTTTGTGGTGAAGAGAATGTTAAAAATCTATTTTTTTAGCAATTTTGAAATACACAATACATTATTTTAAGCTGCGCAGTGCAATAGATCACTAAAACATATTCCTCCTGTCTAGCTGAAACTTTGTGCTCTTTGATCAACATCTTCCCTTTTCCCCTTCCTTGCTTTTTCCAGCAGACTCTGATAACTAACGTTCTACTCTCTGTTTTTAACTGAGATCATACCTTGTTTGCCTTTCTGTGTACTGGCGTATATTTCCAAATTTCCTTTACTTTTTTCTTAGATCATTTTAATATATCCGTCTTTTCCTCCGGTTTTCCCTTTGCTGTTTATGACCAAAGGCTGATTGATGAAAGGTTAACAATTCTCTAATTAACATATTAAATAGACTTTTATCCCTCCTGCCAATGTTGAAGCAACTGATTATCAGCCCTGTTTGGGAGCAGAGAAAGTTGACCTCAGATAGACCAATAGAGCCCGTCAAAGAGAAAAACGAAGAAGTGGGGTCTCCCAACTCCCTCAGTTCCAGGCCAATCTGTTATAATTGCTTAAGAACAAGGACTCAAATACTTGGAGTCTTCACTGATGCAGAGCTTCAGAAATAATGATTACAGCAAATCAGGGCTCATGAATATGCAGCTTATTTCTGCTTTGAGACACTTGAGTTATCTAAATTAAAAATACAAAATTATGGATTGCAAAGAAAGCAGCAGGAACTTTTTTATTTTAACAATTGGAAAATATCACTGGAAATGAAGTCTTCCTGCCAACATGAAGCACATAATAATCATGCCAGGAAAAGGATGTTTTTCTAAATGCTTGTTTTAAATAGATTTTCCCCCAAAAATTCTGTTTAAAGATAGACTACGGAAGCTCTAATTCATGTGATTTTTCTCTTTGTGGATTTCAGTTTCAGGGTTATTCATTTTGGGACAGAGTCTAACACCATCTCATTCACAAGATGTTCCTTAGAGTCAGCTTCTACCTTCAGAAATCCTGAAATAAAGAGGCTTGATTTTGGTGTTTTTTCCTTTTCTGTTGTTTTCAGAGTCTCTTCCATGTTCTTAAGATTGGTCTGTCAAAGACCTTCCATTCTACTAGGCTTAAACTTCCAGACCCTACCTTCATGTTTTAGACCTTATCTCTCCCCACTTTTGGTTTATCAAGATGATTTATTTGGTACTCTGTTTATTCAGAATCTTTTGAAGCAATATGGTTAATAAACAAGTGTGTGTATGTGTGTGTGTTAATATTTATACTTTTTCAGGTTACTATTTTCTTTTTACAAGTTAAATTTGCAAACCCCATTTTTGAATGTCTGAGCTTGCAACACCAGGTGGCTACCACATGGATAGAATTGCCTGGATCACATGGCAACTATCAGAGGTAGGAACACATGACTGTAATAAATCTTTTAAAAGGAGGTGTGTGTGTGTGTTTGAGGAAATAATTAAACCAAAGCATAGTGTTTAGAAATACAGAGGATGGTTGGAAAATATATATCAGTTGTTTTTCCATTCCTCTTTTCAGTGACTATGGCTGAGATTTCTGTGACACCCTTTTCCACTATCTCAGAATAATTATTAACATAAGACCTGAGCAGCATCTATCGGTTAATAATGAATGGCAATGGGGACAAAATCATATATTCTTCTTCATATAGAGCAAGCTTAAAACAACAACAACACTGGAATAAAACAAGGATGCTTACTTTCGCCACTCTTACTCAACATAGGACTGGAAGTCCTAGCCAGATCAATCAGGCAAGAGGAAGAAATAAAAGGCATACAAACTGGAAAAAAGGAAGTCCAATTGTTCCTCTTTTCAGATGACATGATCTTAATATACAGAAAAACCTAAAGATTTCTACCAGCTGGGCATGGTGGCTCACGGCTGTAATCCCAGCACTTTGGGAGGCCGAGGCGGGTAGATCACAAGGTCAGGCGTTCGAGACCAGCCTGGCCAACATAGTGAAACCCCGTCTCTACTAAAAATACAAAACTTAGGTGGGCATGGTGGTGCACACCCATAGTTCCACCTACTCAGGAGGCTGAGGCAGGAGAATCACTTGGACCTGGGAGGCGGAGGTTATGGTGAGATGAGATGGTGCCACTGCACTCCAGCCTGGGCAACAGAGTGAGACTCTATCTCGAAACAAACAAACAAACAAACAAACAAAAAAAAAAAGAAAGAAAAGATTTCTACCAAAGACTTCACCAAAAATCTCTTAGAACTGATAAACAAATTCAGTAAAGTCGTAGCATATAAAATCAACATAAAAAACATCAGTAGCTTCCTCAGGAGAAATCAGTTGGGATGGGAGTAATTAGTAGCATTTTTTTCTTCTTTTTAAAGAAATAATTTCAATTTTTATTTTAGAT
Source organism: Homo sapiens (assembly GCF_000001405.40). Taxonomy (NCBI): domain Eukaryota; kingdom Metazoa; phylum Chordata; class Mammalia; order Primates; family Hominidae; genus Homo; species Homo sapiens. The sequence goes on along the minus strand of NC_000005.10, from coordinate 163,396,562 downwards.
TCAGTGGGGGTACATATGCAGGTTTGCTATATGGGCATATTGTGTGATGCTGAGGTTTGGGGTATGAATGATCTTGTTACCTAGGTAGTGAGCATAGTACCCAAAGGGTACTTTTTTAACCCTTGCTGCTTGCCCCTTGTCTACCCTCTAGTAGTCCCCATTGTCTATAGTTCCCACCTTTACATCTATAAGGGCCCAGTGTTTAACTCCCGCTTATAAGTGAGAACATGTGGCATTTGATTTTCTGTTCTGCATTAATTTACTTAGAATGATGTCCTTCAGCTCCATCAGTGTTGCTGCAAAAGTCATAATTTTATTCTTTATTACAGCTGCACGCTATTCCATAGTGTATATGTACCACATTTTCTTTATTGAATCCACTATTTATGGGCACCTAGGCTGATTTCATGTGTTTTCTATTGCAAATGCTGCTGCGCTGTACATACGTGTGCATGTTCTTTTTGGTAGAATGATTTATTTTTCCTTTGCCTGTATACCTAGTAATGGGATTGCTGGGTTGAGTGGTAGCTCTGTTTTTAGTTCTTTGAGAGATTTCCAAACTGCTTTCCACAGTGCTGAACTAACTTATATTCCCACCAACATTTCAGTGTTCCCTTTTCTCTGTAGTCTTCTCAGGATCTGTTATTTTTTGTCTTTTTAATAATAGTCATTCTGACTGGTGTGAGATGGTATGGCATTGTGGTTTTAATTTGTATTTCTCTGATTATTAGTAATGTTGAGTATTTTTTCATATGTAATTGACTGTATGTCTTCTTTTGACAGGCATCTGTTCATATATTTTGCCCATTTTTAATGGGGTTATTTGGTTTTTGTTCGTTCAGTTGTTTAAGTTCCTTAAGGTTCTGGATATTAGACCTTTGTCAGATGCATAGTTTGCAAGTATTTTCTTTCATTCTGTAGGTTGTCTGTTTACTCTGTTGATAGTTTCTTTTGCTGTACAAAACCCTTTTTTTTTATTTCAATAGGTTTTTGGGGAACAGGTGGTGTTTGGTTACATGGATAAGTTCCTTAGTGGTGATTTCTGAGATTTTGGTGCACTCATCAGCTGAGCAGTGTTCACTGCACCCACTGTGTAATCTTTTATCCTCCACCCTCCTCCCACCCCTTCCCCCTAGTTCCCAAAGTCCATTGTATGATTCTTATGCCTTTGTGTCTTCATAGCTTAGCTCCCACTTAAAAGTGAGAAATACGATGTTTCGTTTTCCATTCCTGGGTTACTTAACTTAGAATAATGGTCTGCAACTCCGTCCAGGTTGCTGCAAATGCCATTATTTTGTTTCTTTTTATGGCTAAGTAGTATTCCATGGTGTGTGTGTGTGTGTGTGTGTGTGTGTGTGTGTGTATCACGTTTTCTTTATCCACTCATGATGGATGGGCATTTGGGCTGGTTCCATATTTTGCCAGTGTGAATTGTGCTGCTATGAACATGTGGGTGCAAGTGTCTTTTTCATATTGTGACTTATTTTCCTTTGGGTAGATCCACAGTAATGGGATTGCTACATCATATGGTAGATCTACTTTTAGTTTTTTAAGGAATCTCCATACTGTTTTCCATAGTAGTTGCACTAGTTTGCATTCCCACCAACAGTGTAAAAGTATTCCCTTTTCACCACACCCACACCAACATCTATTATTTTTTATTGTTAAATTATGGCTATTCTTGCAGGAGTAAGGTGGTATCACGTTGTGGTTTTGATTTGCATTTCCCTGATAATTAGTGACGTTGAGCATTTTTCATATGTTTGTTGGCCATTTATATATCTTTTGAGAATTGTGTATTCATGTCCTTAGCTCACTTTTTAATAGGATTATTTGTTTTTTTCTCGCTGATTTATTTGAGTTCCTCATAGATTCTGGATATTAGTTCTTTGTTGGATGCATAGTTTGCAAAATTTTTTCCCACTGTGTGGGTTGTCTGTTAACTCTGCTGATTATTTCTTTTGCAGTGCAGAAGCTTTTTAGTATAATTAAGTCCCATCTATTTATCTTTGTCTTGGTTGCATTTGCTTTTGGGTTCTTGGTCATGAAGTCTTTGCCTAAGCCAATGTCTAGAAGGGTTTTTCTGATGTTATCTTCCAGATTTTTTATGGTTTCAGGTCTTAGATGTAAGTCTTTGATCCATCTTGAGTTGATTTTTGTATAAGGTAAGAGATGAAGATCCAGTTTCATTCTTCTACATGTGGCTTGCCAATTATCCCAGGACCATTTGTTGAATAGGGTGTTCTTTTCCCATTTTATGTTTTTGTTTGCTTTGTTGAAAATCAGTTGGCTGTAAGTGTTTGGCTTTTTTTCTGGGTTCTCTATTCTGTTCCATTGGTGTATGTGCCTATTTTTATACCAATACCATGCTGTTTTAGTGACTATAGCCTTATACTATAGTTTGAAGTCAGGTAATGTGATGCCTCCAGATTTGTTCTTTTTGCTTAGTCTTGCTTTGGCTATGCAGGGTCTTTTTTGGTTTCATATGAATTTTAGGATTTTTTTTCTAGTTCTGAGAAAAATGATGATGGTATTTTGATGGGAATTGCATTAAATTTGTGGATCACTCTTGGTAGTATGGCCGTTTTGACAATATTGATTCTAGCTACCCATGAGCATGGGATGTGTTTCCATTTGTTTGTGTTGCCTATGAGCTATTTCAGCAGTGTTTTGCAGTTTTTCTTGCAGAAGTCTTTCACCTGCTTGCATAAGTATATTCCTAAGTATTTTATTTTCAAAAACTCTATTGTTTAATTAGGTCCCACTTGGCAATTTTTCTTTTTGCTGCAATTGCTTTTCAGGACTTAGTAATAAATTATTTGCTGAGGCCAATGTCTAGAATGGCATTTCCTAGATTTTATTCTGGAATTTTTATAGTTTGAGGTCTTACATTTAAATCTTTAATCTAATCCGTCTTGAATTAATTTTTGTATCCAGTGAAAGGTAGGGGTTTAGTTTCATTCTTCTGCATATAGATATTCAGTTTTTCCTTTTATTAAATAGGAAGTCCTTTCTCAATTCCTTATTTTTGTCAACTTTGTCAAAGATTAGATGGCTGCAGGTGTGCAGCTTTATTTCTGGGTTCTCTGTACTTTTCTGTTGATCTATGTGTCTGTTTCTGTACAAGTATCATGCTGTTTTTGTTACTGTAGCCTTGTAGTATAGTTTTAAAATTGGGTAATGTGATGCCTCCAGCTTTGTGTATGTGTGTATGTGTGTGTGTGTGTGTTTGTGTGTGTGTGTGTTTTGTTTAGGATTGCTTTGGCTATTCAGGCCCATTTTTGGTTCCATATGAATTTTACAAGACTTTTTTCTTTTTTTTTTTTTCCTAACCTGTTCCCCCACACCAAACAAAGGTGTCCCTATTTCTAGTCCCTCATGGCAGCTCTCTCATTCTCTGCCTTGATCTCCCCTATGTCATCTCTTTCCTGAAACTTCCTCTTTAAAATCCTTCACACGGGGGTTCCACCCCAACCTCTCCTTGGGAAAAGGAAAATATCTTAGGAAGATCTCTTCTTGGCATAGAGTGTTGTAGGGAAGTGGGTTGGGAGATGATGGGTTCTACCTGAATTTACCTTACATTAAATTATAATTTCACAATTGTGAAATATTTAATTTTTTTCTAGAAGACTTTTTTCTAATTCTGTTAAAAATGATGTTGGCAGTTTGATAGGAATAGCACTGAATCTATAGATTTCTTTGGGCAGGATGGCCATTTTTACAATATTAATTCTTCTAATCCATGAGCCTGGAATATTTTTCGATTTGATTGGGTCATGTCTGATTTCTTTTAGCAGTGCTTTGTAGTTCTCCTTGTAGAGATCTTTCATTTCTTTGATTAGATGTATTTTCTAGGTACTTTTTTCATGTGTGTCTGTGGCTATTGTAAATGGGATTGTGTTCTTGATTTGGCTTTCACCTTCAATGTTATTGGTATATAGAAATGATCGGTAGCATGTCTGCACACTGGTAATGAATTAGCTGAAAAAGAAACCAAGAAAGCAATCCCATTGACAATTGCTACCAAAACAAACAAACAAATAAAACAAAAGAAAACAAAATAAACCTAGGAATAAATTTAACTAAGAAGGTGAAATAACTCTACAAGAAAAACTGTATAAAACACTGGTGAAAGAAATTGAGGAGGACACAAATGGAAGAATCTCCCATGCTTTTGGATCAGAATTAATATAGTTAAGATGACCACACTACCCAATACCATCTATAGATTCAATGCAATTCCTATCAAAGTACCAATGCTGTTTTTAAAATACAAAAATAGAAAAAAAAATCCTTCAATTTATATGAAATCACGGAAAAAAAACGAATAGCCAAAACAATACTGAGTAATTTACATTTCTCTAATGACCAGTGATGATGAGGCCTTTTTCATACGTTTATTGGCCTTAATGTCTTCTTTTGTCTGCTCATATTTTTTGCCCAGTTTTTGATGGGGTTGTTGTTTTTTTTTCTTGTAAATTTGTTTAAGTTCTTTGTAGATTCTGGATATTAGCCCTTTGTCAGATAAATAGATTGCAAAAATTTTCTCCCATTCTGTAGGTTGTCTGTTCACTCTGATGATAATTTCCTTTGCTGTGCAGAAGTCCTTTAGTTTAATTAGATCCCATTTGTCAATTTCGGCTTTTGTTGGCATTGCTTTTGGTGTTTTAGTCATGAAGTCTTTACCCATGCCTGTGTCCTGAATGGTATTGCCTAGGTTTTCTTCTAGGGTTTTTATGGTTTTAGGTCTTATGTTAAGTCTTTAATCCATCTTGAGTTAATTTTTGTATAAGATGTAAGGAAGGGGTCCAGTTTCAGTTTTCTGCATATGGCTAGCCAGTTTTCCCAACACCATTTATTAAATAGGGAATCTTTTCCCCATTGCTTGTTTTTGTCAGGTTTGTCAAAGGAATGAGATACCATCTCACGCCAGTTAGAATGGCGATCATTAAAAAGTTAGGAAACAACAGATGCTGGAGAAGATGTGGAGAAATAGGAATGCTTTTACACTGTGGGTCGGAGTGTAAATTAGTTCAACCATTGTGAAAGACATTGTGGCGATTCCTCGAGGATCTAGAACTAGAAGTACTATTTGACCCAGCAATCCCATTACTGGGTATTTACCCAAAGGGTTATAAATCATTCTGCTATAAAGACACATGCACATGTATGTTTATTGCAGCACTGTTCACAATAGCAAAGTCTTGGAACCAACCCAAATGTCCACCAACGATAGAGTGGCTAAAGAAAATGTGGCACATATGCACCATGGAATACTATGCAGCCATACAAAAGGATGAGTTCATGTCCTTTGCAGGGACATGGATGAAGCTGGAAACCATCATTTTCAGCAAACTAACACAGGAACAGAAAATCAAACATTGCATGTTCTCACTTATAAGTGGGAGTTGAACAATGAGAACATGTGGACACAGGGAGGGGAACATCACACACTGGGGAGTGTTGGGGGATGGGGGGCTAGGGAGGAATTGCTTTCGGAGAAATATCTAATGTAAATGACAAGTTGATGGGTGCAGTAAACCACCATGGCACGTGTATACCTGTGTAGCAAACCTGCATGTTTTGCACATGTGTCCCAGAACTTAAAGTACAATTAAAAAAAATTTAATACAGATGAGATCAGGAGCATATGTGTATAATTACATAAGCCATGTATGTTTTATATGAGCATAGAAAGAAATGTAAAAATAAATGCACAAAATTGACTTTTTTATATACTCTTCTGTTACTTGGCTTTGAAAAAATAATGTTCTTATTTTTGAATTTTAAAAGAAAACTGCAATAAAATGTGAATATGTTAAAAAAAAAAGCACCAAAAAAATACTGAGTAAAAAGAACAAAGCTGAAGGCATCATCCTATCTGACTTCAAAATATACTACAAAGGTATCATAACCAAAACAGCATGGTATTGATATAAAAACAGACACATAGACCAATGGAACAAAAACAGAGAACCCACAAATAGATCCACATATTTACAGCCAAATGAGTTTCAGCAAAGGCACCAAGGGCATACTACAGGAAAAGGACGCTCTCTTCAATAAGTAGTGCCAGGAAAACTGGATATCCATTTGCAGAAGAATAAAACTAGACTTCCTATTAGAGTTTGGAGGATATGTGGAGGGAGAGGATCAGGAAAAAATAACTAATAGGTACTAGGTTTAATACCTAGGTGATGAAATAATCTATACAACAAACTCCCATGAAACATGCTCACTTAAGTAACAAACCTGCACATGTACCCCTGAATTTAAAGTAAAAGTATAAAATACTTTTATATTATATATATTAAAAAGTATATATAAAGTATATATAGTATATATGTAAAAATATGTACAGTATACATAGAGTATCTATAAAAAAAGAAACTAGACTTCTATATCTCATGATATTAAAAAAATCCTCAAAATGTATGAAAGAATTAAACATAAAACCTAAATTGATAAAATTACTAGAAGAAAACAGGAAAATACTCCAGAACGTTGGTCTAGGTAAAGATTTTGAGGCAAGCCCTCAAAAGCACAGACAGCAAAACAAGAAATAGACAAACGGGACTATATTAAATTAAAAAGCTTCTACATAGCAAAGGAATCAATCAACAGAGTAAAGAGACAACTTACAAAATGAGACAAAATACTTGCAAAATATTTATCAACAAAAGAATCATATCCAGAATGTATGAGGAACTCAAACAACTAAACAGCAAAAATACAGATAATCCCATTAAAAAGTGGGCAAAAAATCTAAATAGACATTTCTCCAAAGAAGACATATAAATGACCAACAGGTATATAAAAAAATTGCTCAACATCACTAATTATCAGAGAAATGCAAATCAAAACCACATGGAGAAACCATCTTACCCCAGTCAGATTGGCTATTACCAAAAAGACAAAAAATACCAAATGCTGGCTAAGATGTGAAGAAAAGGAAATGCTTACACACTGTTGGTGGGAATGTAAATTAGTACAGTCATTATGGAAACAGTATGGTGATTTCTTAAAAAACTAAAAATAGAACCACTACAGGATCTAGCAATCCCACTGTTGAGTATTTATCCAAAGGAGAAGAAGCCAATATATTAAAGGGGTACATGTATTCCTATATTTATTGCAGCACTATTCACAGTAGCCAAGATATGGAATCAACAGTTCCATCAGCAATTCAACAGATAAAGAAAATGTGGTATATATACAAAATGTAATACTATTTGGCCATCAAAAGTAATAAAATCATCTCATTTGCAGCCACATGGATGGAACTAGAGGTTATTATGCTAAGTGAAATAAGCCAGGCACAGGAAGACAAATATTGCATGTTCTTACTCATGTGTGGAAGCTATAAAAGTGACTCTCATGGAGTAGAGAATAGAGTGGTAATTACCAGAGACTGCAAAGCATGGTAGAAAGATACAGAGAGGTTGGTTAATGGGTATAAATATACAGTTAGATAGAAGGAATACATTCTCATATTTAATAGCTCAGTAGGATGACTATAGTTTTAACAATAATTTTTTGAATTTCAAAATAGCAAGAAAAGATTTGAAATGTTCCCAACACAAATAAATAATAAATGTTGGAGTTGAAGGATATCCTAAATATCTTGATGTGATTATTATACATTTTATATATGTATCAAAATATCACATGAGTAGCAGAATTATTTACACTCATTATGTAATAATTAGAAAAAAGAAGAGGATGAGGTAGAGGACACAGACACATAAGGAGGAAGAAGGCCATGTGGCCAAGGCTGTAGAAGCCCGCTTCTGGCATCAGCGAACATGACCTGGATGTGAGACATGGAGTCAAAGAAGATCATTTTGGGACTTTAAGGTTTAATGACTGCCCTATTGTATTTTGGACTTTCATGGGGCCTGTAACCCCTTTGTTTTGGCCAATTTCTCCCATTTGGAATGGGAGCATTTAGCCAATGCCTGTACCCCCATTGTGTCTAGGAAGTAAGTAACTTGCTTTTGATTTTGCAGGCTCATAGGCAGAAGAGACTTGCCTTGTCTCAGATGAGGCTTTGGACTTGGACTTTTGAGTTAATGCTGGAATGAGTTAAGACTTTGGGGGATTGTTGGAAAGGCATGATTGTGTTTTGAAATGTGAGGACATGTGATTTGGGAGGGGTCAAGGGTGGAAAGATAAGGTTTGGCTGTGTCCCCACTCAAACCCCATCCTGAATTGTAGTTCCCATAATCTCCGCATGTTGTGGGAGAGACCCAGTGCAAGGTAATTGAATCATGGGGGCCGTTACCCTCATGCTGTGCTCGTGATAGTGAGTGAGTTCTCACAAGATCTGATGGTTTCATAAGCAGCTTTTCCCCTTTTTTGCTGGGCACTTCTCCTTGTTGCCACTATGTGAAGAAGGACATGTTTGCTTCCCCTTTCACCATGATTGTAAGTCTCCTTAAGTCCCCTGAGGCCTCCCCCAGCCATGCTGAACTGTGAGTCAATTAAACTGCCTTCCTTTATAAATTGCCCAGTCTTGGGTATGTCTTTATTAGCAGCATGAGAAGGGACTAATACACCATGTGAAGATAAAGGCAGAATTGGAATTAAGATGCTGCAAGGAAAACTTGGGGATTTAAAAGCTGAACAAATCATGGAAATGTTTCTTTCCTAGAGCTTATGGTCCCTACTGACCTTGGACTTCTAGCCTCCAGAATTGTGAGAGAATAAATTCCTGTTGTTTTAAGTCCCCCTACCCCCACTCCTCAAAAACAATAAATCAAGGCTTTGACTGACCTGGCTGGTGACCTGGTGCTGTGCTGTAGGAAGAGACAGAAGATTCTCAGCTACAGGAGTAGAGCCGAGGTAGGAGTAGGGAGGTAGTATGAATAGAGAAATTTAGTGGACGTGATTTCAAAGTCAGTAGGTAAGAATGTTTTACTTCTATGTGACTCTCAGGACTATAAAGCAAATTATTTCAGAATGTATTACTTTAATGTGATTCTCAGGAATATAAAGGAAAATAAAAAATTAAAAATGTTGGATGACTGCCATTTTTCTTCGAGACAGGGTCTCCCTTTGTTGCCCAAGCTGTACTTGAACTCCTGGGCTCAACTGATACCCCTGCCTCACCCTCCCAAGTAGCTGGGACTATAGGTACATGCCACGGTGCCTGGCTCTCCTGTGATGTTTAAATGTAATATCACTTGATGCAATATATTTGTAGTTGTAAATGAAACTTTACTCCTTAAAGTAAGGAGGACACTTGACTCCTTAAAGTTCATATAATTTCCACTGGACACTATTTTGCTGTTAGCTCAAGTGTTCATTTGTTTTAACATATATGGAGGATTAAAGTGTGTCTACAATTATGGAGTTCAAACTGATGTCTAAACTAATATAACTGTGAATACCTTAAATAACAAACACAGTTAAATGCAGCACAATTAGTTAAATAAAATTCCAGTGGCTCAAAAGTATAATGTTGTTGACAGGTCGTTGTCATGGGAATCAGAATTCCTGACATGGATGTTTGACCTGGAGCAGACTACCCAAAGTTTCTTTTTGGTCTCAGCTTCTATATGTAAAATAAAGGTATTGGACGCAAGAACAAACCAAACCAAACCAAAAAAAAAAGAAAAGAAAAAAGGCAATGCGTGAAGAGTCAAATCTCAAAGGAATGGGGCATGCAAAGAGGCAATAGTGAAACCTGAAGTGAAAGGAATGTCAGCCAGATGGATTGGGCAGATTTGGGAGAGTAGAGGGGCTGAAATTTAAAAGATTCCTGAAGCTTTGAACTTTTATTTCTGCTGAGAACACATGCACCTCAATGCCTTTTCCAAATGCTCTCCATACCATCTACCTATACAATACAATTTGGCATTTGCCATTTTGAATGCATAGGTTGGCACATGTACCATGCTCTTTGCATTCTTCAGTGAGCTTCTGCAATTGACAAACAGCTACATTTTGTAACAAAAAGATAACAGAGGCAAGAACAGGACCATAGGCTTCTCCTAGAACCCTTGTTTTTTGAATGATGCAATAACCCTGAACCCAATTTTATTTCTGTGCCTGTTAGTGACTCCCAAGGAGGTTGGAATGGCAACAAAGTCCAGACTTTCCAGGCTGAGGGCCAATTGGTAACTGCCTTCACTGCATCCTGCTTTCTTGCTACCTATTGGAGAAACAATTGAATTTCATGATCAGATTGGCCAATGAATAAGTAGCTATGGACCATATAATTCTGCCAAAACTGTACACTGACCTATGGAAAAAGCTGCTTGGAGTCATAGCGTCAGGGATATCAGATTTATAACTCTTCACTAAAGTTCTGATTTATTTTCTTGGCTAGGTGGGAGGCTAATGCATCTGAAACAGAAAAGTTGAAAAACCTTAGTCTCCTAGGCAGGTACTGGATCCCAACCCTACCTGACATATACTATTACAGATAGTAAAGATTGCTACTCTTGCATTTCCAACATTATCTTCCCTTCCCTACCCCCCAGCACTTGCATAAGAGGGAACATGAACCCTCATAGAACTGAGCAGGAGGATTAGGGCAGATAATAAATCTCGGGCTGATTTGGTTAGCAGGCAGTCACAGGTTAGCAGGGGAAAACCTAGCCTTTTTCTGGTCTCTTCTCTATGGACCAGCAAACAGAGTGAAATGGAAGTGTAGTCTTTTTTGGTGAAAGGTGGTCTAAACTCCTCTACTTGAAATCAGGCTTACTTCCCAATGACTAGCCAAAACTGAGGGTTGAGACTGTTATCTGCATAATTTAGGGACCAGGAAGGAATCTAACTTTACTTATAAAACATAGTGGAATTTTGGGCCTGTGTTGTGAAGACAGTACCTTCAATTTCTGATTATTTGGTCTGGAGAGAATAGACTAAACTCTTCGTTAGAGTAAATGTAGGAATAAAAGATTAAAGTTGTTTTCAGAGGGAATGTATTCCGTCTTTCATTTCTTACATGATGTTTCTTGCTTAATGCATTAGTTTCCTTGGGCTGCCATAGCAAAGTACTGTACACTGAGTGGCTTATGCAACAGACATGTATTGTCTCACAGTTCCGGAGGTTGGAAATCCACGATCACATTTTTGGCAGAGTTGATTCCCTCTGAGACTTGAGAGGGAGACTCTCGCCTGGCTTCTGGTGGTTTGTTGGCAATGTTTGCTGTTCCTTGACTTGTAGAATCATCACATTGCTCTCTGCCTGAATTTTCATGTAGTATTCGCTCTCTGTGTCTTGCTGTCTCAAAATTTCCACTTTTTATAAGAACATCAGTCATACTAGATTAGAGCCTACCCTAATGACCTTATCTTAACTTGATTACCTCTGTAAGGGCCCTTTCTCCAAATAAGGTCACATCCTGCAGTTCAGGGGGTTAAGACTTGAACATATGAATTTTTTAGGAAACAAACGTATAACACTTAAATATATTGTATGGATTCCTGATATTCTTACTGAATATATAATTATAAAACCATAATCCTATAGTCTAAATGCCACTGACTTTATTAAAAGAGTCTAGGTGAATACGTTTTTAAAATATATTTTCCTTTTTCTAACTTGAAACGAGAGAGTCAGAATTTATCAATATCTATCCAGCATTGTGTTGAAACTGGGTTGTAATGCTTTTTCCTATCTGGGAAATAGAACTGGATGGACAGCTGGCTTCAGAGTTTGCATGAAGAGTACATAATCCTACTTATGTAACCCATCGTGTTTGCAAAATCTGCACTGCAGTTTTTTAGGAGGGAATGAGATGTTTGGAAATAAAATCTGCTGTGCAGGAGTGGAAAATTTATCCACTTTCCACATTATTTTTGTTGCCTATATTTTTATTTTGCATTCTCAAGAAGTATGTATCCGTGCTTGAATGTTTTGCCTTTGCTGCACATGTCAGGAATGCAGAATTGGTGAATTCTGGTGCAAGATCTATTCATTGACCTTTACATGATAGGAAAGTTGTTTAACTCCTTCAGGATTATGATTTCTTAAGTTTAGAGTCAATTGGCCTCGACTGGGGTTGAATGGGGAAAGGAGGGCATGAGGAATGAATACTTATGCAGCCCTTAAAAGTGTGAGGGTCCATTGTTCACATGGTAAATCTGCAAACAAAGTCAGTCATTATATCCATGTGCTGGACTTTTTTTTTTTTTTTTTTTTTTAAGACAGATTCTAGCTCTGTTGCCCGGGCTAGAGAGCTGTGGCACAATCATAGCTCACTACAACCTTGAACTTCTGGGATCAAGTGATCCTCCCACCTCAGCCACCCAAGTAGCTAGGACTACAGGTGTGCACCACCATGCCCGGCTAATTTTTAATTTTTTGTAGAGAGGGGTCTTGCTATCTTGAACAGGCTGGTCGTAAACTTCTGGCCTCAAGCAGTCTTCCTGCCCTGGCTTCCCAAAGTGTTGAGATTACAGGCATGAGTCACTGCGCCTGGCCTGTTTGGTTTTATTTTTAATCGGCCCTATAATATTTTCATCCTGATTCTGATTTACAGCACTGTTCCTTTATCGTTAGTAGGAACTGTCATTCCTTCATAACTAGTGATTCTGTTGGGACTGTAGATTATATTAACTCAGTTTTTGGGCACTGGCCAATAATATTACCCTATCAGCTGGTAACAATGATTGGTCTAAGGGAGGGGACATGGACAAGTTAGCCAGTCAGAGGCTTTCCCTGGGATTTTACATACTAATAAGGAGGGATTGGGGGAAAGAAACTTTCTTCCTTCCTTCCTTCCTTCCTTCCTCCCTTCCTTCCTTCCTTCCTTCCTTCCTTCCTTCTCCCTCTCCTCCCTCCCTCCCTCCTTTCTGTCCATCCTTCCTCCCTCCCTCCCTCCCTCCCTCCCTTCCTTCCTTCCCTCCTTCCTTCCTTTCTTTTCTTTTCTTTCTTTCTGTTTTTAGATGGAGTCTCACTCTTGTCGCCCAGGCTGGAGTGCAGTGGTGTGATCTCAGCTCACTGCAACCTCCACCTCCCGGGTTCAAGTGATTCTCCAGCCTCAGCCTCCCAAGTAGCTGGGACTACAGGCACATGCCACTGCATCTAGCTAATTTCTGTATTTTCAGTAGAGACGGGATTTCGCCATGTTGGCCAAGCTTGTCTTGAACTCCTGACCTAGGGTGATCTGCCCAATTCGGCCTCCCAAAGTACTGGAATTACAGGCGTGAGCCACTGCACCTGGCGAAACTTTCACTTTTCTTTTCTTCTTCTTCTTTTTTTTTTTTTTTGAGACGGAGTTTTGCTCTTATTGCCCAGGCTGGAGTGCAGTGGTGCGATCTCGGCTCACTGCAACCTTTGCCTCCTGGGTTCAAGCAATTCTCCTGTCTTAGCCTCCTGAGTAGCTGGGACTACAGGTGCCCACCACCACACCCGGCTAATTTTTGTATTTTTTAGTAGAGATGGGGTTTCACTATATTGATCAGGCTGGTCCCGAACTCCTGACCTCAAGTGATCCTCCCGCCTTGGCCTCCGAAAGTGTTGGGATTATAGGCGTGAGCCACCACGCCCAGCCTGTTTATCCTTTAAGACCAGCTGAGATACCACTATCTTTGTGAACTCTTCTCTAATTTGTTTAGTTAACAATGGGTCTCCACCTGTGTCCTATATAGCCCTGTGTCTTAATGACATCTATTCCATTCTGCCTTCTATTGTGTGTTCCAGTGTTGTGTAATAATTCACCCAAAATTAATGGGTTAAGACAAGTACTATTTTATTATCTCATCATCTTCTTGGTTAAAGGTTTGAATAGAACTTAGCTGGGGGCTTGCTCCTCTTCGCCTGTTGTTTGATGGTCACTCAATGGTATTTAGCTGGTCTGATCTAGAAGGTCCAAGACAGCTTCACTCACCTGCCTTGCTCCTTGGGAGGGTTGCTGTTGCTGGTGTATCCTCTCTGTCCTTTTGGGTTTTGTTCTCTTTCCTTTTGGGTTCATGCCTTAAACAATTTCTATCCTGTTATTTTAGCAAGGTTTCTGGAGGGAGCATGTGTTCAATCTAGTATTTTTACCCGGAAGTCCCCAAAACCTAGTTTATAAAGTACTTTCATATTTAGTTTCTATTTTCTCTTTACAAGAGCCTGGTGAGTATTACGCCTCCATCTTTTAAGACAGAAAAGCTGAAACAGACACGTGTTTTGGCAGTCAAGCCTTTTGATTGCAAGGAAAAAAACTCACTCAAGCCAGTGAACGTATATGTGATATTCTAATTTAAAAAAGTATTCTCATCAGCCCCCAGGCTCACGCTTGTGGTCTTTGAGGGTTGCTGTGGGTGCACCATCTAGATTTTCCTGGTTTTTGGAGTCCAGGTGTTCATTGGGATTCTCAGATAAAATACAAGATTCCCAATTTTATTTGCATTTCAGACATATAACTAATAATTTTTTAGTAAAGATATGTTTCAGCTATTTAATGGAATACTGTACTTGTACTAAAAATCATTGTTTACCTGAAATTCAAATTTAATTGGGCCTCCAGAATATTTATTTGCCAAAGGTAACCGTAGTCTACTTAGGTCAATAAAGGGTTCATGAGTATGAGGAATGATTGAGTTTTATGAGAATAGTTAAGAAAACACCCTTTGGCCTTAGCGACGGACTATTTCTAAACCTGGAATCATTCTTCAGCAAAATCCTAAAGAAAGGGGAATGTTGTTCCCTGTTTTTTTTTTGTTGTTGTTAAAAAAAAAAACCCTTTTTACCTTTCCCTTTATGTCTCACCACATGTAAGCTGATTTAATTTTCAAGCTATCTTTCAGCAACATGTCATTGTCATATACTCAAAATAATAGATGTCATTTTTTGAGATCTTACTTCATGCCAGGCATATTGCTAAATGCTTTAGATGTATTATCTCATCTAATTCTCATATGAACAGTAGGTATCAGTAGCACAATCTTATTTTACAGGTGCATGGGGGGAAGATGCAGTTGATAAAGCTTAAATGAGTTGCCTAAGGCTGGTTACTAAGTGATTGAGGGGACAGTGGAACAGTAGTGCTCTAGTTTTTTCCTGAAAGCAGAGTTTTGTTGAAAAAGAAAGGCTGTGAAATTAGTTCATTGCATTTTTTTAATTATACTTTAAGTTTTAGGGTACATGTGCACAACGTGCAGGTTAGTTACATATGTATACATGTGCCATGTTGGTGTGCTGCACCCAGTAACTCGTCATTTAACATTAGGTATATCTCCTAATGCTATCGCTTCCCACTCCCCCCACCACACAACAGGCCCCAGTGTGTGATGTTCCCCTTCCTGTGTCCATGTGTTCTCATTGTTCAATTCCCACCTATGAGTGAGAACATGCGGTGTTTGGTTTTTTGTCCTTGAGATAGTTTACTATTGCAAACTGGAATGATGGTTTCCAGCTTCATCCACGTCCCTACAAAGGACATGAACTCATCATTTTTTATGGCTGCATAGTATTCCATGGTATATATGTGCCACATTTTCTTAATCCAGTCTATCATTGTTGGACATTTGGGTTGGTTCCAAGTCTTTGCTATTGTGAATAGTGCCTCAATAAACATACATGTGCATGTGTCTTTATAGCAGCATGATTTATAATCCTTTGGGTATATACACAGTAATGGGATTGCTGGATCAAATGGTATTTCTAGTTCTAGATCCCTGAGGAATTGCCACACTGACTTCCACAATGGTTGAACTAGTTTACAGTCCCACCAACAGTGTAAAAGTGTTCCTGTTTCTCCACATCCTCTCCAGCACCTGTTGTTTCCTGACTTTTTAATGATTGCCATTCTAACTGGTGTGAGATGTTATCTCATTGTGGTTTTGATTCGTATTTCTCTGATGGCCAGTGATGATGAGCATTTTTTCATGTGTCTTTTGGGTGCATAAATGTCTTCTTTTGAGAAGTGTCTGTTCATATCCTTCACCCACTTGTTGATGGGGTTGTTTGTTTTTTTCTTGTAAATTTGTTTGAGTTCATTGTAGATTCTGGATATTAGCCCTTTGTCAGATGAGTAGATTGCCAAAATTTTCTCCCATTCTGTAGGTTGCCTGTTTATTCTGATGGTAGTTTCTTTTGCTGTGCAGAAGCTCTTTAGTTTAATTAGATCCCATTTGTCAATTTTGGCTTTGGTTGCCATTGCTTTTGGTGTTTTAGACATGAAGTCCTTGCCCATGCCTATGTCCTGATGGATGGGGTCTTGCTCTGTCACCAAGGCTGGAGAGCAATGGCGTGGTCTTGGCTCACTTCAATCCTTGCCTCCCGGGTTCAAGTGATCCTCCTGCCTCAGCCTCCCGAGTAGCTGAGATTATAGGCACGTGCCACCATGCCCAGCGAATTTTTGTATTTTTAGTAGGGAAGGGGTTTCACCATGTTGGCCAGGCTGGTCTCGAACTCCTGACCTCAGGTGATCCCCCTGCCTCGGCCTCCCAAAGTGCTGGGATTATAGGCATGAGCCACCATGCCCGGTCAGTTCATTGCTTTTTTGTGTGTGTGAATAATTTGGTAAATTTTCTTTTTCCACGGCCTTTGGGATTTTATGTGGTTTTGGCCACAGAAGGAGTCCAGGTCTCCGAGTCTCTTGTCGTTTGTGCCTTCATGGCACCATGTGAACTCTCCTTTTCTTTTTGTTGCTCATTTTTGTAGGCCTGCTGGACAAATTCAAATTCCAAAACAGAAGATAGCCAACAAACCCAGAAGATATTGACTCTTTATATTCATGCTTTCACAGAACAATGATGAGTGGTACTATTCTGCAGGATAAAATTGGAAAGAACTCAGTACATTCATTGTTCAAAGCAATTGATTCACCCTTGAGAAAGCAGGCCGGTAGTTGAAGTGTGTTTACACAGTGACTCAGCTTCTGCTCAGAATTGGGTAACAGGTCTTTATTATCTTTACTTTCTTTCTTAGAAAAAAAAATTGACTAAGTTTTTACAGTGGGATGATTGCAGCATTTGGAGGTCTGCATAAAAATTTCAAATATTGTTGTTCAGCATTTTTGAAGAGCCCCATTATGATTTAGTCCCCATTTCAGTTCTTTCTCACCACAAGAAAAAAGATGCAGTTTTCTTTTCTTACTTAAATCTATCAATGAGGTAACTCTCTGAGTCGTGTGTGTGTGTGTTGTGTGTGGGTGCTGTTGTGTATGTGTGTTGTGTGTGTTTATACCAATAAATTCAAAAGATACTAATAGGGCCTACTGAAGGTAATATTTTGCTAGCCACATTTCTTTCCCCAAATCCTTTTTTTAAATTTAATTTTATTTTATTTTAAACTCTGGGGTACATACACATGACGTGCAAGTTTGTTACATAGGTAAACGTGTGCCACAGAGGTTTGCTGCACCTATCAACCGATCACCTAGGTATTAAGCCCAGCATGCATTAGCTATTTTTCCTGATGCTCTCCCTCCCATTGTACCCCGTGACAGGCCCCAGTATGTGTTGTTCACCTGCCTGTGTCCCTGGGGTCTTTCCCCAAATTTTAACAAATAGCTTTTCTACAGTTTGAAGCTGTGATTGAAAATGGGGGAATAGAAGAAGCTAGGAAGTCTTTAAACAAAGGACATTAAAGTGTGTCCAAATGAGTGGGAAACTGGGCCTCTTTATAATAGGCATGCTATGTCTTTTTGTGTTGAATAAACACAGCTATTCTGAATGCATCTCTGCTTTCAGAGACACACTGCAAAAATGCTAAGGATAGCTCAGCCTCTGGTACTAATCCCTTTTGTGACTTTGAGCAATTCCTGTAGCATCACTAGATTTTAAGTTTTCTCATTTCCAAAGAAGACAGGTTAGTTCAATGTTTCCTGACTTCAGTTATGTGCATAGCTTTCATTTTTTGGTCATATCCCATTATTATAGATGTGGCATAATATTTGTTTATTTCTAATATTTTTTATTAGAAATAAATTATATATATAGAATATTATATACGTATAGAAATATATATATAAATATATATAGAAATATATATAGAAATTATATATAGAGAATATTAGAATATTATTCTAATATTTCTAATATTTTTTTAAAAGGCTCTCTCTCTCTTTCCTTTTAACTGAGGTAAGTATATGAGGAATGCATGTCAGTGGTGAAGGCAATGGCCAGGAGAGAATAAGGTGCAGCCTGTGGAGAGGCCAGGGCAGAGGATGCGGTTCTCAGGCTGGGGGTTCAGGAAAATAGAGGGAAAGAGTTTGTAGGAACGGGGGAGAGGCAGACAGAGCTGGGCTTTCTGGCACTTCTTTTGAAAAAGAGTTTGGGCCCAGGGATGGAAGGGATGAAATCTAGAGAGTGGGAGGATCTGAGAATAAAGAGGGTGCTAAACTGAAGGGTTGCCAGGAGGGACTTAGGGAAGAGGAATCTAGGAAGCCGGGCTGGCGCCTGCTCCCTGGGAAAACAGTGCTTTCCCTTAGCCTCCTCTTTTCCTAAACACCAACCTGCTGGCACATCTGGCCACAGCCCTGTGCCTTCTTTCTGCCCGCGGTGTCTCTGAGCTATCACGTGCTACAGCCCCTCCTTAGGGAAGGCTGTGGCATGGGAATCTCGGCCCAGGAGGAGATCTGAGAAGGTGAAGGGTAGAGGAGTTTAAGAGGGACCCAGAGGTGAGAACTCAGGTTTTTGGAATCAGTTTCAACTCTAAAGAATGCCTCCAGTTCTACTATTCTATTTCTCCACAAACTGTTGCCAGTTACTGAAGGGGAAAAAGTTTGTTAATGAGAAAGGCCAACCTGTAGGTTCCTTGTTTCATGCCCTTTGTTTTATAGAATTTCAAATCAGTAGGTGGGAAAAAAGACTTGCATATCTTTATTTTTGGCAGTTTTCTTTATCACAATTGTTTTAAGTAACCTAGTTCTCTTTTCATTGTGCTCTTACTTTCAAGTGACTAGAAATCAGGTTATAGAATTAAAGAATGACTCAAATGGAATTTGAGGTTTGGGATAGAACGTGCTCAAGTCTTGGAATTAGAAGGCATGGATATCAGTTTTGGGGCTACCACTTGCTGACCTGGTCAAGCTATTGGATGTCTCCAAATCCAATGTATAATCATCATAAAAAATAACAATATTGATAATAATACCAAATTATTGTAAAAGGAGAAAGAAAAGATTAAGATGTCTATGACGATATTTCGTTAAGAGGAAGGCACTTGCAGAAAGCTTTCTTTTGTGCTAGGCATTGAAGTGGTTATTAATTAGGTCTCCAAGAGCAAAACAGAATTTTGGTGTTTATTGTATTTGTGCGATCAATGCCTACTATCACACTGTGGATTTGAATTACAAATCTTGTTTGGTAATCTTTCCCTAAGAAATGAATTCAAAGATTGTCAAATATCTACTCACTTCATACTTTTTATTATTAAGAAATTCTGGCATCTAAGTCTTCTAATATTCCACTAATATTCAAATAACCTACTGCTATAGGCACTACTAGTGAATTAACAAATATCTGTTGAGTGTTGCCTCTTGGTAGAACATTTTGATTAAATGGAGCATGCGTTTGCTTGAAGTGAGGGGCACTGCACACCCCCATGCAGCACAGCCCTAGGAACATCATTTCTAGGTGCCGAATGCCATGATGTTGCTTGAAGATAGGCAATGTGGTGGCCTGCTGGAGGTTGAAGTATATATTTTTTTGGTTGAGCAATTAAAGTATACAAAAATTTCAAGCTGTGTCCCAAAGGTCTTTTGAAAGCGATAATGATAGCTTGTATTGGGAAGTTTATTTCAAGGAAAGTTTACACATTTAAATGCAGGATTATCTAGTAGGAATTTTATATGCTGATATGAAATTCATGAAGGAATTCAAAAGCAATGCTTTGTTTCAAATTCATCAGACCTCTAATTTCTTCAACACAATAAATAGTTTTACCTTGAAAAGGCTTAAACAAAAGGCAATTGCCTAAACTTTCTCAAAATTCTAAATCCGAATGTGATTATGTTCTTCCTAAGTTGGAGCAAGAAAACAGAGATACTTCTAAAAAGTTAAAAACTTCAGTATCAAATTCTACTCTCTTCCAGATCTGACATCTTTTATTATGTACAATTATTGACAGGTTAGTTCATTATTTGCAATTAAGCGGGAAAAGTACTCATATTGAGTAATGGAGTCAGATAATTGCAATTTTATTTTTTAAGGTAATTAGTCATTACACAAATATTTTAGGTTTAAATCTATTTCGAGTTGAGGTTAATTACATCTGCCATGTCCCAATACAAATATTTAATTACTTTAGTGAGTGCAAGTTATATTTCCTCCCATGTTAAAAAACAGTGACTTCTAGTTTTATAATCAGCTTAAGTAAAAAAGGACAACACCAGATACTAACAATAGCTGTGCATTATAAAAATAGTTTAAGAATAAAATTATGCCAGTGGTATTTTAGCAATTGAATTAAGTAAAATTATCAAAGAAAGGGTATAGAAACATTACTCTTAAGGAGTGATTTGTTTGACTACATTGGAAAAGTTCCTAGGAACTGATGAAGTATAGAATGGAATTGTGGAATAAAAGGGTGGCAAGGAATGAAAAACAAAACAAACAAACAAAAAAACTGCATTAGTTTGTTTGCTGTTAAAGACATACCTGAGACTTGGTAATTTATACGGAAAAAGAGGTTTAATGGACTCACAGTTCCACATGGCTGGGGAGGCCTCACAATCATGGCGGAAGGCAAAAGGCACGTCTTACATGGCAGCAGGCAAGAGAGAGAATGAGAACCAAGTGAAAGGGATTTCCCCTTATAAAACCATCAGATCTTGTGAGATTTATTTACTACCATGAGAACAATATGGAAGAAACCACCCCCATGATTCAACTGCCTCCCACTGGGTGCCTCCCACTGGGTCCCTCCCGCAACACGTGGGAATTATGGGAACTATAATTCAAGATGAGATTTGGATGGGGACCCAGCCAAACCATATAAAAAACCAAACCCAATAATAGATTATCCCGATAGCTTCACTTCACCTCTGTGTATTTGGAAAGTGGGGTATAATGGCTAGTTTAATTTACTGTCAAATATCTGATTCACAAGGTTAAGTACACTATACATCATCAGTATAACTGGTTTGAAGAGTAGAAAACCTCCAAATTGTTTCTTTTAATTTATTCAGTACCAGTTATCTGTTTTGGAGAATCTTTGAGATGTAACAGGGTAAGCAGTCTATTCACTGTAGTAAATTAAGCTGTTATCTGGTGACCTGAGCCATGCAGATAATCAGAATTAGATAACTATTAGCAGGTAAGAATTTCCAGGGATTATAGGTTCACTCTGACTGGAATACAATATATTGAAGCAGTTTTCTCATATGCTATTGTTCATGGAATTAATTGGTTTTGAGTATTTCTGACCTTGTATAATTGCTGTGGTCAAATATTAAATATAGTCATTATTACAGGTAATGAAGCTGTTTTTAAAAATTATTTTGAAAATGAATACTTACATATTCAAAGGATTATTATGGCCATAAAAAGCTATTCCCTTATCTAATAATCTGTCATTAAGTGAAACAGCTCTAGAAATGTGTTGGAAAAGATTTGGTGATCCAATAATTTAACTTCCTTAGTTAACCTATAAGGAAAACAAGGTATGCAGAGACACAGATCTCTGCACACAAGATCACCCAGAATGATAATTCAAACCCAGTTCTTCTCTTCTGAAATTGCCTTCAATAACACACAGGAAAACTGCTTATTATAGTAGAGACAGGCATTGTTTTTGACCAAAATAGAGTAACACATTTTAATCACCACCTAACTCATGAGACATGCTTCCAAATTATTTGAGGCTTAAATTATTTGTTATTATGGAAATTTTCAAACATTACAGAAGTAGAGAGAAAAAGAAAGTGAACCTTAATATACATATTTTGCAGTTTCCACATTATAAATATTTTGTTCACTTTATTTTTCATCTCCACTACAACTACCATTGCTACTATTGCTGGTGGTAGTGTTAAATTTTGCTGGTATATTTTATATTTTAGAGTCCTTAATATCATGTCATCTAACTTATGTTACTAGTTTATTATGCATCCCTGACTTATAAGGACATTTTAAAAAACAAAATCACACTGCTGTTATCGTACTAACGAAATGAACAATACTTTCTTAACATTATTTTATACCCAGTTCATATTCCATTTCCTTGATTACTTCAAAAAGACTTTTTTAAAGTTAGTTTGTTTGAATCAGTGTCCAAACAAGGTGTTCACGTTGCATTTGGCATTTATATTCTTAACCCTTTTAATCTATAATAGTCTCTTTTAATTTTGTCATCTTTTCTCATTTATTTTGTCAATATTATTGATTGAGAAATCTATTGTAAATATTTATAAGGTACAGTGTGATGTTATGATATCTGTATGCAATGTGGCATGATTAAATCAAGCTAATCAACATATTCTTCACCTTGTTTACCTATCTTTTTTATGGTGAGACATTTGAAATGTACTCTCTTAGTAATTTTGAAATATATAATACATTATTATTGACTATAGTTACTCTGCTGTGCAGCAGATCTCGCAACCTATTTCTCCTCCCTATCTAAAACTTTGTACCCTTTGATCAACAGTTCTCCATTTGCTCCCTCACTGACTTGTTACACCCCCTTCCCCTGCCCCCTTTCACCCTCTGCCAGCCTCTGGTAAGCATCATTCTACTCTGTGCTTCTATGAGTTCAGCTTTTTAAGATTCTCCATCTAAGTTGATCATGTGATATTTGTTTTCTGTGCCTCGCTTATCTCACTTAGCTTAATGTCCCCTGGATTCATTCATGTTGTCACAGATGACAGAATTTTCTTTTTTTAAGGCTGAACAGTATTCCATTGTGTACATATGCCAGATTTTCTGTATCCATTCATTTGTTATTGGACACTTAGGTTGATTCCCTGTCTTGGCTATTGTGAGTAATGTGTTTGACTGTTTTGCATGTCTTTTGTTTCTTTCTTCTTCTCTTGCTGTCTTTCTTTGTGGTTTTGTGACAGGGCAGGTCTCACTATAACACAGAACTCCATAACAACTGTTTTACTACTGACTGAGTGCTTAAGTTAAATATTAAAAGCTGAAAGGGACAGTGCCCTTATACAAAGGCTGGAATGTAATAAAAGCTCATTAAGAGTTTTGCCTAGGCCTTTTCTGGGTCTTAAAGGATGTAAAAATAAAGCAATTCTTAACAGGATCTGTTTAAGATTAAACAAGTTTTATTGGGAGTCTGTAGAAACTCCCCAAACCTCCATGATTTAGCAGGAGACAAGATAAGGGTAATCACTTCAGCACTCGGACCCATTTAGTAAATACACTGAGTAAACTTACCCATCAGGAAATTTACTGAGGCTCCAGAGGAAGGTCTTCAGGACTCAGTTCTTAGTTGTAGATTAAAAGAAGTTAATCACTTATGTCTTTAGATGAATGCACACTTACACATCGACATATAGCTTAGAAGTTATATAAGCTCTGGAAGACTTTGTAATTTTGAGTTGGTCTGGTGATATTTTCCAGGCCTTGTCCCTATAACCAGTTACAGAAATGAAAACTCTCTTCCTCCCCAGTTCATCTGCATCTCATTATTGGGCCACGAGAAATAGAAGCCTGACCCTCAGTTTGGTTCCAGAACAGTTTTATGGTTTTCTGCGGTGGTATGCTTTCAATCCTTTCTTTTTGCATGTTGCAGAAATACTATAGGTTTTTGCTTTGTGGCTACCATGTTTATGTTTACATAAAACATCTTATCCTTCTAACATGCTACTTTAGGCTGATAATAACTTAACTTTACTCACATACAGAAACTCTACACTTACACGCTCCCTTCCCACTTTTTATAATTTTGATGTCAAGATTTACCTTTGTTTGGTAATTTGTATTCTTTAATAATTTATAATTATATATAATTTTATATATAATTATAATTTAATAATTTATTGTAGATACAGTTGTTTTTAATAGTTTTCTTTTAACCCACATAGTAGTGATACAAATGCTTTCCACATCACTGTAACAGTATTTGAGAATGCTGAGTATGACTATGTATTACTTGTATTATTGAGTTTTTTACTTTTGTGTGTCTTTTTGTTATTAATTAGCTTTTATTTCAGCCTAAAAATGAATTTTAGCAATTCCTATAGCATAGGCCTAATGCTGGTGAACTCTGTTAGGTTTTGTTTTCCTGGGAAAGTTTTTATTTCTCACTCATTTCTGAAGGACAGTTTTGCTGGTTAAAATATCCTTGATTGGCAGTTGTTTTCCCCAGCACTTTGAATATATCATTCTATTCTTCTCTGGCCTGCAAAGTTTCTGCTGAGAAATCTGCTGAAAGGTGTATTAGAGCTTTTTGAACATGATGTGCTTCTTATCTTTTGCTGCTTTCTGTATTCTTTGTCTTAAATTTTTAATAATTTTATTACAATGTGCTTTGGTGAACTCCTCTTAGGTTTGAATTTGGTTAGTGATTCCGAGCTCCCTGTACCTGGATGTTGCTGTCTTGCCCCAGATTTGGGGAAATTTCAGCCATTATTTACTTAAATATGGTTTATAGTTTTTTTTTCTCTCTCTCTCTCTTCTTCTCCTCAATTTCTATTATGTGAAAGTTAGTTCCCTTAATGGTGTCTCATGATTACCATGGGCCCTCTTTATTTTTTTCTTTGTTTTTTCTTTTTGCTCTTCTAGTTGAATGACTTCAGATGTCCTATGTTTTAGCTCACTGATTGTTTCTTCCATTTGATCACTCTGCTGTTGAAGGTTTCTACTGAAAATTTTCCATTTAGTTATTGTATTTTTTATCTCTAGGTTTTCTATTTTTTGTTATATTTCTTTGTCAGACTCATTTTTATGTATTGAGTTTTCCAAATTTCATTTAATTTTCTATTAATATTTTTTGGAGTTCCCTGAACTTTAAAAGGTTTATTCTAAATTCTTTGTCAATTATTATATAGCTTTCCTTTTCTTCTGGGCCAATTATTGAAGTTTATTAGTTTCTCTTGGTGGTATCATATTTCCTTGATTTATAATAATCTTTGTGTTCTTACATTGATGCCTGTACATTTGAGGAGATAGCTACTTCTTCCAGCCTTTGCAGGCATACTTTGATGGTGGTAGATCTTTACTATTTAGTCTGGCCTAGAATCCTGGATGGGCAAGCTAGTAGCAAACCTGGAAAGGCAGGTTTTGGTATCAGGCTGTCCAGATGGGCTAGGTGCCTTCCTGCTGTCTGTGGCCAGATGGGTAGTGCTGGCTGTGCTCCATGGTCTGGTGAGACCACCGGATGGATGCTGCCATCAGGCAGAGCTTTGCAATCATCTCTGGTCAGGCAGGATTACAGGTTTCTTCCCTGGCTGGACAGTATTGTTGTTTTGAATCCAGTTGGGGAGGTTTGGATGCTGGGTTCCCAGGCTGGATGAGGTCTCTGAGGTTGCTGCTTGGCCATTTGAGTTGGGTAGGGCCAGAGGCTATGCTCCACAGATATACATGTATGTAGGCTTGCCTCCTGGCCTAGGACAGGCTTTAGCAGAGCACTGAGACTTGCATTTGAAGTTGGGCAGGGCCAGGTGGGTACTCACTAACCTGCAGTTGCCTCCTGTCCTGGTCTTAGTTGGATCACCTCTTAGCTGCTGGGTTCAGAGGGACCAGATGCTCCTTTTGCAGGTAAATGCTAACTTATAGTTGCCTCCTGGCCTGGGGAGGACCTTTTATCTTGGGTTTTCTCAGTTGTGCAGTTGAAGGGGATGTCTCAGCTTCACTCTGGAGTTCTGGGATATTCATGAAGGTATTTTTGCCCTTGGATAGTTGCAAGTTGGGCATCTGTGGAGGAGGGAGTGGAGCCAGAGAACTCCTTTCTGCCATCTTGCTGATACCACTCTCACCCTTTTACAATTTTTGTTACAGAACATCATCCATTTATTGAATACACCAAGCTTATTGTCCTGCAGGATGTGCTGCATCCTAGATATGGCTGATTGTTTTCTTCTAGTGTTGTGTTGTTTAACTTTTTTCTAGCCTTTATACTTCTTGTAAATGGGAAGTTAGAACTCTGAAGGCTTGATTAGATTCAGCTTTCTTTCTTTTTTAAAAAGCAAATGCTTTGTACTTTTTATTGCATCACATGAGGGTAAACATAATTTTGGATGTTCCACTTTCAAATGCAGTCAGCATGATTTCTTCCTTTTAAAGTTGCTCATCAAATTTTAACTAATGGTTTTAGTATCTATGATGATTATTGCCTTGAACCATTATTTTATTAGGGGTTGCAAATGGTGATTTTCTTATTTTATCATTGTTTTTGCATTTATTTGCTAGAAATGTTCTGCATAAGACCTTTTCCTCAGCAACAATTGGTTATACTGAAATATAACTTATGCAGAAAAGTGGAATTAAATGCTCAATATATTCAATATATTTGTCATTTTTTATAATGATGGGTTGATGACACAGCAAATTCTGGTGACAACCAATAGGTTTTTAAAAATATTTTTAAAATTATCTGCTATATTTCAATCAGATACTATTATTATTGTTTTTTGATGCTCAAATTTGTCCCATTGTAGGCCGTTAGGAGACTTTCCAAGTTGGCTCTCAAGTACTTTTGATATCTTGTTCTCTGGCCTAACATAAACAATACATGAAAGAAGAGATAAAATTTGTGCTTCAGACATTCAAAGAAAATATATTCTGGGCTCTGAAGATAATTTATAAAAAGGATTAAAAAACACTAAGTAAACAATGTTGAAATAACTGTTCAAAGTTTCTCCTCTGAAGTAGATGATGGTCATTTATGTACTGCATTCTAGATATGGCTGATATGTACATATATTCTTAAAAACCCAACAATGTCACATTATTTTATAGGCATACTTTAAATGTAATCTTAATTTTTAACCAACTGACACAGAAATTCAGAATATTATGGCCCTATTTATTAATCATCCTGTATTAATCATACTGTACTGCTTATTAATCATCCTTTTTATGTGCTGAGGATCCAGGGATGAAAAACAACACAAAAAAGTTGTACTGACTCAAAAAGTTGGTAATATAGTTTAGGTTCCAGAGGAAAACCAATTTGGCTTCTGTAAAGAAAAGCAGAGCACACTGATAAGGAGCTCAGGTTTTGGATTCAGAGGAATATGGATCCTGACTCCTCCAAATCCTGGCTCTGAAGCCTTTCAACGTCAGCTAACAGTTTCAGGTTCCAGTTTCCTCATCTGTGAAACAGTGTAATACTACTGCTTTCATAGTGCAGGGATAAGTATGTAATGAAATACTTGTAAAGCATTCAGCACAGGACATAGAGTAGTGACTGGTGAGAACATCATTTGGTAAAGATGTCTGGCTGGGTTTGACAGGGGCAGGGAGGGAAGCTCTCCATGGTGGAGTTGAGCTATTTGAAGGAACAATCTGCTGGCTTTTCAAGTCATTAATATGTGTCCCATCTTAGGATTCTTTGTAACATTTCTGAATGAAAAGGGGCTTTGGAGGCCATCTATCTAACCACCTCCCCCAACCAATTTTCTACTTAAGAAAATCAAGGCCCAATAAAGTTAAATGACTCACATTCATATCACTACCATGCAACCACTAATGACAGAACTCAGAATAAGCAGTATTGTCCAACAGAAATACAATACAAACCACAGATGTGATTTTAAATTTTCTAGTAACCCTTTGTATATTTCATGTTTACAGCACATTTTAATTTGGACTAACAACATTGCAGATACTCAATAGCCACATGTGACAAATGACTACTGTTTTGGACAATACAGGTCTACTTTGTCCTAAATTCCTTTATAATGTTGCTATAAAGGAATATCTGGGGCTGGGCAATTGATAAAGAAAAGAGGTTTATTTGGCTTACAGTTCTGCAGGCTATACAAGAAGCATGGCACAGACATCTGCTTCTGTTGAGGGCCTCAGTCTGCTTCCACTCATGGTAGAAGGTGAAAGGGGGCTGTGTGTGCAAAGATCACAGAGGTCACATGACAAGAGAAGAAGCAAGAGAGAGGAGAGGTGCCAGGCTCTTTTTTAACAACCAGCTCTGGGGGAACTATTAGAGAGAGAACTCACTCACCCCCATGGGAGGGTGTCAACACATGAGTGTTGACCTAAATACTTCCCATTAGGATCCACCTCCAACATTGGAGATCAAGTTTCAATGTGAGGTTTGGAGGGGTCAAACATCCAAACTATAGAAAAATCCAAAGTTCAGTTCTCCTAATTCCTGAGCATATGGTTTCTTTGCTTCTCACATGACTTTCTTGTTATTTTCCATATCAGAAATAATTGTCTTACAACATATGTGGGCCATTAAACATAATTTTTCATCTTGAAAAAAATGTCACTTGTGGTCCTGATGCATTTAGGGGAAGAAATTCTTCTAGGTAAACCTTCCCTGGAGACCTACCACTTCAGGAAACTCTACCAGTAGTTTGTCAATAAACAATTTCAAATGAGAACACATTATTAGACACAAGGTGCTAATTGCAATCATAGAGATTATATTTCTTTTCTTTTCTTTTTTTTTTTTTTTCTCTCCAGACAGGGTCTGGCTCTGTCACCCAGACTGGAGTAGAGTGGTGCGATCTTGGCTCACTTCAACCTCCACCTCCTGGGCTCAAGCAATCCTCCCACCTCAGGCTCCAGAGTGGCGTGGATTACAGGCATGAACCACCATGCCTGGCTAATTTTTGTATTTTATTAGCGATAGAGTCTCACCATGTTGGCCAGGCTGGTCTCGAACTCCTGGTCTCAAGTGATCTGCCCTCACTGGCCTCCCAAAGTGCTGGGATTACAGGCATGAGCCACCACGCACAGCCAAGATTTCTATTTCTTTGATAATAAGTTTTGCCTAAAAGTTTTCTCAGAAAATACATTATTAGACATGGCCAAATTTTTGGCCCATCTCTAGCAGATGCACAAGTTTTGACAACATGCATTAGCCTCTCACCTACCTTTCTTGTTTCTTTCCTATTTTAATTTCCCTTTAGCTTTTAGGAAATAGTATCATTTTAAAAATAAAATGATGTATATACCTGGCTTTAAGAATCAATAATTTCTTAAGATTTATTTTAAAGACAGCAGCATCTTTATATGCTATTTTCTACTTTCCCCCATCTGTGATCCTCCAGCTGCAAAGACTGAACTCTTACAGCTATTTTTTTCAGTTTAGGGCACATTTTTGAGACCTTTCCATTGTGGAAGAAGATATTTAGCTTTCTCCCCCTCTACTTCCTGACCACCCCCTCCTTGTTTCCCCCTAAAATAAAAGCAATTTTATTATTCATCTAGTAGTCCAATAATACTTGTAATTACTGTCCTGTTTTCCTGCACCAACACCTCACACCCAATAGAGTTATCTCATAATTTTGGTCAGAAAATTCAGTGTTCAGCAATATGACTGTTGTCTGTAAACACTATTCATGCCTTACTCATGTGGTATACAATAATTGTTTTTCTTTTATTTCACTCTTTGTTCCCTGTTGGAGTTAATAATTTTGTTTTGTTGTTTTATTTATACTTTTATGTAGATACCAACATCCAAACTCATTAACCTGAGAAGTGCAGCTTTATCTTTTGCCTGTAGGATGAGTAGATGAGAAGTGGGGGAGATGGGAGGGAAGAGCATCTAGAAAGAGGAAGGACATGTGCAAAGGCCCTGTGGCTAGGGGACAATGATAGATAAGGAACCACAAAATGGCCAGTGTGAGTGCAACATGGAGAGATAGGTAGAATAAACTGCTGGAGTGGGAAGAAGGAGGCAGGTCATCCACAATTTGTAGGCAGTGTTGATGGTTTGGTTTTGATCTTAATTATACTTAGAAGAAATTTATTTAAGCATTTTCAGCAGGGGAGAGAGATAGCCAGATTTAAATCTTTCTCTCTATCCTTTGCATTCCTTCATATTTTTTATAATGATATTCTATTCTGTTTAAATTAGTCA
Organism: Homo sapiens; assembly: GCF_000001405.40. Classification (NCBI taxonomy): domain Eukaryota; kingdom Metazoa; phylum Chordata; class Mammalia; order Primates; family Hominidae; genus Homo; species Homo sapiens. Next base: position 163,366,669 of record NC_000005.10, on the reverse strand, counting down.
GGATCATTTATTTTGTTTGCAATCAATAAACTTCAACAGGTTAAGGAGCTTTCTTGCATACGGATTTTTTTTTTTTTTGAGACAGAGTCTTGCTCTGTTGCCTAGGCTGGAGTGCAGTGGTGCGATCTCGGCTCACTGCAAGCTCCACCGCCTGGGTTCAGGCCATTCTCCTGCCTCAGCCTCCCTAGTAGCTGGGACTACAGGTGCCTGCACAACGCCCGGCTAATTTTTTGTATTTTAATAGAGATGGGGTTTCACCAAGTTAGCCAGGACGATCTCGATCTCCTGACCTCGTGATCTGCCCGCCTCAGCCTCCCAAAGTGCTGGGATTACAGGCATGAGCCACCGCGCCCAGCCTCTTGCATACAAATTTTGATGTCAATACTCAGTTGGACTGGACTTCTTTATACTGGGTTCTGTTTTGTTCTGTTGCCTGAATGTTGCCTAGATCTACAGAAGATTCTTTTGTATGTGTAGTAAATAGTTGTTTTTGGTTTCCTTTAACGTATGTTGCTGCATTCAAATTAATTCACAGCTGTCATTTTCCAGGTACAGTTCTCAAGTTAAACCTCTTTTCAAGGTGCCTTTTATTATGTCAAAAAGAACTTTAATTTATTTCTGCCATGTTATCTCTGTAAATCCTAAGAACTCCAGACATGACAATTGTCACTGCATGAGTCTACTGCAATTCATTTGTTTTGGTTTTTCCATTCATTCAAAAATGTTAATTTATTTGTAAAAGGGACAAAAATAAAAATGCATAAGTACTCACACTGCCCTTTTCTTTTCCACTACTTGATGAAAATGTTGTTCCTACCCATGCTATCTCTCTGTTTACCTGTTATGTTGATTAGACCAATGAATGAACTAAGAACGAGGAGTGGTTTATTTCAAAATGGGCTGAGAAGCATTGCAAAATTTAAAAATGCAAAAAAATTAACAAAAAGTGTTATGCCACTACAAAAGGGGGGTCAAGAGGGGAATGAGAAAATAGGAGTGTCTGTGAAGATAAGCATATTGGGTAATTTTTTTTTTTTTTCAAAAATGAAGAGTGAAGAATGGGGAGAACAATTTTGGGCAGTTAACATGAAAGTTGGCAGTGGAGAGAAATGGGAGAAGAATTTTAAGGTGTTGACACAGGATTTCTCTCAGAGCTGCTTTTCCAGCTGGAGACCTCTGTGGCTGGTGACACCCCTGCCCAGGCCTTGCTCTGGCCCGGGCTTGCCGCAGGAGGTATCCCACCTACTTGGCCCAGCAGGAAGCACTTGGCTTGCGCTCCTGCCCATATCTAATGCTTGCTGCAGGATCTACACTCAACCTGCAGTTGGGCTGGGTGTACATGACCTGTTTTTGCCTTGGGCAGTGGTGTCTGGATGAGGAGAACACAGTGGCACCTGAACAGGGATGCCAGTGACCCCAAATCCCTATAGGGGTTGTTACAGCATGCCAAGCTCTTTTAGTCCCATTGTCCCACTCCGGCCTGTGGCTCTGGGGACTGGCCCTGCTGCTGCTTCCACCTCAGTGCTGCTTCCCATCATGTGGGGCAGCTGCCCTCTGCCAGTGAAGGGCAGAGGGCTACAGTGTTCCAGTCTTTCTTTGTACCCACATTCAGCAGGTCCCGAGTTCTTGTCCCACATCCAAGAATAATTAGGGTACACTGACAACTGAAGTATGAAGGGAGTTTTATTGAGTGACAGCTCTCAGTGGGGAGGGGATCCAAGAGGGCAGCCTCCTCTCTGAAGTCAGGTGCCCAAAGGTGAGCAGTCTCTAAGTGTGGCTGAGCCCAGGGCTTTTATTGGCTCAGAATGGGTGAGTGCGTGCTGATTGGTTTGTGAGTATGCAAAAAAGGCTAAAACAAAGCCACCACTCAAAGATGGACATAACAGTGTTAAAAAACAATTAGGGAAGGGTAAGTATATGTAAATAGGTGAAGGGGTAGGGATCAATGATAGGAAAGCATGCCAGATGGGAAGAGAGGCTCTTAATCTGGTCCATGGATTTATTCAAGACTTGTAGCTTGGCTTTCAGACTTTAAACTGTCTTTGGTTTGAAGGTGGGGTTTCACCAAGGACCCACCCCTATCTGCCTAGGCATTTGTCTGCCTCCTGCCACTATCAGTGTGAAGCAGTAAAGTATTACTTTGTTTTAAATCAAATCTCTCAGTTAACTTGAAGAGTCAGAATCAGAATTGCTTTTTGTTTGTTTGAATAATACACTGTGGTGAGACTGGGCCATAAAGTTCCCACTTATATTCCAATAACATAATTGTACAAAGATTGGGTAGCAGACAATGTAGTTGAAAGTAATTTACTATAAATTGGCATGCCAGTAGTAGAGTTCTTTTTGGGTATGAAGAAATAGGCACTAGACATGGTCTGGAAGGATAATGCAAGAGAAGTAGCCAGCATTTCTGCATAAAAACATTTGGGATATATGACTTTGAGAGAGTATCCCAAGGGTCCAGGGAGATGAAGAGAGGGCCAGGCAACCTGATGAGAGATGCCAGGACTTCAAGACAAAATATAGCCATTGAAAAATTCCCAATGGCAAAGATGGCTTTGAAATTTTTAAGAACAGAGATTTGTAATATTAGATTTAGGACTGTTTGCTCTGTATGCTATGAAGAGATCCTCTTTTGTCATCACCAGCGCTGCCCTGTGGGAATCATAATTTGGAAGATGTTTGGGTTCATGCAGGGTAGAAAGAACATAATGGGAGGCTAGCATGAGTGAGACTGAGACTTAAGAAGGATTTCTAAATAAGAGGAAGTAGTAATAATGAGAATATAAATCCCTAAAATTCTGTAGAAATCTTGGGCATTATGGATTGAGGTGAATTTTTGAGGCATGACCCTATAAAAGTGGATACAGACACATAGCTTCTGAGATTAACACAGCTTTTCTTCCATCATGATATCATTATGATTGTTTCTTTAGATGGTTTTCATTTTTTCACTGATGTGAAAATCCTCTACTATCAGCTACTCTAGAAAGAATTTGCAAAGGCATTCTTGCTATCTGGAATGAAGGGATAATTTAGTTCAGACAAAAAAGCTTTGTTACGCTTCTAACAGCAAAATTGGCAAAATTACAAGACCTCTAATTTTTATGGGTTAGATGGGTTCTTAGGGAAACCCAAGGCTAAATACCTTGAACACTTTGTCAAGGGTTCTGCAGTCTAAGAGGCTAGGTCAGTGCAGCTGCAGGCAATTTGCAGGAGACTGGCAATGTGGTGTGTGGGCCCCAAGGCACTGAATGCTAATCTGAGACTATCCCCTCCAAAAGCTTTTGCCATTCATCATTTTCACATCCAGATGGCTCCCATTGTCTTTCTATTCCTCTTTTTGTGCAAAGTGGCTGCTCTTAAATCATGGTATATTAGTGTTGGAAGCAATTTTATTATTCATCTAGTAGTCCAATTACCACTCTTTATAGAAGAGGAAACGGAAACCCAAAGAGGGTAAATATCATGGTCAAAACTACCCAGTTACTTTGTATCACAGCTGAGAGAAGAACATTTTTATCTCTTGGATCTCAGCCCAGTTCTCATTGTACTTCACCAGAATCTGATAATTTGGAGGAAAACTTGTAGCACAGGAGTTGAAGTCAGATGACCACAAATTCAAACCTCATCTCTGTTACTTAATAACTGTTAGATCTCAGCCAGTTAATCATTAATCACCAGTTTTCTAAATTGTAAAATGAGAATGATAATGAAACCGCTATCACAGGCTGTCATGATGATAAATTGATATTTGAATTTGAAGTGCTTATCATAGTGCCTGGTAAATAGTAACTGCTCAGTTAATTAGCTTTTATCAGCATGGCTCCAAATCTTTTCACGTAACAATATAAAAATGGTGTTTCTTAGCGGGGAGGGCAAAGGAATGGATATTTTGTTTATGAGCATCTGCAAAGGCATATTTGACTTTATATATGCTAATAGTTCAGTCCAGTGATCAAGACTTGCTAGCCTGATGATTGTAAATGTCCTTCTATAGGAAACATTTTCTCAGAGAGTAGGAAGAATGAAAATTTTTAAGGTTTTTAAATACTGTGCTGTCTGTTGATGGCTGGCACACACTTATTGATAATAATGGTCAGTGGACCCTGTCATCAACTTGGGGTACCAAATACAGATCAGGGAGACGTTTTGAATTTATGATACTATGTGTATTTAAGAAGTAGTAGTTTGATTTTTCAAGATTATAAAATTGGCTTCAAAACAAAACAACATTCAACCTTTCTGCAACTTCATAGAATAGTTGGTGTATGTTTAAGCTCTCTAATTTTTAGAGGCATAGTTAATGCATTGAGAAATCTAAAAAAAAAAAAAAGGCAGATGATATTAACCAAGCCATAGTTCTCCCTTAAATTAATGAATTAATTGTCAGTTGAAGACAAAAAACTTGCAATCTTGGAAGGTGATTAGTATCTGGAAGATACTGGAAAAATACAGACTTGGAAAAAATTCAGCAAAAAACCCCCCAAAACAAAAAAATGAACCCAAACTCAGAATGAAAACAAAAACAAAAAATCCCAAACCACAATCAATGGTTTTTGAGATATTTACATTTATTTACTCTCTACTATAGAGGTTTGTTTGTTTGTTTGTTTGTTTTGTGGATACAGGGTCTCACTCTGTTGCCCAGGCTGGAGTGCAGTGGTACAACTTTGACTCACTGCAGCCTCAACCTCTTAGGCCCAAGCAATCCTCCTACCTCATCCCTCCAAGTAGCTGGGAGTACGGGTGACTGCCACCATGCCAAGCTAGTTTTTGTATTTTTTGTAGAGACAGGGTTTTACCATGTTGTCCTGGGTGGTCTCAAACTCCTGAGCTCATGCCATCTGCCCACCTGGGCATCCCAAAGTGCTGGGTTTACAGGCGTGAGCCACTGCTCCTGGCAAAGTATTTTTAAATAAAATTATAATGTCTTTACCATTAAACAGAAGTTCAGTTTTCATGACAACAAAGGCCTAAGGCCATGTTCTCCACACACCACTTGTAGAGAAATTACATGAGGGATGAATATTTAAGAGGCAAATTCTTTGGTTCTGCCCTAGAGATGCTAGTTGAGATGGACTAGTGTGGGGCCCAGGACTTCCATCATGCTTCATATTTCTCCATGTAATTCTTGGGCACTCTAAAATTTGAAAACCACTGGCCTAAGCAAAATCCTACTTTGGAATTTTGCTGCTTCAAACAAAAATATGCCATGAATTAAGAAAACCTAACATTAAAAAATCCTGGAACTAACAATGACTAGATAATGGTTATATGCATTACTTAAGCATTTCTTGTTTTATAAGAAGATCAATGTGCTTTTTAAAAAACAGTGATTTTTATGCATATGTGATGAGTCTCTTCATCAAATTCAAATTTGATTAATGCTGCTAAGTAAAACACCCCAAAACAAAAACAAACAAAAACTCTAATACACACCTCACATCTGACTTTACCTATGATGTCTCCTGAGTTCAGATGGTACTCAATATCTGGGCCATTTATTCTATACTGCTTTGTAATATAAGACATTTTCACATGTGTAAGTTTTGTCTCGCTAACACTACTTTGAGCACTTTCAAGAAAAGAACTCTGAGTACATTCACTTGTATTTTTTCCTTCTTCCATTTCTCCCTTCCTTTTTGTCTACTGTATTAGTTCCTTTTTATGCTGCTATAAGGACATACATGAGACTGGGTAATTTATAAAGGAAACAGGTTTAATTGACTCACAGTTCAGTATGGCTGGGGAGAACTCAGGAAACTTACAATCATTGCAGAAAGGGAAGCAAACATGTCCTTCCGTGCCAAGCAGCAGCAAGGAGAAGTGCCGAGCAAAAGGGGAAAAAATCCGTTATAAAACCATCAGATCTTGTGAGAACTCACTCACTATCAGATCTTATGAGAGCAGCATGGAGGTAACTGTCCCCATGATTCAATTGCCTCCCACCAGGTCCCTCCTATGACATGTGGAGATTATGGGAATTACAAGATGAGATTTGGCTGGGGACACAGCCAAACCATATCATTCTACCCCCTGGCCCCTCCGAAATTTCAAAAATTTCAAAACACAATCATGCCTACCCAACAGTCCCCCATAGTCTTAACTAATTCCAGCATTAACTCAAATGTCCAAGTCCAAAGTCTCATCTGAGACAAGGCAAGTCCCTTCCACCTATGAGTCTGTAAAATCAAAAGCAAGTTAGTTACTTCCTAGATACAATGGGGGTGCAGACACTGGGTAAATACACCTGTTCCAAATGGGAGAAATTGGCCAAAACAAAGGTGCTACAAGCCCCATGCAAGTATGAAATCTACTGCGGCAGTCATTATGCCTTAAAGTTCCAAAGTGATCTCCTTTGACTCCATGTCTCACATCCAGGTCACGCTGATGCATGAACTAGCCTCCCATGGCCTTGGGCAGCTCTGCTCTTTGGCTTTGCAGGGTACAGTCCCCATCCTGGCTGCTTTCATGGGCTGATGTTGAGTGCCTGTGGCTTTTCCAGGCACGTGGTGCAAACTTTTGGTGGATGTACCATTCTGGGGTCTAGAGGATGGCAGTCCTCTTCTCACAGCTCCACTAGGCAGTGTCCCAGTAGGAACTCTGTGTGGGGTCTCAACTCCACATTTTCTTTCTGCACTGCTCTAGCAGAGGTTCTCCATGAGGCTCCACCCCTGCAGCAATCTTTTGACTGGACATCCAGGTGTTTCCATACATCCTCTGAAATCTAGGCAGAGGTTCCCAAATCTCACTTCTTGACTTCTGCACACCTGCAGGCCCAACACCATGTGGAAGCTGCCAAGGCTTGGGGCTTGCACCCTCTGAAGCAATGACCTGAGCTATACATTGGCTCCTTTTAGCCATGGCTGGAGTGGCTAGGGTGTAGGGCACCAAGTTGCAAGGCTGCACACAGCAAGGAGGGCTCTGAATCCAGCCCAGGAGACCACTATCCTTCCTAGGCCTCCAGGTCTGTGATGGGAGGAGCTGTCATGAAGGTCTGTTACATGTCCTGGAGACATGTTCCCCATTTTCTTGGTTATTAACATTCAGCTCCTTGTTACTTATGGAAATTTCTGCAGCAAGCCTGAATTTCTCCCCAGAAAATTGGCTTTTCTTTTCTTTTGCATCATCAGGCTCCAAATTTTCCAAATTTTTATGCTCTGCTTCCTCTTTAATGCTTTCCACTTAGAAATTTCTTCCACCAGATAACCTAAATCTTCTCTCTCAAGTTCAAAGTTCCACAGATCTCTGGGGCAGGTGCAATATGCCACCAGTCTTTTTGCATAGAAAGAGTAACCTTCACTCCAGTTCCCAACAAGTTCCTCATCTCCATCTGAGACTACCTTAGCCTGGATGTCATTGTCCATTATCACTATCAGCATTTTGGTCAAAGCCATTAAACAAGTCTTTACGAAGTTCCAAACTTTCCCAATCTAAGTTCCAAACTTTCCCACATCTTCCTGTCTTCTGAGCCCTCCAAATCTCTAGGAAGTTGCAAACTTTCCCACATTTTCCTGTCTTCTTCTGAGCCCTCCAAACTGTTCGAGCCTCTGCCTATTACCCAGTTCTTAAGTCACTTACACATTTTCAGGTATCTTTACAGCAGTGCCCCACTCCTGGTACCGGTATACTGTATTACTTTGCTCTCATGCTGCTAAAAGGACAGGGACCAGGTAATTTATAAAGGAAAGCTATTTAATTGACTCACAGTTCAGCATGGTTGGGGAGGCCTCAGGAAACTTACAATTATGGCAGAAGGAGAAGCAAACATGTCCTTCTTGATATGGTGGTAGCAAGAAGAAGTGTCAAGCAAAAGTGGGGGAGGGGGGAAGCCACTTATAAAACCATCAGAGCTCGTGAGAACTCTCTCACTGTCACAAGAACAATATGAAGGTAACTGCCCCTATGATTCAATTACCTTCCACCAGGTCACTCCCAGAACACATGGGGATTGTGGGAACTACAATTCAAGATGCGATTTGGGTGGAGACACAGCCAAACCTTATCATCTACCTTTGTTCATTTATCCGTCAAACATTTATCAAATGTCTGCAGTAAGTCAGGTTTTATGATAAGTTCTGGGACATAAGGCATTTAGTAAAAAGTGTTTTGGAACAAATGGATGAATACATAAAAAGAACATATCTGTTCTAAAGCACTTATATTCTAGGGCAGCGTTCTCTAGCGTTTTTGGCTCCAGGGACTGGTTTCATGGAAGATAATTTTTCCATGGACAAGGTGACAGTGGGGGATATTTTCGGGATAATTCAAGCACATTGCGTTTATCGTGCACTTTATCTCTATTATTACATTGTAGCATATAATGAAATAATTACACAACTCACCATAATGTAGAATCAGTGGGAGCCCTGAGCTTATTTTCTTGCAACTGGACAGTCCCATTTAGAGGTGACAGGAGGCAGTGACAGATCATCAGGGATTCGATTCTTATAAGGAGCATGCAAAATAGATCCCTTGCATGTGCAGTTCGCCATAGGGTTCACGCTCCTATCAGACTCTGATGCCACCGCTGATCTGAGAAGAAGTGGCACTCCGGTGGTAATGTAAGCAATGGGCAGTGGCTATAAATACAGATGAAGCTTTGCTCGCTCACCCACTGCTCACCTCTTGCTGTGTGGCCAGGTTCCTAACAGGCCATGACCTGGGGGTTGGGGACCTCTATTCTAGGGGCTAGATAAAGACGTGTAAACCTTTTTGTATCAATTTTCTAGGGCTGTTGTAACAAGGTACTGAAAACTGGGTGGCTTAACCAACAGAAATGTGTTGTCTCACAGTTTTGAAACTAGAAGTCTGAGATCAGGGTGTTGTCAGGGTTGGTTCTTTCTGAGGGCTCTTAAATAGAATCCATTTAATTTGTGTTTCCCAGCTTCTTGTGGTTTTCCGGCCATCTTTGGTATTCTGTGGTTGGAGAAGCATCACCTGTGTCTCAAACTTCATCTTCACATGGCATTCTTTCTGTGTGCCTGTCTCTGTCTAAATGCTCTCCTTTCAAAAGAGACTAGTAATATTGCATTAGGACCTGCCATAATGACTATCTTAACTAATTACATACACAACTATTCTATTTCCAAGAAAGGTCACATTCTCAAGGACTGGAGTTTAGAACCTCAACATTTTAATTTTAGGGGGACACAATTCAACCTATAACACCTTGCAATAAAGTTATCTTTAATGTGATGAAAAGGGAATGGAATTGTAGGAACAAGTGGTGAATTTTACTTGTTGAGGGTCAGACAGTCTTTTTAGGTATGAAGAAGTTTTAGGCATTGTGCTTTGACATGGTGGGTGCTCAACAAATGCAACTGATTGTATTTTTAATTGATCTGGTATTTTAAAATACATTTGTCTTCAAAATCCTGTGTACCACAAAAATTTCTTGGAGAAGGCAAGCTCTTTTCAATATTTATCCCTGTGTTCAGTTTCATAGGAAAGCTATGCTCAAGATAGTAACATTCGTGCTATTTGCAAGGAAGATTGGCTTTGTAAAAGCAGTATTTGTTCGTACCTATTCCTGCATGTTTCAAAAAAAGAAATGAAATTATATCCCCCTCTAATTTCCAAAGATTTAGAGGCTCCATTAATTTCTTTGGGTTTTTGAGTATCTTAGATTCGTCAGTCTAAGCTTTTTTTAAGGACAATGTCAGGTTGTAGTGTGTCTGGAATTGGTGGGTTCTTGGTCTTACTGACTTCAAGAATGAAGCCACGGACCCTCACGGTGAGTGTTACAGTTCTTAAAGGCGGCTTGTCCGGAGTTTGTTCCTTCTGATGTTCGGATGTGTTCAGAGTTTCTTCCTTCTGGTGGGTTCGTGGTCTCGCTGGCTCAGGAGTGAAGCTGCAGACCTTCGCAGTGAGTGTGACAGCTCATAAAAGCAGTGTGGACCCAAACAGTGAGCAGTAGCAAGATTTATTGCAAAGAGTGAAAGAACAAAGCTTCCACACTGTGGAAGGGGACCCAAGCGGGTTGCCACGGTGGCTCGGGCAGCCTGCTTTTATTCCCTTATCTGGCTCCACCCACATCCTGCTGATTGGTCCATTTTACAGAGAGCCGATTGGTCTGTTTTACAGAGAGCTGATTGGTCTATTTTGACAGGGTGCTGATTGGTGCATTTACAATCCCTGAGCTAGACACAAAAGTTCTCCACATCCCCACTAGATTAGCTAGATACAGAGTGTGGACACAAAGGTTCTCCAAGTCCCCACCAGAGTAGCTAGCTACAGAGTGTCGATTGGTGCATTCACAAACCCTGAGCTAGACACGGGGTGCTGACTGGTGTGTTTACAAACCTTGAGCTAGATACAGAGTGCCGATTGGTGTATTTACAATCCCTTAGCTAGACATAAAGATTCTCGAAGTCCCCACCAGACTCAGGAGCCCAGCTGGCTTCACCCAGTGGATCCTGCATGGGGGCTGCAGGTGGAGCTGCCTGCCAGTCCCATGCCATGCGCCCACACTCCTCAGCCCTTGGGTGGTCGATGGGACTGGGTGCCGTGAAGCAGGGGGTGGCACTTGTTGGGGAGGCTCGGGCTGCGCAGGAGCCCACAGGTTGGGGGGAGGCTCAGGCATGGCAGGCTGCAGGTCCCAAGCCCTGCCCCGCGGAGAGGCAGCTAAGGCCCGGGGAGAAGTCAAGCACAGCAGCTGCTGGCCCAGGTGCTAAGCCCCTCACTGCCCGGGGCCGGCGGGGCCAGCTGGCTGCTCCGAGTGCGGGGCCTGCCGAGTCCACGCCCACCCAGAGCTCGCACTGGCCCACAAGCACCGGTTCCCGCCCGCGCCTCTCTCTCCACACCTCCCCGCAAACTGAGGGAGCTGGCTCCAGCCTCAGCCAGCCCAGGAAGGGGCTCCCACAGTGCAGCCGTGGGCTGAAGGGCTCCTCAAGTGTAGCCAGAGTGGGCACCCAGGCAGTGGAGGCGTGGAGAGCGAGCGAGGGCTGCGAGGGCTGCCAGCACGCTGTCACCTCTCAGTTGCAACACCTTGGACTAGGCTTTGGGTCAGGAAGATGGATTCTAATTCTCAAGTCACTTTCCTTGTCTTAGTCTATTTGGTCTGTATAACAAAATACCATAGACTGAGTGGTTTGTCAACAACAAAAACTTATTTTTTACCATTCTGGAGGTTGGGAAGTTCCAGACCAAGGAGCCAGCAGATTCAGTGTCTGGTGAGGACCTCCTTCCTCATAGATAGCTGTCCTTTCACAGTGAGGTCACATGGTGGAAAGGTATGTGGGGATCTCTCTATGGTCCCTTTTATAAGGGTACTAATCCCAATAGTGAAGATTCCACACACATGACCTAATTACCTTCCAAGGTTCCACATCCTAATATTGTTACATTGGGGGTTAGGATTTTAACATATGAATTTGAGGGGACATAAACATTCATGCTATTGTACTCTCTTCATACTCAGCTTCACAACATGTAAGATAAAGGTATAGACTGTATCAGGGGTTGGCAAACTACAGTTCATGGGCCAAATCCAGCCATCTGTCTGTTTTTCTAAATAACGGTTTATTGGAATGACATTCCTTTAGGTATTATCTATTGTTGCTTTTGTGCTATGATGGCAGAATTGAGTAGTTATTGCAGAGACAGTATGGCCTGCAAAGCTAAAATATTATTTGGCCCTTACAGAAAAAGTTCGCTGACTTCTGAATTATATGGTTGTTAAGGTTCTTCCTGGTTCATAGCACTCTATAGTTGACTGCAGGATCCTGTCAGAGAGTATAAAGTGGAACTGAAACTGCCTTTGCAAAATTATGACAGTAAGAGAATCTGACATAGTTGACTGTATCTTGCTTCTAACCTCCAAGCTGTCCTTGGTCATTCCTGGCTATAGGCCAACCTAACTTAGGGAAGAATTTACTTTATAGTTTACCCTTAAGGCAAGAATGATAATAACCCTTCCCCAAACTAAACAACCTTTGTAAAAACTAATGAAAGCCCACAAGGTTAGGAATATGAGAGGGGGCTGAATTCTGCTAAGATGTAGGCATGGTTAAGTGATAACTGGCCTTGTTCCAGGGTCACAAAATTTATAATTGTTCATATGGATAACATCACTATTATAGAACCTAAGGTTGGCCTTTTGAGATGGTTTTCAGACTTTTGGCTTTTTGATGACCAACTAACTCTACTCGGTCCCACGACTCATGACTCAACCAGTCTTGTGACTCCCACCCAGAGGCTGGCTCAGGGCACAAGAACTGCTTTCCATACCCCTACGATTTCATCCCCAACTAATCAACATTTCCCATTCCCTAGCACACTGCCCAGCAAACTATTCTTGAAAAACCCTAGGCCGGGTGCGGTGGCTCATGCCTGTAATCCCAGCACTTTGGGAGGCCTAGGTGGGTGGATCACGAGGTCAGAAGTTCAAGACCAGCCTGGCCAAGATGGTGAGATCCCATCTCTACTAAAAATACAGAAAATTAGCCGGGTGTGGTGGCATGCGCCTGTAATCCTATCTACTCTGGAGGCTGAGGCAGAGAATTGCTTAAACCTGGAGGGGCAGAGGTTGCAGTGAGCCGAGATCGTGCCATTGCACTCCAGCCTGGGCAACAGAGCGAGACTCTGTCTCAAAAAAAAAAAGAAAAACCCTAACCTCTGAGCCTCCATGAGACTGATTTGCATGAGAAATCCGGAGCTCCCAAGTGGCCGGCCTCACATTAGTTATATTTTTTCTTTACTGCAATATTGTGGTCTCAGTGAATTGGTTTTTGTCTGTGCAGCAGGCAGAAAAAAAACTGTTGGATGACTACAGAACTTATTTTAGATTAACATGATGGATATCTGAGGATGTGATATTATAATTTGAGACATAGGGGATTTTTAAGAGTTAAGGAAGTCAGAAATGGGGGAAGGGCCTTCTAAGCACAATAATAGTTTTGGGCCAGGTGCGGTGGCTCACGTCTGTAATCCCAGCACTGTGGGAAACCGAGGCAGTCGGATCACTTGAGGCCAGGAGCTTGAGACCAGCCTGGCCAACATGATGAAACCCCATCTCTACTAAAAATACAAAAATTAGCCGGGCATGGGGACAGGTGCCTGTAATCCCATCTACTCGGGAGGCTGCGGCAGGAGAATCTCTTGAACCTGGGAGATGGAAGTTGCAGTGAGCCGAGATTGCGGCACTGCACTCCAGCCTGGGTGACAGAGTGAGACTCTGTCTTAATAATAATATTAATAATAATGATAGTGATAATAATAATAGTTTTGTAAGATTTCATTTCCAAAAGAAAGTTTGGTGGCCCAACAGAAGAGGGAAATGAACATATAAATACTACAAATGTTATTGTATAGGGAACAGGATATTATGATTTATGACCTTAATTAGTGATCTTATGTCTCTTTCTACAGCTAACTAAGCATGTGAAATGAGAGGTCATTCAACCTTTTAGAGAAGAAGTCAGCAAACTTTTTCTTAAAAGACAAATACTAAATATTTTAGGCATTGCCAGCTATACAATCTCTGTCATACAAAGACTCATCTCTGTCATTGCAGCATGAAAGCGTGACACAATATGTGAATAAATGAGCATTTGCTTTGTTTTGATAAAAGTTTATGAATACTGAAATTTGAATTTCATGTTATTTTCAGTATTCATGAGATATGTTTCTTTTGATTTTTTTTCAATGACTTAAACTTGTAAAAATTATTCTTATCTCATGGGCTACGCAAATACAGGTGACAGAGTAAATTTGGCCAGTGGGCCATAATTTGCAGACTCCTGTTTTAGTCTTAACATTCCTTGTGTGTAAAATGCAGATATAATTCCTCTACCAATCATTCAGTGTGGTTATGACTGAATGAGAAACATTTGTCCTTGAAAAGTTCTTTGCATGCAATAATATATTCAGATATAAGATATCATCCTTTTATAGTCACAAGACTTATTGAATTATCTACGGTTGCAGGATACACAATTCTCCTGGGAGTTGATGAGAAATTTATCTTTTTCATGAATAAGTTTTGCTAAAGGAGGAGAAAAATAGGAATGCATCTTGCATATTTAATAAGTACAAGCATGATTCTATTATTCCAAATATTCCTAGAACATTGGTTGGTAAATCAAATAATTTCCTAAGCAGAAAAGGTTTTGAGCTGATTACCTCAACTTGGAAATCCTATTGTACTTTACTTTTACTCTTCTCATTAAACTTATTATTTTCTATTTTATGAAGTTAGTTTATTGTACAGACTGGATGTGAGAAGGTGCAATCAGGAGTCAGCTTCATTATTATTTTTTAAAACAGCTTTATTGAAATACAAGTCAGGTATCATACAATTCACCCATTTACAGTGTACAATTCTGTGGTGCTTAGTATGTTCACAGAATTGTACAACTATCACCACAATCAATTTTAGAACATTTTCATTAGCTGGAAAAGGAACTCAATAACCATGAGTACTCATTTCTCATTTCTGTCCTCCCCCGACCCTCTCTCCTACACTCTGGCTCCAGGCAATCACTTGTCTAGTTTCTGTCTCTGTAGCTTCATTATTTTCTAAGCACTACCTTCACCTACATTCTCTGGGTTCTCCCTCCCTATGGCAAAAGATTTCTTAGGCAATCTTATATGCCTTCAGGTATTAGTACAGTCTCATCATCAGGTGTTAAGAATTTCAGTTCAACCTTGATCAAAACTCTAATCTCTCATTCAAGTCAACGTTTCTGTCTGGCCAACCTTCCTCCTAGGCCTGCCACTGATTCCTAAGTCCACCAGCGGGGAAGGGTCATGGACTCATTCTCTGCTCTGCCTTCTCCGCCTCTTCTCCCCAATTCATCTGTGTTCTGGCTCCTTTAGAGTAAAACATTGAGCATGTGTGTGAGAGAGAGAGACAGAAAGAGAGAGAGAGAATGAGAAAGAGCATGTGAGAGAGAGCATGTATATGCGTATAGCAAGTATGTGTGCTAAATTTACCAAGAAAGGGCAAGTATTATTTGCCTGATGCTGGTTTATTTGATTGCCAGTGGTTTCTTTCATGACAAGGCAATCTTTTGGCTCTTCCTCACATGGGGCACTTATAGGAACTCTTTGAGTACCCAATAAGGAGCACATTCTGCCCTCTTAGGCTCTTGACTTTCCCTTAGCTCCCGCCTATTGGCAGTACACTGCTGGCTTCCCTTCATCCTAGAGCAAGAGTCTTTTTAAGAGGACTCTGGTCCAGCTACATTTCTATGTGAGTACCTACCTCCTCTTCTCTCCACACACTCTGGGTTTCTCTTCTCCCATCTCCCTAAGGAATTCTCTTGCCAACCTTTCAGGTGGCTTGAGGAGAGAGAGGGGATAAATGTCACTCTATCCCTATAAATACCCTTCAAAGTATTTTCTGTCTCCCTTATAGAATCTCTGGGCTTCTTTTATTGTGGTTGAAGGTTTTTGATGAGCTAAGAGTTACTACTAGACTGGTTGAGTTACCTTTTAGCATGTCCTTCAGACATGTGTCTAGCACACCTGTGTTAAAGGCATGGGCATTACTTACCCATCATGGTCAGCACCAGGTCTCCAGGAGATAACAAGAAATTGCTGTTTCATTGGTATATAGCTATTTGTTTACCCAGACATATTTCCTTGTACTGTATTCATAAGCAATCTGAGGGCAAATCTTCTTTTAAATTTTTTTTTCAGTTTATTACTTGTTCAATGAATAAGTAGACATTCAGTCCTCTAATTGCTAATTAAATGAGGATAGAATGTGCCAAGTTTTATAGTAGGTGTTGGGGATATAACAAAGATAACAAAGACATAGCCCATGACTTTAAAGTTCTATTTTAATGGGGTAGATATATATTAAAGAAGCACAAAAACCTACAGTTAATTTCTAATGTTGATAAGTGCTATAAAACGAAAATGGAGAGTCCTGTCAGAAGGCATAAATGGAGTGGGGTGAGGTGAGGATAAAGAAGCAGTTGGGGTCTGACCATGCAGAGAACTGCAAGGCACTCAAGAGGATCTGGATTTTTATCTTAAGAGCAATGGAAAGCCTTTGGAGGGTTTTAAGTACAGGAGCATTGTGTTCCCATTTTCATGCCCAGGTGGTTCAGATTCAATAACTTTTTGGCATAGAGGACATAGATAACAAATATAGGAAAGGTCACTCATCAACAGAGGGCAATGCCTCAGTTTCAGTCCCACAAATGTCCTGCAAATCCTACTGCTGAAGTCATGCTTCCATTATTATGCTCCCTGCTGATCTGAGACTGGATTTGATCAGATGGAGCTGTGTTTAACGGACAGTCCTCTTCTCTGCAGAAACATTTTGGTGCAGTCCTGCAGATTTCAGATAACCTAATGGCGAGAATTCTGTTCTTTCAGTGGGAAACCATAGCAACAGGCCACTTAGGAGGCACACTATATAATCTATCTGTTCTTCACTTAGTATTCTGCAGTCCTGAAATAGTCATCATTGCCTAATATGAGTATGCAAAAGGTCAGGCAAATATAAGCCCCATGACAGTGCAGTTCTCTCTCTAACCACAGGGTAGGGGCAGGGAAGGCATCCTCTGTTGGAGGCAAGAATCAGATTTATTGGGGCCAGGAAGGAGAAAGGATTTGGGACCAGCAGCTCTTTGTTTTAATACAAATTGTAAACCAATCTTTAATCTCCAAGTACATAGAATTGCTCCTTTTCTAAAACTGTATACATAGATAAGCTCGGTATTGTACTTGGTACAATAAATGCTAAACTGCAAGGTTTAGGGTTCAGAACATTTATGTCCTAGCATTTGCGATGCCACAGCACATCTCCTCATCTGCTTTAGGTGAAAAATAGTAATCCATAAGCCCTTTGATAATTGCATGTAGGATTCAGGACTACAAAGAGCCAAAATTTCCAGCTTAGTATCCATCAAAGCATATAGTTTAAAAGGATCTTTGGTAAAAAACAGGTGGAAATGGTAAGCTCTTTAGGGAAGAGGATTCAAAACAGTTGGTCACCGTGTAATTTGGTTAGCATTTGGTAGGTGGAAAATGGAGAGCCATAGAAAGAACAAAAAAAGAGAGAGGAAAAGGAAAAGGATCTTTTTGGGCTTCCCACTATGCTAGTAAGACTTTTGGAAATGTATATATTTATATATATACACATATTACTACTACTTTGGTAAGCTGTCTGAGGGCAAGGCTTCTTTTACTTGCCCTCAGATTGCTTACCATAGTTGTAGTAATTAAGTAGTAAGGTATTTATATATATATGTTTGTATATATAAAGCACATCTTAAGGTGCCACTTTCTTTTTCTTTTTAAACCCTAACTGGAAAAGTTTTCCCTTTTTCTTTCTCCCCTGTGATCTCACTGGGTCTTGCATTTCCATTTTGATTTCTGGTGCTTGGCACTGGTACCATTTTGTGAAGTGGTTCTCCGAGCAGCCATCCCTAAGTGCTCCAGTGGGCTGTATTCTACGTCTATCACCCTCTCCCTAATGCAAGCACCACAAAGCCTGGTGGCTAAGAATATTTACCTACCACCATTGTTGATTCACATCATTGGTTTTTCAATGGCTCACTAAGAAGACCTTTAAAGAGATCACACAAGTTACATGGACATGACACCATGGCCAGAAGCCTATGGGAAGAGAGGGATGAACCCCAGTGTAAAATGGACATTTGCTAGGCGGACTGCACCTGAAGTTTAGAAAGGGAGAAATCAGAGCTCCTGGAAATGATGCCCAGAGGTATTTAGTTTGCTTCACTTTTTTATCTATCCTTTATTCTTTCATTTATTGAACAAATATTCTTTGAGCTTCTATTTGCCTGGTGTTGTGCTAAGTATTGGGGACACAACAGAGAAACGAATAGACGTAGTTCCTACCCAAAGAATATCATGGTCTGCTGTGGAAACAAATAGGTAGGCAATTAGAATACAGTGTGATGAGGATCATGAGCCTTGGTCATGTGATTTTTTTTTTTTTTTTTTTTGAGACGGAGTCTCGCTCTGTCACCCAGGCTGGAGTTCAGTGGCGCAATCTTGGCTCACTGTAAGCTCCACCCCCTGGGTTCATGCCATTCTCCTGCCTCAGCCTCCTGAGAAGCTGGGACTACAGGCGCCCACCACCACGCCCAGCTAATTTTTTTGTATTTTTAGTAGAGACGGGGTTTTACCGTGTTAGCCAGGATGGTCTTGATCTCCTGACCTCATGATCCACCCGCCTTAGCCTCCCGAAGTGCTGGGATTACAGGCATGAGCCACCGCGCCGGCTGGTCATGTGATTTTATGTGTGTGAGAAATAAACTTTTCTTGGTGTAAGCCACTGAGATTTTATGGCTGGTTGTTGCTACAGTATAGCCTATCTTACCATAGCTAACAGGCTGTATCTGCATGAAGAGGGATTATGCCAGCCTAAGTAATCTCTTAAGCCTTGTTTTTTCATGCTTCAGGAAGGAAGAGCTTTCAGAGGCCAGGATTCATTTCACAAATTGATCTCTAGCCACAATATTGTAGAAATTGGCCTTTCTTTATTTCTGTCTTACTAAGAAAGAAAGCTAGGATCGGTATTCCTTCTGTTTACCTTATATTTATAGTCTTCCTGTGCTTTAGCTGATTTTGGCATCTGAGGAAATTTCACACCATCAATTCTCAAAAACCAAGGAGGGAGTTCTGTTTTTTTCCCAGCTTCCATGTGCCTGCTTGATACAAATACAGCTGAGTAATTTTTCCCTACTTCTTGCCCTTCTAGAGCACCAAAGATGTCTTGTCTTTAACATTATTGTTTTTTTCATATTGTGCAACATTTTCAAGCAACAAGAGAAATTACCTACAGCTGCCTATCAGCAGGGCTGGGGCAAAGAGATTACAAAAGAAGTTTTATTTTAAATGAAATTGAACTAGTTTCTTCAACACAAAATATGCAGGCTGTCTCTTCCAGCCGTTTGCCGGAAGGGGGCAGTATAAGAACATGGTTTGCTCATCCCTTACTGCACCAACTCATTTAAGAATCTGCATTTCAGAGTGTTTATATTAGGAATCACACTAAGTGTTTTGTGAAATTATTTTTACATATATTTCCAGGGCTGAGAAATTTCAGAGCGCTCTGAAAAAAAAAAAAAAAAAAAGACCCAACATGCATGAGAGTTTTTTAATGGACTTGGTTTATACCCCTGAAGACCAAAGTGGATTTCTTTTCTTTTCTTTTCTTTTTTTAAGCTGAAAGGCTGGACAAAATGTAGGCTGGAGGAAGACCAGGCACATGAATTTAAGCCCATACTGGCCTTTGTCTTGTTTCTTCTACTCTTGGTGGAATGGTTAATGCAGAGTGAAAACTATTTGCAGAATTTGGCTTTCTCATATCCTTTCTCTGACTAGAGGCAGCTAAAACTCAGCAGTCCTTTAAAAAGGATTCCTAAATCAGCACGAATTCAGCATATTCAAGTGCACCAACAACTAGATATTTTGGAGTAGAAATGCTGAATCTGACAGGTGTGGTGGAAACAACAGTGGCTTCTGAGTGTGTCGGTGAAAGTCTGCGTGGACTTCAGCTTCTTTATTAACTACAGGGAATGAATAAGAATCTCTATGACCCTTTTTATATTTGAATATCTATGATTCCAAAATCTGGAATTATTATTCTACTACTATTATTACTAATACTACTGCTACTGTAAATGACATTTATTACACTATTAATATCTGCAAGGGATATTAATGAATGCTTCCCATTCATTATGTCCTTCGGTTTTTACAGCAATACAATGAGGTAAACATTATCAACCTGATTTTATAGGCTACAAAGCTGAGGATCAGAGAAGTTTAATGAATTGTCCAACGTCACAAAGCTAGCAAAGGGTGAGAACTTGATCTAGATCCAAATATTCTGACTCCAAAAGTCTCTATCTATGCTTAACCTTTGCTATGCTATTTTTTTTCTTTTAAATTCTAGCACTTGTCTCTTTCTTTGGTCTCTGACATACCCATGCGTGGTGCCAGGCTAATATGATTACTGTCTTTGGCCACTAGCCTTTGCCTCTGCCCATCCCAGTTTCTAAGGCTCCCACTACCCTCTTCCTGTATATCTAAATATTATTCATTCTTCAAGTTCTAGTTTATGCCTGTGCTCTTGCCTGACTCCTTTAGCCCATGTGAATCAGTTTTTCTCCTGGAATTTTATTGCACTTATAAACCATTCTATATAATTTAGACTCAACTCGATCTTGTCTGTCATTTTGCTCTGTGTTTTAAATAAGTTGGCTTCGTCAATATTAACCATAGTGCAAGGCTCCTGAGGATGGAAAACACATCTTAGTCCTTTTAAGCTCCTGCTATGAAGAGTGCAGGGTTGCATAACAAGTTGGGGATCAATAATTTCTTCTTGTTTGCTAGAGATAGACCTCAGGCAAAAATGATCTCTTTTACTTCCAAAAATTATGGCAGTCTCTGAGAAAAATAGTTTTCTAGTCTTGCTTTAAAAACAAAACTAAAAACAAAACAACAAAAACCTAAGAAATTTCAAACCTCCCTGGCCAATATTGTTACTTATTTCACAAGTTGAACAATCAGAAATTATTATTATTATTATCATTACTATCATATAAATGGTTAACATTTATAGGTTATTATATTCCAAGCATTGGGCTTAGTTGTTTTACATGAATTTTATTTCTGTATTCAAAATAGCACTATCAGGAGAGCAAGTCTCTCACTTTATAGACAGTATAGCAGGTTTAGAGAGGTTGAATAATTCATATAAGCTCTCACAGAGCTGGTTAGTGGCAGAACGAGGACTATAGCCTATTTTTTTTTTTTTTTCCTGATTTCAGGCCTGGTTTTCTTGTGTTTGGCTTAATTGCACCGTGTTGCAAATTTGCTTGTTCCTACAAATGACAATGCATGTCTGTTTTTCAAACATACCTGTTCCCCTCCACCTAGAAAACTGTCTAGCTTATTATTTTTAGATCTATATTTTAAATACTCATCTCCAACCAAGTGTCCAGTGGGAATCTGGCCGTCCTCATGATAGTAGACTGAATTAGGGTTCTCCAAGGATGTCTACATCCTAGTCCCTGGAACCCATGAGTACCGCAAATGTTGCAGATGTTGCAGAAAGTTTGCAGAATGTGGTTAAGAGTCGTAAGTTGGAATTATCCTACATCATTCAGTGGACCTTGAAGATAACCCTAATGGCCCTTATAAGAGGCAGGCAAGAAGGTCAAAGACAGGAGAAGGCTGTGTGATCATGGAAGTGGATATTGAAGCGATGCTGCCAGGAGTTCAGGAATGCTGCAGCTGTTAGAAGCTGGAAAAGGCAGGAAACAGATGTGCCTCTGGAGCCTTTGTAAGGATAGCCTTGCCAACATCCTGATTTTAGCTCCTTAAAACACGTGTTGACCTCTGGTCTCCAAAGTATAAGAGAATAAATTTGTGTTATTTTAAGCTGCTGAGTTTGTAATTTTTTTTAAAATAACAGCAATAGGAAACTAGTACTCTAAGAGTTCCATTGGATATACACACTTTCATGGCCTGAGGAGCAGGACTGGGTCCGATTGCTTATACTAAACCCTTACTCTTGCCTCTTGGAGCTACAGGGGATGACTCCATCTGAAAGGAGTGAAGAAACTAGGGCCAGCTCTAAATGCTGTCTAGTGTCTAGGCAGTAATAAGTGGGCAGTACAGGAGAAAACTGCAATCATACCCTCAATCCACTGAAGTTTTTTTTTTATTTTGACAAAGTAGGGGAAAGCTGATGGGACAAGATGTGACTTCATAATGTACCATGGAATGAGATGGGCTTACTGTTTGAGGGCTTTAATGAAGGTAGTTCTTTATTTTGTTGTGTTTGTTTTTGACCCCTTAGTAGATGATGTAGTTTGGGTATTTAGTCCTCCTAAATCTCATGTTGAAATGTAATCCCCAGTGCTGGAGGTAGGGCGGGATGGGAGGTGTTAGAGGCATGGGGGTGGATTCCTCACGAAAGGCTTGGTGCTGTCCTTGTGATAGTGAGTGAGTTCTCCAGAGACCTGGCTATTTAAAAAATGTGTAGCACCGGCCGGGCGCGGTGGCTCATGCCTGTAATCCCAGCACTTTGAGAGGCCGAGGTGGGCGGATCACGAGGTCAGGAGATCGAGACCATCCTGGCTAACACGGTGAAATCCCGTCTCTACTAAAAATACAAAAACAAAATTAGCCGGCGTGGTGGCAGGCGCCTGTAGTCCCAGCTATTCGGGAGGCTGAGGCAGGAGAATGGCGCGAACCAGGGAGGCGGAGCTTGCAGTGAGCCGAGATCGCGCCGCTGCACTCCAGCCTGGGCGACATCGGATTTCTTCCTGTCTCCTCACTCTTTGTCCTATGTCATTGCCTCATTGTTAGGTTCCATACATGGCCCTGGCTACTGAGGTTCTCCCTTGACAGGGTCAAAATGATTTCACAGCTTACACCATATGATCTCTATTTACAGAGGAGATCTCTTTTAGTGCTCCCACATCATTTCTGGCATTCACTCTCTCTCTCTTTGACTGGCTGGCATTGGGTCACATGTCTCCCCTTGAACCCATCTCTGGGGCCTGGAGGATGGGATACAGAAACTGTATTAAGCCAAATGTAATCCATTCATTCACCTTGGAACATGACTAAGAATGGGAAGATGAGTACTCAAGAAAGAAAATCAGAATTATTTGGTGGGGGAAAGGGAAGAAAATGCTGGGGAGAAAGGTATTGTGCTAGCACAAACTCAGTGCAGATGACTCGTAATGGTTTTCTTATTTATAAGATGGGTTCTGTTACTAGAAAGAAGATGAAAGGATATTGAGGATGTAAAACCGTTAGCTATTCGTGACACATCAGTCAATAATTGTTACTCATTATATTAGGATATTATCCATCCATTCATTTTATAGAAAGTGGGGTCCAAAAGATGCTGTGACTTCATCAAGGTAGCAGAGGTAATAAGTGGCCAAATTGGTACTAATATATTCATCAATATATTATTATTATTATTTTGAGATGGAGTCTCTATCGTACAGGCTAGAGCACAGTTTCACCATCTTGGCTCACTGCAGCCTCTGCCTCCCGGGTTCAAGCGCTTCTCCTGCCTCAGCCTCCAGAGTAGCTGGGACTACAGGTGTGCACCACCATGCCCAGCTAATTTTTTTTATTTTTTTGTATTTTTGGTAGAGACGAGGTTTCACCATGTTGGCCAGGCTGGTCTCGAACTCCTGACCTTAGGTGATCCACCTGCCTTGGCCTCCCAAAGTGCTGGGATTGTAGGCATGAGCCACCGTGCCTGACCCATCAATATATTTTTATGAAAAGAAGTTATAGGAAGTACGTAGAAGGGCCTCAATGTTCAACCTGAATGTGGCATTAAGTAGGAGAAACTGCACAAGCATAGACAAAAATACTGAGAAAGGATAAATGATATTTCTTTTTTATTTTTGAGACTGGGTCTTGTTCTGTCACACAGGCTGGAATGCAGTGGTGTGATCACAGCTGACTGTAGCCTTGACCTCCTGGGCTCAATCCATCCTCCCATTCCAGCCTCTAGAGTAGCTGGGATTACAGGAGCATGCCACCACGCCTGGCTAATTTTTGCTTTCTTTCTTTTGTAGAGACAGGATTTCACCACATTGCCCAGGCTGGTTTCGAACTCCTGGGCTCAAGTGATCCTCCTGCTTTCACCTCCCAAGGTGCTGGGATTACAAGTGTGAGACACTGCACTTGGCTGCAAAACCAGATTTCTAGAAAGCGCAGTTGTCTTTTAGAAGGGAGATCTGACAACTATTCTTCTGGTGTTTTACTTGAGGATCCATAGTCTAGAGTTTGGGAAATCACTGACACCATTAACTCAACAGCCCTGAGGCATGTTCTTTGCCTTTAGCCACTTCCAGCTTCTCCCTTAGTGAGGTGGGCTAGTTAGACATGTGGCTTCTTTTTTTGAATCCATTTTCATTTTTTCTTTTCAAACATTCTTGCTCTCTTTCATAAGCAGTGCCTATATCAATTTGTGGGAAACCATTTTAAAATTTAATTCATCTCAGAATAATGAGGATCAAGGACCCATCAGCGTTATAAAGAAAATGATTACATAACCTAAAGTCATCCAAAACATTTCATGCTGAAATAAGAAATGATGAATATATCCCAAAAAGGGGTACTGAAACCATGGTCAGTGTAGGATGAGTTTGACCAGTGGGTGACTAGACTAGACCATGTGGGAATGGCAATTGGACATAAGGCAGTTGCTGGGGCAACCAGAGGAAGAACCAGGCAGATGGGACCTCGTATTTATAGAGTATAGTGGCAGGTGGCAGGTCTTAATCTTGGCTAGTTTTTGAAAGGATGGATATTTGTTTGAAAGAATGTTATAGCAGGCAGGCAGATAGTACCTGTGGGAAAATTTGGATTTTTTTTTGTTTTTGGCCTTGATATCCTTTGTACCTAGTATGGTGCTTATCATATAGTAAAGTCTTAATGTTTCCTTAAAAAAAATCGACATTTAGGATGCAGAAAGGCAGCTGGCATAAAGTAAATTTGGTAGCTGGGAGAGAGGTAACACATCAATAGACAGGTTTCCTTGGATTCAGGACTTTCAGTGGTAAAACTGAGATGATCCTGGGTGTAACAGCATAGTTGCTCACCCTAGCTCATGTGGATGAATTCAGAGAGGACAGTAAGAGTAAACAGCATCCCTTCTCAACTTCCTGCATGCCATATCTGGTTCAATTCAAGGTATATGGACAAGTGTGGCACCAATTTACTTGACTTAGATCGCCTCTAGTTTGTGGCTTCTCTAGGATGAGAGGTGAGGCTTCTATTAAGTCTCAAGTTGCTTCAGAAAAACCAATCGGTGTCCAGGTTATCATGATCAAAATGGCCATGAGAGACATGCAATATGCATTGATTCTTGGCCCAACAGAGCACATATCATTTGGTTGTTAATAATTTGGTCTTTGGGGTCAAAGGGACCTGGGTTTTCACCCCTGACTTCACATAATAGATTAGGTGAGTTACTTATTTCTCTGTTACTTCATCTGTGAAATGGGTGTAATAGTCCCTACATCAAAGGGCTACTATAAAGCCTAAGTACTAAGTGCTTTATATTCTTACTATCTAAGTGTAAAGCACTCAGTACAGCACCAGCCTCATAGCAGAAGACCAATTAATGATAGATAGATGCCATCCTATGATAAAGCTTTCCCATCTGCTTATGTGGGCTTAATGATAATACCTTAATATTTTCTAGACACAACTCTAGGTTTGAGGAGAACCCAAAGGTGTACATGGTCCAGAAAATAAATGAATTTGATTAAGACAAGCTAGTACATAAAATATGAGAAAATAACTCAAATTTAGAGTATTTTATGCACCCATTGAAGTCTGATAGGGTTGTACATTGTATGAATTATTAAAAAGCAATTCAAATCTGGAATGTTTGTGATTAGTATACTTTTACTGATAAAAGATAACTATAAAATATAAACTTATAATTTAAAATCTTTTTTTCCTAAAAGATGTACCAGTATGGTACCTCATATAAAAAGTACCTTATATAAAACCTGTCTATTAATATATTACATCTCTCCCAGCTACCAAATTTCCCTTATGCCAGCTGTCTTTCTGCCTTATATAAAAATTATTTATATAAGCTTTCCTGAAGATAGGAAAAATAATTCCATGCCTCAAAGAATTAATATAAATTCATTGTAACTGTCTTTCCAATTTATTGACAATAATTAATGTTAACTTTGATGGGAATATGATTACTGTTATCTACCTAAGTGAGTATATTCATTTCCAGAAAAGCAGATCAACCAGGTGTTTATGAACCATGAGTTTGCTGCAGCATTAAATGGGAGGTCTGCTAGTGGGTTTTGCTCTCCTTTCTGCTCCTAATTATCTGTAGTCTTAAACAGGTCACTTGTGCTCTTGTGTATAACTTTCTCATTTATTACTTTTATTTTGGGGGGGATGGGAGAATGATAAAATGACATATTAAATGTTTACTCTGGGCTGGACATGGTGGCTAATGCCTGTAATACCATCACTTTGGGTGGATCACCTGAGGTCAGAAGTTCAAGACCAGCCTGACCAATATGGTGAAATCCCATCTGTACTAAAAATACAAAAATCAGCTGGGCATGTGTCATGCGCGTCCATGTGTCAACAGGCTTTGTGTGAGCAATAAAGCTTTTTAATCACCTGGGTGCAGGTGGGCTGAGTCTGAAAAGAGAGTCAGCGAAGGGAGATGGGGTGGGGCAGTTTTATAGGATTTGTGTAGGTAGTGGAAAATTACAGTCAAAGGGGTTGTTCTCTGGCGGGCAGGGGCGGAGTTCACAAGGTGCTCGGAGAGGAGCTTCTGAGACTCATTGTCCAGGAGAAGGAATTTCACAAGATAATGTCATCAGTTAAGGCAGGAACTGACCATTTTCACTTCTTTTGTGATTCTTCAGTTGCCTTAGGCCATCTGGATGTGTACGTGCGGGTTTGGGCTCAGAGGCCTGACATCCCTGTCTTCTTATATTAATAAGAAAAATAAAACAAAATAGTGGTGAAGTGTTGGGGCGGCAAAAAATTTTGGGGGTGGTATGAAGAGATAATGGGTGATGTTTCTCAGGGCTGCTTTGAGCGGGATTAGAGGTGGCCTGGGAACCTAGAGTGGGAGAGATTAAACTGAAGAAAGATTTTTGGGTAAGGGGTGATATTGTGGGGTTGTTAGAAGGAGCATTTGTCATAGAATGATTGGTGATGGCCTGGATGTGGTTTTATATGAATTGAGAAACTAAACAGAAGACACAAGGTCCGAATAAGAGAAGGAGAAAAACAGGTATTAAAGGACTAAGAATTGGGAGGACCCAGGACATTCAATTAGAGAGTGCCCAAAGGGGTTCAGCATAATTACTTGCTTGGTTGGTGAGTTTTTGGGCTCTATCCTTGAGTTTTTTTTTTTTTTTTTTTATGTTGTCATATACCAGGCCAGGTTGATTTAGGTAAAAACAACACTCTTCATTTAAAAATATACGGAGTCTTTCTTTTTCAGCATTGAGTAAGTCGAGGCCTCAGCGGTTTTGGAGGAAAGCGAAATGCAAAGCCAGCAACTGTTTGTTAAAGAAGGATTAGAAATGGCTAGGAGAGAGTGAGTGAGATTGATAGTGTGGTGGAGATAGCCGGGGAGAGGTAAAGGGTGGAGAATAAGAGTGAGTATAAAAGAAAAGAATAGGACTTCATCAGGGTCAAAGTATTGGAGAGTGCCCTGTCAGCAAAGATCATCTATCCACTCCAAGAGGGAGTCAAGAGTGGTGGATTGAGGATAGTACCAGGAGATATCCTCTACGATGGTTTGGAGGAAATGTGTAAACCAGCAACGTAAACAGGGGCAGGGCATTTATGACTAGTTGAGAATGGTGAATAGGAGTATGACTAGACAGAAGATAGGAGGGATGACAAATTTTTTGGTGTGCAGTCCAAGTAGTGGGGGTGATTGCGTAAAGCCCTGTTGCAAAAAGTAGGGTAAGGACTAAGACCTAATAGAATGAAGGGATGTATTAGGCTCATAAGGGTTATTACTGCTCTTCAGAAATGCGAGTGAGTTTAGGGGAAGTAGGGGAGAGTATCTGCGACTTCCAGGAGGAAGAAGAGAGATCAGGCTGGCTGTCCAATGGACATGCTTTATTCTGGAGTTGTGAACCTAATGGGGAGGGTCCTGCAGGTGGATGGCATTTGGGGTACTATAGATGACTAAGTAGCATCTGGTCCATCGAGGCTGTAGAGTTTGAGGTGTGAGATTCTTAATAAGAACTGATTGTCCAGCTAGGGTGTCTTCATATGGCTGGGAATCTGGAGTAGGCAAGAAAAGATTAGCAGCTTGGCGAATTTCCTGTCTAGCCTGCTGGAGGACTGGAAGAGAGTCGCTTAGAGGGCTGGTGTCTGGGACGAGGTTGGGGCTGAGCAAGAAGATGAATTATGTCTGACAGAAGGAAAGAAATGACCATGGTGGCCTTCTCAGACCCTGTGGGAAAGGCCTCTACCTATCCAGTGAATGTGTCTTTCCAGACCAAGAGGTATTTTAGTTTCCTGACTCGGGGCATGTGAGTAAAGTCAATTTGCCAGTCCTGGGCAGGGGCAACTCCTCAAGCTTAATGTGTAGGGAAGGGAGGGGGCCTGAGAAATCCCTGAGGAGTAGTAGAATAGCAGATGGAACACTGAGAAGTGATTTTTTTGAGGATAGATTTTTACCATGGAAAGGAAATGAGAGGTTTTAAGAGGCGGGCTAGCAGCTTGTAACTTACATGGAAGGGGTTATGAAATGACGACAGAATAGCATGGGCCTGTGAGGCTGGAAGGGGATTTTTTTTGGTCTAAAAATCATCTGCCTTGAGTGGGGAGGGACTGATAGGTGGAAACTTCAGTGGGAGAGTAAATAGGAGTGACTGATGAGTAGGAGAAAAACTGGCCATGAGGGACAGAAGTAGGAATCCTGGCTGCTTCTTTAGCTGTCTTATCAGCATAATTGTTGCCTTGAGCAGTGGGGTCTGATGCCTTTTGATGGCATTTGCAGTGAATGACCTTAGCTTTTTTGGGAGTAGAGAAGCTTTAAGAAGAGTTTTTTTTATTAAGGGGGCATTAATGATGGAGGACCTTGTGTAGTGAGGAAACCTCTTTTAGTCTATATAAACAGCATGGTGGTGCAGGAGATGGAAGGCATATTTAGAATCAGCATAAATATTGACATGCAGTCTTTTTGCAAGAGTGAGGGCTCGAGTTAAGGCAATGAGTTTGGCTTTCTGAGAGGCAGTGGAGTGGGGCAGAGTGGTAGCCTCAATGATAGATGTGGAAGACACTATAACATAGCCTGCCTTTGCCAGTGATTGGTGATTGGGCCTGGAAGAACTGTCATCAATAAACTAAGTGTGGTCTGGGTGGGGAACAGGAAAGAGGGAAATATGGGGAAATGGGGAGAATGAATGGTTTAGTTAGGATGGCAATACCAGGTATCCAAAGGCAAAAGTACCTAACCATGCCTAGGAAGGAAAGGAGTTGTTGCTTTGTAGAAGGGGTTGGGGTTTGCGAGATTAGCCAGACACAATCAGCAGGGAGAGCACATGTGTTTTCATGAAGAATTATGTCGAGATAGATAATGGATGAGGAAGAAATTTGGGCTTTGGAGGGGGATGCGCGAATAGGTGTTGGAGGAGCAGGAGGGTGTCCTGTTGGGAAGATTTGTAGGAGGGGTATAAAGTAGAAGGTTATCAAAATATTCATTAAGGTGAGAAGTAGATGGTTGGAAAGAAAGTAAATCATGAGAAAGGGCTTGACTGAGGTAATGGGGGCTGTCCATGAAGCCTTGCGATAGTAAGCCGAGGTAAGCTGCTAAGACTGGTGGGTGTCAGGGCCAGTCCAAGTGAAAGCGAAGAAAGGCTGGGATGAAGGGTGTAAAGGAATAGTAAAGAAAGCATCTTTGAGATCCAGAACAGAATAGTGGGTTGTGGAGGGAGGGATTGAGGACAGGAGAGTATATGAGTTTGGCACCACGGGGTGGATAGGCAAGACAATTTGGTTGATAAAGCGCAGATCCTGAACTAACCTGTAAGACTTGTCTGGTTTTTGGACAGGTAAAATGGGGGAATTGTAAGGAGAGTTTATAGGCT